>NC_000002.12:89025295-89330679 GCF_000001405.40 Homo sapiens | reverse complement strand
GAATTCAGGTTTGTCTTATGAATAATCAGGATTCACCTCCAGGGAACGATGACCAGTGCTCTGATTAAGAACTTGAAAAAAAAGAGTTCCCTTGTGGCTAATAAATAATGGGTCTATTTTAGAAAGTCTACTTTTCATGATATAAATCAAAACTTTAAAAATGTAACTGTAAATTTATATCACAAGAGAAATTATGAAAGTTGCTCATAATGTATCTATATAAACTTGCACTTCTCTGTTATTATTTCAGGATCCAGTGAGGATATTGTGATGACCCAGACTCCACTCTCCCTGCCCGTCACCCCTGGAGAGCCGGCCTCCATCTCCTGCAGGTCTAGTCAGAGCCTCTTGGATAGTGATGATGGAAACACCTATTTGGACTGGTACCTGCAGAAGCCAGGGCAGTCTCCACAGCTCCTGATCTATACGCTTTCCTATCGGGCCTCTGGAGTCCCAGACAGGTTCAGTGGCAGTGGGTCAGGCACTGATTTCACACTGAAAATCAGCAGGGTGGAGGCTGAGGATGTTGGAGTTTATTACTGCATGCAACGTATAGAGTTTCCTTCCACAGTGGTACAGCCCTGAACAGAAACCTCCCTGCTGTGGTGCCCCAGCTGCTCACATGCACTGCTTGTCTGGGGAGCAGGTCAGCAGCGTCTCTGAGTCTGCAAAAGAGGAGGCTGTTGGAGAATACAGGGCAGGGTTTGCTTCTGAGGACTCTGCCTGGGACTACAGGTGCATGCCACTAAACATGGCTAATTTTTCTATTTTTTTGTAGAGTCGGTGCTTCACCATGTTGCCCAGCCTGTTGTCAAAATCATGGGCTCAAGCCACCCACCTGACTTGGCCTCCCAACGTGCTGGCAGTACAGTGTGAGCCACTGTGGCAGGTCAGCACCCCTGTTTATGTTCCTGTCACCTGCCACAGCCTTGACTCTCATAACCAACAGGAAAATGAGGAGGTTCTAGGGCCCTGTGAGTAAAAAACTGGGATGATAGGGAAAGGAGAATGGAATCTCATCTGAATCCTCCTTCCTTGCCTACATTTGTTTAAATTTATTGAGCAAAAGGGCCAGACTACTGATTATTTCTGGCAAAACATGTTGAGTACATTTTAGGGTTTAACAGTTTTGGGTACCTTTCAAAGAAAATATTTGGTTATATGTAAAATTGGTATTTTCCCACTTTTTAAATTCCTACTTCTCCTGTTTGCCATTCTTCTCCACTCCATGAGACAGTAGAGACAGGATTATTCACTAATTCTCCTCTGGCGGAGCTGGCTGAGGACAATCAGTAAGATCTTGGTTGTGAGTGTCAAATAGATTTTGTAATTTCATAGCAGACGCAAGTTCCTAATACTAAAACTCTTTGATTACAATTACCTCTTGCTGATAGAAAAAGGGAGTTCTTGAAATTTTGAAAGTTGGTTTTAAAAATAAAATGCATACACTGGAAGATGCAGTATACTAAAGATGTAGTATTTTCCAGGGATCACTGAGAAAATACAGGATGAGGTAAACAGTTTTATTTTCCAAAGTTCAGAATTTGAGATTGGGCAGACTGCAGGAATGGGAGCATGAAGAGAACATAAGAGAGATCAGCTATTGTTCAATTACACTGCCCTTGATTATGGTGGGTGGGGATGTGGCTGGTGGTGGTGATGGCAGTTGATGATGTGGATCCAAAAAGGGGCCAAATGTGTTACTTGTGAAGAACCACAGAGTTGAAAGCACTGCTGCATGGCTTCCTGGGTGGAGCCAAGTCTTCGCACTTTCCAAACTTTCTCTCTCCTTTATTACTCACATGAAACTGCCCTCTCTAGTATTATGGTGGAAAAAGCATTCTGCACCAGCTATTTTCATGGGAGTATGGCCAAGGATAATTATTTTTACTACTTATGGATTTTTAAAATCCAGGACAGATATAAATCCTAATACCAAAATAGTTTGATTTGCCTCAGTTGCCTTTTGCTGACTGAAAATAGAGTTCTTCCAATTCCAAAAGTGGGCTTTGAAAATAGACAAAATAATTCAGATGGAGAACATAAAGTTTACATAATGTACCACAGGAACAATGCAGAATTATATGAGATTTTTATTTCCTTCTCAAATTCTTAGAATTTTAAAAATATTTTACTGACATAGCATTTTAAAGAGAAAATTTTTAGTGCTATGTTGTCATAAGAAAATGATTCAAAGAATGAATAAATGCATTATTTTTATATGATACTATTCCTGAAAATAAATCTGAATCCTCTATTTTAGTTGTTAATGCATAGAAAAATTATGCTCTTAATATATTCCATTGACAATAGTGCTCTAAATTTATATGCTTCCTTAATTTGAGGGCTACAGTCTGATAAATATCTATCTACATTTTGTCATGCAACTTTTAAACCTAACAGAAATGCTTTCGTTAAAAAAGCAACAGTGCTTTCTCTACCATAATGCTAGAGAGGGCAGTTTCGTGTGAGTGGTAAAGGAGAAAGTTTGGAAAGTGGGAAGACAGCAATTTTGCAATATGACCAAGTGTTATCATGCAAAAAACTATCTCCAAACCAGTCATTTCTAACATGTATTTCACTTGTGTTACCACTAATCTGCATCCATGATCTGATCATTCTGCCAAATAAATTTACACGAACCCGAGTAATGAGTGATGTCTGTCACATGTGATAACACGGTGTAGAGACACAAAAGACTGAATCAACAGAACAAGATCCTGATACAGGCTAAGGGTTTAAATAATACTTGAGATGATTTATTTCAAGATAACAGATTCCATAGGAAGTGCAATTAAAATTCCAATGTGTCATTTCTGTTAGGTTTAAAAGTTGCGTGGCAAAATGTACATAGATATTTATTAGACCGGAGCTCTCAAACTAAGAAATATGAGACACTCAATATGTTATTGAAAAATACTAATTAATGCATCATTGACCCTATATTTTATTACATAATGCAGTAAAAGAAAATAAAATGTAAGTAGCAAGAGCACGAGGTAAGCAATGCCATCGTCACCTTTAGCCCTCCTGGGATTGACAGCACCTAGTCACCTTGAGTTTCTGCTTTTCTGCGAGACAGGAGATAAAATGAAAACCCATTCAAGGTAGTTAGTTATATTTTGGAGAAAGCAAACAAAGATACCACCTACATGATGCTGATATCCCAAAGGCATATATTCTCAAGTCAAAATAGTGAAAAGTATATGATCCCCAAAACTGAAAGGGGAGAGATACAAGGAGAATCAGAGCATGATCAAATTTAATTACAAAGAAGCCTCATAATATGGTGAACTAAATGTAACAAGGTTTCTTTGTCTGTTGCCATGGCAGTGCAGAGGCAGGCAGGTGGCCTTGGTGGTGTAGGTGGCTCTGCTCCGTGAGGTCACTCCGGTGGGCAGGAGGCACGAACACCCTGAGAACACAGCCTTCCTCCTTCCTCACAGTCATTGCCTGCCCAGCCATCCTCAGCAGCATGAGGTGGGACAGAGTGGAGAGAAAGCTGTTTTCTTCTAAAGACTAAAAACAAAAACAGAAAAAAAAAAAACAAACCTGGAGCTTTCCATCAGTGACAAATGTACTTTTGACTCAATCACACATTTGAGAAGTTTTCCAGTGAGTGGATCTGCAGATAAACCCACATTCGTTGTTTGTTTGTTTTAATCTGAAAATGTGTTTACATGATTCTTGAAAATATTTTTTGACTGTAAACTTATATTTGTAGTAGCCTATTTGAAGTTATCATTTACTATTTCATAATTGCTACTAAAAAGTTATTGTTAAAAAAATCTGTGACTCTAACTGTTCTTGTTTGAAAGGAATACGTCTTTTTAAGACACTCAGACTCCTTTTAAGCTCCTCATTTGGCCCTCCTTTGTTTCTGATTCAATGTATTGTTTAATTTGTTATTTATGACTAATTAATCTATTAATTAATTTTCACAATCACAGAATCAAATGTCCTATAAGTTGCTATGTCAAAGACCTGCCTGAAGATGGCACACATGCTCCACAATGAACAAAGGACAGCACCATGGTCTCAGGAACACTGGGGAAGTAGGAGTGCTGGTGTCCCATTATCAACAGGGAGCCCTAGAGTTAGAGTCAAATCTTCCCTGTGACCTGGGCACCTGGGAGGAGCCACCCGTGTGCTGAGCTGTGGGAACCTGCCCCATGCCCTGAGACTGGAAGCACGGCCTTGGCTGTGTCCCACCTGCTATGGACTGAATTGTGCCCTCAGATTCATGTTGAAACCCTAATTTTCAATGTGACTGTAGAAATCAGAACCTCTAAAGATGTAATTGAGGTCATGGCAGGGGGTGTCCCTGATCCAGTAGGATTCATGATTTTGTAGGATCCAGAGACCTCTCCTTTTTCTTCTCTCTCTCTAACCGCCTTCCCCTCCATGGAAAGGCTGTGTGAAGACATGGTGAGAAGGTGGCACCTACAAACCAGGAATAAGGTCTTTAGCAGAAAACAAACTCTGCTGAACGTCGATCTGGGATATTCCAGGCACCAGAAATGTGAAAATTAAATTCTGTGGTTTAGCCATCCAGCCCCGTGTTACGGTGTGGCAGCGGAAGCTGACTCATCCATCTTCCCCACCCTCTGTGAGCAGATCAGCTTCAGGAGGCCCTCGTGGACATGGGGTCCCAGCTTTGCTCCTCTTCCTCCTGTTTTTCCAACTCTCTGGTGAAGAGGGAGGACTCAAGCTTCATCATCAGTTTCTGTGCATTAAACATGAATGTTTCCTTCAAGATGAAGTTTTTAGCCCATTTTGCTTTCTCAGAATTTAATCAAACTGAATGAAGTATGTACTTACAATTAATATTTGGGGATGTTCATATTTGTTCCCCCCTTATATGACAGTTGGGATATTGTGTGGTGCTCATCTCCAGGCCCCTCCCTGTGTTCCAGGAGACAGGGTCACTGTCACCAGCAGAGCCAGTCAGGGAAATAACAGTGTCTAGCCTAGCTCCTTGTGAAATAAGGGCTGACACTGAGCTCCTGCTGGCTCCCACTGCTCCCTGGACACGATGCCTGCCTGGGTCAAGGGGGTGAGTCTGGACAGACGTCACTCTGGCCATCAGTAGCCTAACTACCTTCATGACCTCCCACTGTGAACAGAGTCCCGGAAGCTGCTGGAGCCATGAAAGTTGGACAGAGAAATCCCACATCACTGCAGTCAGAGGGGGGCTATGAAAAGACCGTGGGGGGGTTTCATACTATGACCACCCAGCACTGAGCCATGGCTGCCACTCTGTCTGATGGGAGCCCCCAGGGGAAGATCCACTCACACTGTGCTCTAGAGGTCGTTTTTGTCACCATCTTTGTTCTAGCTGGTTTGGGCCAGTTTCTGTAGTGCATCCTGTTTTGTCCAGATCCTGTTCTGGTCAGCGTTGTCATGACCAGTGTTGTGATCAGTGCTCAGAATACAAGCCCTGATGATCTCCTACCTTATACTCACTGCCTTCTGTGAACCAGATGTTCTGATAAGGGTCCTGTTGGATCCTACTCGAATCAGTTGCCACACAGACCCTCACTGAGGGCTGAGGGCCACAGACATCTGAAGATAAACAGAGGTCCAGAGAATGATAGCCTGTGACTGTCCTCTGTAAAGACAGCTGCTCCCCAGATGGCTGAGGGCTGTCTTTGGCTGTGTCCTTCTTTCTGAATGATAATGAGGGATAGAGCAGGTCTCTAAGCAAAACCTCAGCAAGGCCTTCCTATGTGTGCTGCTCTAACCTGGACATAGGTGGCACTGGATACACTTAGGGAAGTGAGGAAATTTATAGTCACAAGGAAGAGAGAGAAAGGAGGAGAGAGAGAGAAGAGCCTGTGATGTGTGTATAGTACCAACACTGATAGTATGTTCTTTAATGGTTTATTGTTGAGTATGATGCTCAAATGCTCAGGTTCTATTCCATGCAGCCGATACATATACCTTATATAGGAAAAGGGCCTTTGCATATATAAATTAAGGATTATGAATTGGGCAGATTATCCTGTATTGACCAGGTGGGCCCTAAATGGGCCTGTCTTTATTAAATGTCTGTCTATCTCTCTTATAAGGACATCACGATTGTCCTTATAAGATAGACATAGACAGACATTTTAACAAAGTCTGCAGAAGAGAAGGCAATTTGAAGACAGTGGCAGAGATTGAAGTGATGTGGACTCAAGCCAAAGAAAGTTGAAGCCACCAAAAGCTGGAAGAAGCCAAAAAGTAGACTCCCCGCTGGAGTCCCTGCAGAAGCTTTGATGACAGCCTGCTCTTGACCCCTGAAACTAGTGCTGGACTTATGGCCTCCAGAACTATAGGAGGAGAATATATTTCTGTTGCTTTAAGCCACCAAAGTTTTAGTAATTTGTTATAGCAGCCCAAGAATTCTAATAAAAATGGGGCTTAGGATAAGTCCAGCCTAAAGGTAGTATGATGATTTGCACTCTCCACCTTCATTTCTCTAATGTTACACATAATTGGTTAGAAGAAGATTTTTATGATGGAAACATTGTACAGGAAGCCACCCAGTATATACAGGGGCATCTGTTAGTTACAGAATAAATATTGACAGTTCTTAGTTGAAAATGACATCTGAGGCTGGGCTTGGTGGCTCACGCCTATAATCCCAGCACTTTGGGAGGCCAAGGCGGGTGGATCACAAGGTCAGGAGATGGAGATCATCCTGGCTAACACAATGAAAAATCTGAAAAATACAAAATTTTTCAGAAATTCTGAAAAATACAAAAAATTAGCCAGACATGGTGGCACGTGCCTGTAGTCCAAGCTACTCGGGAGGCTGAGACAGGAGAATCCCTTAAACTCGGGAGGTGGAGGTTGCAGTGAGCCGAGACCACACCACTGCACTCAGGCCTGGGCAAGAGAGCAAGACTCTGCCTCCAAAACAAACAAACAAACAAACAAACAAAAAACCCACCAAACCAGGACTTTTTGAACTCAGCTCTGAACCAAGTGGACCTAATAGACATCTACAGAACTCTCCATCCCAAATCAACAAAATATACATTCTTCTCAGCAGCACATCGCACTTATTCTAAAATTGACCACAAATGCCTTATGTAAATGACGAGTTGATGGGTACAGCAAACCCATATGGCACATGTACACCTATGTAACCTGCAAGTTGTGCACATGTACCCCAGAACTTAAAGTGTAATAATACAAAAAAATGACATGTGACTAGTAGTATCTTATCTAGAATCTTCATTCTAAGATACTCAAGGACGCATAAAAGGGACCCTAAGTAGTCTTTTCATACATATATATGCACATATATATGTATGAAAAGCAGTCTTTTCATCAACTAGAGAAACCCTCAGGACAGCCCTTAATACCCTTGGTGATACATTTCAGATGAGTAAACTGTTATCAGAGCCCGTAGTTGAAACTATTCAACAGAGATGGTTTGCCCAAAGATATGTGGTCAGCAATTGTCAGGGCTGAGCTTGGAACCCAGGTCTGCATAACCTTAAATATGTTGCTTCCACATGGCCACGTTTGTTTCATATACGATTGAATGGCCTTTAAATTCAAAGAAGAGACAAAGCCAGAAGAGTGGTGTGAAATTCTCAACACAAGCTCCCTGCTACCTCTACACCTTACCGTGATTACTCCAATTATAAACTCAGGCCCTCATGCAGTTTTGTCTACAAAGCAAAACTTCCTCAAAGTCTTTACAAATACTAAATGTCTTTCTTTCAGATTCGAGGGCAAGAGCACATCTTGCATTGCCCTGAACACTTTGCATCTTTTCTACCATTCTCATCTTTCTGTCCCAGTCCTTCCTTCTCAAATGATGTCCTGTAAATCTGATTTCTCCCCCAATATGAAAACAAATGAACAAATATTCCCCTACTTTTCTCATATCCAGAGGATACAAGAGTTAATCACATATCCAGAGAGTACGAGAGTTAATCAAGGGATTTATGCAAGAGTGTTTACACATAACAAGGATTCTGGTGCTAGCCATCTTCACAGTGAAATTTTCTGTGTGTCTTGCTAAAATTGACACTAAAAAATGACAAGATAAAAATATTTGGAAGAACAGAGGGCAACCATGCCCTTAAGGAGGTAAAAGACACCCCTGCCCCTTGTGTTAGTTTCCTACTCCTGCTGTAACAAGTTATCAGAATCTTACTAGTTTCATACAACACAAATTTATTATCATACAGTTCTGGCAGTGAGAAGTCTCACTGATTTATAATCAAGGTATCCGTAGTTCTATATTCCTTCTGGAAGTTCCAGGGGAGAGAATCTGATTCTCAGCTTTTCATCTTCAAAGATAGCCCCATGTTCCGGGCTGCCTGGCCCCTTTCTCCATCACTGAAGCATCCCTGTCCATTGTCCCTATTCCTCTCTGACTGTTACCCCCACTCCTCCCTATTATAAAGACCCTTCTGATGACGCTGTCTTTCCTAGATAATTCAGCTGTTTCCTAAATTTTCTGAATATCCCTATGCATGAAAAAAAAAGAATTGGCAAGTATTCAGACTATACTTTCCAAGAATGAGGGTTTGTCCACTGTTTTAGGTTGGATCTTTCAGGGACAATGATGCCCATGCAGGCAGCATATTTATAATGCACAGTAAACACTAGGAGGAAACAAGGCAGTGAGAGAGGAAAGAGAGCAGCGATACCGAAAATGTCCTCAGCGAGAAGCTACCACAGAGGATGAATGGAGATCAAGCCCACGTGGAAACATGGGAAAATGTCTCAGTATTTTTCCACCTAAGAAGGGAGGGAGATGGGGTATGTATACACCTCCCTGTCCTCACTGATTGAGGGCTTTCCGAGAGGATGCTCATTCCAGGTGCTGTGATAGGCCATGTGTACAGGCAGGGCTGCCTTCTCCAGCTTCAGATAGAGCAGTGAGGAAAAGATATGGCCATGGGGGGTCAGCAGAAGTACAGCAAAGGGAAAAGGGAAAGGGTAGCAAGAGTGACAACTATATTCACCCCCCCCACACACACACACACACACACGAAATTGTGTATTGCAATCCAGAACTGCTTCTCTCTGAACCTAAATCTTAGCAAGCAGTTTACCAGTAACTGCCCTTGAAATTCAGGCCCCTGGAAAGGAGCAGGGGGTTGTGTACAGGCTATACCACAGCAGTCTGCCCACCCTTAGTGATGCATGAGTAATGCTCCCTGGACTCCCCAGGTTCTAGTCTTCTCATGTCGATGTAGTTGATTCCACTTCCCTTGCTGCACAACCAGG
Source organism: Homo sapiens (assembly GCF_000001405.40). Classification (NCBI taxonomy): domain Eukaryota; kingdom Metazoa; phylum Chordata; class Mammalia; order Primates; family Hominidae; genus Homo; species Homo sapiens. The sequence continues at coordinate 89,321,439 of NC_000002.12, read as the reverse complement.
CTGGGATGCCTGGGCAGAGGCAGACATGTGAGGTATAGGGGTTCAAATCTGTTTCCAAGTTTTATCCAGCTTCAAAGCATTTCTCCGTGTACATGAGCGGTGGCTTGACAGGAGATGGAGACTCTCTTTCCTGGATGTGAGGCAAGGAGGCAGGCGTCTGAGTCAGGATGATGTCCCTACTCACTGCTAAAGAGAAAAGTGGCTTTGATGGTGCAGGGCAGGGAAATGCACTGAGTGGTCGCCACCCTCACAGAAGAGAAAGTGTTCACTGACCTGGCCTTTCCCCAGGGCCTCTCCCTCCCATTGCTTTCCAGAAAGCCATGATTTTTGAGAGCCACACCTGAACACTCACAAACATTATGGTGGGAAAAGCAGATCAGAGCATTAGGCAAGTTGCATTACCTTGGCCTTCTTCCTTTGGAGACAATTGATGTGGGGTTCTAGATTGACCCAGAGTTTCAAGTTTATCCTGATTCAGGCTTCAACAGCTGGAGGAAGAAACAGAGATGTTTTTTGAAGTAAACAGATCTAGCATTACTAATCAACCCTTCATACTGATGACCTATGGGAAATAATACCCAAGGGCAGAAAAATGGGCAGAATAAGGGGAGCCCCAAACCAAGACGAAGCTGCTGCCCATTGAGACCCTGGGTATTACAGAGACCTATAGCTCTGGATAATGGAAGATCTATGAGTGGCACAGGCGCTGAGGAATCACAGCATCATTATCGTGCATCTGCAGGGAATTGCTTGTAAATATACTGGTAATTACAAATGTTTAAGGTCACTACAAATACTTTGGAGTGTATTAAATATGCTTCTGATAAAGACTGTTTTTCTCACATGAAACAATGGGAACCATGTGACAATCACAGAGGTGTTGTTACTATAGCAAAAGGGATTGTTACTCTCCACATCCCTTTAAGTAACTTGAAGGCCTGATAGACCCACCCTCTAAGACTTCATTAGACATTCCCTACGAATGGTTATACTCTCCTGTATACTCCCAATACAACTCTAAAATATATTATTCCATATAGTCCTTAGGTTTGTATTAAAGTTTGACTTTTTTCCTTCAAAATATCTCTTGTCACAACAGCGGCTCTAGAGAGAAATACATTCCCTCCAGGCAAATCTATGCTGCGCTGGTCTGACCTGGGACCCTGGGGACATTGCCCCTGTGCTGAGTTACTAAGATGAGCCAGCCCTGCAGCTGTGCTCAGCCTGCCCCATGCCCTGCTGATTGATTTGCATGTTCCAGAGCACAGCCCCCTGCCCTGAAGACTTTTTTATGGGCTGGTCGCACCCTGTGCAGGAGTCAGTCTCAGTCAGGACACAGCATGGACATGAGGGTCCCCGCTCAGCTCCTGGGGCTCCTGCTACTCTGGCTCCGAGGTAAGGATGGAGAACACTAGGAATTTACTCAGCCAGTGTGCTCAGTACTGACTGGAACTTCAGGGAAGTTCTCTGATAACATGATTAATAGTAAGAATATTTGTTTTTATGTTTCCAATCTCAGGTGCCAGATGTGACATCCAGATGACCCAGTCTCCATCCTCCCTGTCTGCATCTGTAGGAGACAGAGTCACCATCACTTGCCGGGCAAGTCAGAGCATTAGCAGCTATTTAAATTGGTATCAGCAGAAACCAGGGAAAGCCCCTAAGCTCCTGATCTATGCTGCATCCAGTTTGCAAAGTGGGGTCCCATCAAGGTTCAGTGGCAGTGGATCTGGGACAGATTTCACTCTCACCATCAGCAGTCTGCAACCTGAAGATTTTGCAACTTACTACTGTCAACAGAGTTACAGTACCCCTCCCACAGTGTTACAAGTCATAACATAAACCTCCAAGGAAGCAGATGTGTGAGGACGAGCCACCCCAGATGCTCCTCCTGGTGCCTCCATCTGCTGAGAGCATTTCTCAAACTCAGTCAGGTTTTGAAAGTCATTGGGAGACTTTTGTAGAGGGGACCAGGGAGGCTCCTCTGAACTCTAAGCCTCTTTTGCCCCTATCCCCAGGAGAAAAGATGTGACAATGCCTGTCCTGATTGAATAAGGAAGAGATACAAGTCCACCTGAGGAGTCTGTGTTATGGGATAATTGGAATTTACACAGCAAAAGAGAAGCTATTCTCGGTATTTCAAGGAGAAATTGTTCAAGTTGAATAAATTAGAGTCTAAACTAGTCTTTTTGAAGCCTACGGTATGTTATTCGTGAAGCAGCCACTAGAGACAGGGGATTCTCAGGTGCTCCTGCAGAAGTCAGAGTGCACCTGCCCCTGGTGGTATGTGCTGAGTACCGTGTGATGATCCTCAGACCTGTCTGGGAAGCCGAGGGCTGGGGTGCTGATGCTCTCAGCTGCCTGCAGCACGTCTCCAGGTGATTCTCCAGTCCACAAACAATTCCACATGTTTTACTTCAGATGTCAGAGTACATGAATCCACCACTCTGACTTCCCAATCTCATGGGAGTGCCTCTCATTAAGCAACTCTAAAGAAACCATAGAGAGAAAAGGAGTTTTGGAAAATGTGCGTCCAGAAGTGATAGTAGCGATGGGGAATTGACAGCTGACAGGTCAGTAAGGTTGCTCTTTCCACAAGGCTCAAAACTTTGCCAGTTACAGATTGTCCCAGAATATACTCGAATGTGCTATCACGTCTTACGAGCAACTCTGGGTTCATAGCAAGAAAACTTCATTAAGTCATAGATGAAACAGAAAAATCAGGAAACTGTATGAAATACATTATAAGGCTGTGTGTGGTAGCTCATGCCTGTAATTCCCAGCACTTTGAGAGGCTAAGGCAGGAGAATTGCTTCATCCTAGGAGTTTGAGATTGGACTGGGCAACATAGGAAGACTCTGTCTCTACAAAAAACAAAACAAAACAAAAAGATAAATAGATAGTTATAACAATCGTTTGACAACCTTTTTCCTTGACAAAAAGGAAAACAAGAGAAAATCCTAAACATGGATGTAGCATTTTTCCTCTTAATATGAAAGTCCTCTGCTACTCAAAACTATCCAGAATCCAGTAGCACCTTAGCAATACTGAGAGGGTGCCTTGCAAGATACATAGCAGGCCCACCTCAAATTACCTGAAAGAGAATCTTCATTTTAACACGGTAACAAGTGATCTACATAAAGCTTAACAAGGTATGTTTTAGGTGATATTTTAGCTAAAGAGATTTATTTTTTTCTCAATGAGGATATTTAAGAAAATTTCAATGGAGAGTCACATGTTGAAAGCACACCCAGCTTTACTTTCAAATTGATGCAACATTGCATTTGAAAACATTTTGAAGATTACAAAGGTTGAAAATCATAATTATATATGTCCATAGAATTATCAAATAACTTCATGTTTAAATGGAGTAAACATTTTTAGAAACTTTAATAATTACCAAGTGAAAGAATCAATTAAAGTTGTGTGTACCTATGTTAGAGATTCTCGGGCTTAATTGTATCAGGTCAGCTTGGTTTGGGATTTGTCTACTCCTGCGACCTGCCATGAGAATCTTCTGCCCTGAGTAGTCAGTGTCCTTCAGGCTTGGCCTCAGATAAATGCAATCCATAGGCTGGAGACAAGCTCGATTCCCTGCAGCCGAACCAACCAGCTGAGCCCTGCCTTGGGATCAGCCAACTGATTATTAAAATGAACATTCAGGAATATGAAAATAAATACTTAGTGTTAATAAGACACTAAGAGTTTAAGTGGTTGATTGTCAATAATTATTGTGCAAAAACTGACCAATACAGTATTTATACATCTACCTATTTAGATAGATGCATTTTATTAAAATTGATGGCATAAATATGAATATTTATTAATCCATATATAGAGATACTAAGACAACATTTAAAACATTAAAACTTAATACCAATAAAAACCATGAAATTGATGTCATTTGGGGAAAATACATATTTGAGTGTATATAACATACATATTGGTGCATTTATATTTTTGAAAAATTATTGGCTGCATATACGTATATGTACACATATTTATCTTTAAATAAGTCTATTTAAGTATATTTATATATCCATATAGAAGTAACACATGCATATTTACAAAACAATTATATAAAAATGAAATCTGTGAAGGTGATTTCAGTTTCCCCCCATAAGAACACTGGTGCCCGAGACCTGGTGTAGTATCTGCTGTGGCTACAGAAAGTTCCTTTATAACCTTTAGTTATAAAATACTCACCTAATGGGTATTTACACCTTAAAATATTTTTCTAACTCAAGTGGAGGGGTAAAGGGTATGAATGGGGATAACTGCCTACTGTTAAAAATTAATCATTTCATCCTATGGAAGTCCAATCATGCATATGCTGCCAATGATGCCATGCTGGATGGAGTTCTCATAACTGGGTGCTGTATTGATGTCATACCACTGCCATGGTAAAGGATACCCTGGGAGACTAGCAGTCACAAGAGTGGGCAAACCCGAAGGGTGAAGTCACCGTACACTTTGCAAAGAGGGATTAGCAATTCCATAACATTGGCTATTGGTTTGGAGAGATCACCAGGCCTCAGAAGAAACAAAACTGAAGGACTCGAGACAAAGTTGGTTTGGAAGAGCTATGACTGGATCTTTGAAAATACGTCAAGATCAAAAATAAATGCTTCCTAAGTGAATATTCATATCTATTCCATTACTGAGGACCAGCTCTTAGTAATTAAGAGGATCGAATGCTTGGCCTTCAGTCAGTCAACTTTCCCAGATTTTTTAGGAAGTGACATGAACCATAGAAATCCATGCAGGAGCTCAACAATATGAATTTCAGTTAATGAGGCTTGCATACCTATGGCTCTTCTGAGCATTCAACTTGCCAAGTAGCATTACCCCTCCCAAACCACTAACATCTAACCACACATCAGTGATCAGACTAACAACGCGTGTCAAATGAGTACAGTGCACCTAACCCAGCATCCAGAGGACAGTGGTAGTTTTCCTGTATACGGATTTGCCTTTCTTGTCAGTCATGTTTCTGCCAGAATCATCACTTGGAAGTATCTATAGCAAAAAAAAAAAAAAAAAAAGTGAAGCAACGTATATTCACGATGTTGTCATGTGTCCAGGGGCAGCTGTCCTTATAGAAAAGAGAAAATCCATTAGTAGTCAGGAAAAGCCAAAACACTAACCCTTGTAATGTCAAATCACTGTCTTACCAGATGTGCTGGAGGCCCTGAAACACTGATGTGTATGACGTTGTTACCCCCATTAACAGAATAGGAGAATCTGAGAGATGACTATTTATTATGGGTACAGAGAAGATTGAAATGTTGTTTCTATTCACTCTTGTCTGGTTTTCCAGTTGATAGTTCTTAATTCAAAGAATTAGCATGATAATTGTTGCATTAAATTGAAAAAAATGATGAACATGTGGCCATTTAGTTCTTATTATGGTTCAGGACAAACTTTGAACAAAGGGTCCTATGGTGTGGGCTGGGGACATACAACCTGATAATCAAGGAGAAATAGGTTTCCTTCTACATATTTTAGAGAGGAAGTAGAGAAAATGTGGAAGCTAGAAGAATTTCAAGATTGTTTTTATTTACTGACATTTCCTCTGGTAAAAGTTTCTCTTAACTTCAACAGACTTCAGAATGAAGCTTTGAGTAACACGCAGCTGAAGCATCACATGCACTTGGATGCTAGTGCAGCAGAGGGGAGATGAAACACACAGTGAGCTTAGGAGATGAGAACAGCAAAGGCAGCCTCTTGGTCAGCTTGAGTTGAGAAGCACAAGAAACAGTCCATTCATTCCTTCTACTTGTTCTATCATTGAATCAGGTGACTATGAGAGAAGCCACTGTGCCTGGTGAGGCAAAATTGTGTTTATTTTGATGCATTAGGTGACTTAAAACCAGATGGAAAAAGCAGAGGAGTGAGTGCAGGCAGCTCCCAGCACTGATTTCACTCCTCCCTGATCAAGATATCACTCATCCTTGTCTCCATGATCAAGAAAATTCCAAGGCCAGGCGCGGTGGCTCACGCCTGTAATCCCATCACTTTGGGAGGCCAAGGCAGGCAGATTGCCTGAGGTCAGGAGTTCGAGACCAGCCTGGCCAATATGGTGAAACCCCGTCTCTACTAAAAATACAAAAATTAGAAAAGCATGCTAGCACACGCCAGTAATCCCAGCTACTCCGGAGGCTGAGCCAGGAGAATCACTTGAACCAGGGAGGCAGAGGTTGCAGTGAGCCAAGATCATACCACTACATTCCAGCCTGGGTCACAGAGCAAGACTCCTTCTCAAAAAACAGAAAGAAAGAAAAAGAAAAGTCCTCCTATTGTGACAGGAAGATGGTGAGGCAGGAGGCTGTGCCCACAGGACGGTGCTGTCTGATCAAGTTTCTTGATCCTGTGTGAATTTGCTTAGGATAATGGCCTCCAGCTGCATTCACGTAGCTCTAAAGGACCATTATTTCATTTTTAATTGCTGTGTAGTATTTCATGGTGTATATGCACCACATGTTCTTAATCCAGCCTACCTTTGATAGTCATTTAGGTTGATTTCATGTCTTTTCTATTGTGAACAGTGCTGCCATGAACGTATGTGTGCACATGTCTGTATAGTAGAACGATTTATATTCCTTTGGGTATAGATGTAATAATGTGATTGCTGGGTCGAATGGTACTTCTGTTTTAAGTTCTTTGAGAAGTCGTTATACTGCTTTCCACAACTGCTGAACTAATTTACATTCCCACCAGCAGTGTATGAGCATTCCCTTTTCTCTGCAACCTCACCAGCATCTGTCATTTTTTGCCTTTATAGTAATAGCCATCCTGACTGGCATGAGATAGTATCTCATTGTGGTTTGATTTGCATTTCCATGATGATTAGTGATGATGACCATTTTTTTATGTTTGTTGGCTGCTTGTATGTTTTCTTTTGATTAACTTCTTTTAGGTTTCCTTCTACCTATTTTAGAGAGGAAGTAGAGAAAATGTGGAAGCTAGAAGAATTTCAGGATTGTTTTTATTTACTGACGTTTCCTCTGGTAAAAGTTTCTCTTAACTTCAACAGACTTCAGAATGAAGCTTTGCGTAACGCAGCTGAAGCATCACATGCACTTGGATGTTAGTGCAGCAGAGGGGAGATGAAACACACGGTGAGCTTAGGAGATGAGAACACCAAAGAGTTGAGAAGCACAGGAAACAATCCATTCATTCCTTCTACTTGTTCTATCATTGAATCAGTTGACTATGAGAGAAGCCATTGTGCCTGGTGAGGCAAAATTGTATTTATTTTGATGGATTAGGTGACTTAAAACCAGATGGAAAAAGCAGAGGAGTGACCTCAGGCAGCTCCCAGCACTCATTTCACTGCTCCCTGATACGTGTCTGTTTCATGGCCTTTGCCCATTTTATAATGGAGTTGTTTCTTGTTGTTGATTTTTTTAAAATTTTTTGTAGATTCTGGATCTTAGATCTTTGTCAGATACATAGCTTGTGAATATGTTCTCCCATTTTGTAGGCTGTCTGTTTACTCTGTTGTTAGTGTCTCTTGCTGTAATGAAGTTGTGTAGTTTAATTAGATAGCACTTATCAATTTTTGTTTTTATTGCAATTGCTTTTGGAGTCTATGTCATGAATTCTTTGCCTGAGCAAATGTCAAGAATGGCATTTCCTAGATTTTTATTAGAGTTTTTAGAGTTTAGATTTTATATTTAAGCCTTTAATCCATCTTGAGTTGGTTTTTCTATATAGTGAAAGGTTTCCATTTCAGTGCATATAGGTGCCAGTTATCCCAGCAGCATTTATTGAATAAGGGGGTCCTTTCTTCATTGCTTGTTTTAGTCAGCTTTGTCGAAGATCAGATGGTTGTAGGTGTGCGGTTTTACTTCTGAATCCTCTAGCCTGTTCCATTGGTCTAGGGTTCCTGTTTTTGTAGCAGTACTCTTCTGATTTAGTTACTGTAGCCTTGTAGTATATCTTGAAGTCGTGTAGTGTGATACCTCCAGCTTTGCTCTTTTTGCTTAGGATTTTTTTTTTTTTTTAGCTCTAGTTTAGTTCCAAGTAAATTTTAGAATTTTTTTTCTAATTCTGTGAAAAATGTTATTGGTAGTTTCACAGGAATAGCATTGAATCTATAAATAGCATTAGGCAGTATGACCAGCTCAAAAGTATTGATTCTATCCACGCAGGTGGAATGTTTTTCCGTTTGTTTGTGTCATTTCTGATTTCTTTCAGCAGTATTTTGTCGTTCATGTTGTAGAGATCTTTCACCTCCTTGGTAAGCTGTATTTCTAGGTATTTTATCCTTTTTATGCTTACTGTGAAGGGGATTGGGCTCTGGGACTGGCTCTTGGTGTGAATGGTATTGGTATATAGAAATGCTACTGATTTGCGTAAATTGATTTTGTTTCCTGAAATATTGCTGAAATTATTTATGAGATCTAGAAGCTTTTGGGCAGAGAGTGTGGGGTTTTCTGAATATATTATAGTATCGCCTTCAAAGAGAGATAGTTTGACTTATTCTCTTCCTATTTGGATGCCTTTTATTTTTCTCTCTTGCCTGATTGCTCTGGCTAGAAATTCCAGTACTATGTTGAATAGGAGTGGTGAGAGTGGGTATCCTTGTCTTGTTCTGGTTCTCAACGAAAATGCCTCCAGCATTTGTCGATTCTGTGGGATGCTGGCTGTAATTTTGCCATAAATGGCTGTTAATATTTTAAGTTGTGTAGTTTCATTGTCTAGATTTTGAGGGTGTTTAGCATGAAGGGGCATTGAATTCTATCAAAAGGCTTTTCTGCATCTAATGAGATGATCCTGTAGTTTTTGTATTTAGTTCTGTTTATGAGGTGAATCTCATGTATTGATTTTTACATTTTGAACCAACCATGCATCCCGTGACTAAAGCCAGCTTAATTATGGTGGATTAGCTTTTGATGTGCTACACAATAATGTTTGCTAGTATTTTTTTCAGAAAGTTTGTGTTTATGTTCATGAGAGATAGCGATCTGAAGTTTTTATTTATTGTGCCTCTGTCAGTTTTTACTATCAGGGAGATGCTGGTTTCATAGAATGAGTTAGAGAGGAGATCTCCCACCTTGATTTTTTTGGAATAATTTCACTAGGATTGGTACTAGCTTTTTTTATATGTCTGGTAGTATTTGGTTGTAAATCCATTTTTTCCAGGACTTTTTCTGATAGGTGGGCTTTTTACTACTGATTCAATTTCAGAACTCATTATTGGTCTGTTTAGGCATTCAGCTTCTTCCTGCGAGATTCTTGGTAGATTGTTTCCAGCAATTTATGCACTTTTTTCTAGGTTTTCTAGTTTTTGTGCATAGAGGTGTTGGTTATAGGTTCCAAGGGTTTTTCGTTTGTTTGTTTGTTTTATTGCTGAGGGTTGAGTGATAATATCCTGTTTGTCACTTCTGGTTGTTTTTCTTTGGATATTGCTTTTTTCTTTATTAGTCTAGCTTGCAGTCTATCAATCTTATTTCTTCTTTCAAAGACCTAACTTTTGATTTCACTGACCTTTTGTTTGGTTTTTCTCCTCTCTATTTCATTCAGGTCAGGTTTGATTTTGATTATTCTTCTACCTTTGGGGTTGGTTCACATTTGTTTTTCAGATTTCTCTAGGTATGACGTTAGGTTGTTAATTCAGGATTTTTCTAACTTTTTGATGTGCACATTTAGCGCTATAAACTTTCCTCAGAACACTGCTTTTGCTGTGTCCCAGAGATTGTGGTATGTTGTCTCTTTTTTTTCATTAGTTTCAAAGAATTTCTTAATTCTTATCTTAATTTCATTGTTTACCCAAAAGTCTGTAAGCAGCAGATTGTTAAATTTCTACTTAATTTTATGGTTTTTGAAAGATCTTTTTGGTGTTGATTTTTACTTTTTTTGCACTTCAGCCTGAGAGTGTGGTTGGTATGATTCCATTTCATTTTATCATTTTTATTTTTTGTATTTGTTGACACTTGCAGTATGGCTGAGAGTGTAGTCAATTTTAGAGTTTTTGCCACGTGTAGATGGGAAGAATGTATATTCTGTAATTTTTAGTGGTTGCTCTGTAGATGTCAGTTTGTTCCATTTTGTCAAGTGTCATGTTTAGGTTCTGAATATGTTTGTTACTATTCTGCCTAAATCATCTGTCGAATACTGTCAGTGTGGGTTGAAGTCTCACTCTATGATTGTGTGGTTATCTAGGTGTTTTTGTAAGTCTCTAAGAACTTACTTCACAAATCAGGGTGCTCCACTGCTGTGTGCTTATATAATATATTTAGGATAGTGAAGTCTTCTTGTTAAATTTAACTCTTCATTATTATGTAATGCTCTTCTCTGTCCTTTCTGATTATCGTTAGTTTTGTTTTGTTTTGTTTTGTTTTGTTTTTTGAGACAGAGTCTCTCTCTGTCTCCCAGGTTGCAGTGCAGTGGCGCGATCTCGGCTCACTGCAAGCTCCGCCCCCTGGGTTCACGCTATTCTCCTGCCTCAGCCTCCCAAGTAGCTGGGACTACAGGCGCCTGCCACCACGCTCGGCTATTTTTTTTGTATTTTTAATAGAGACAAGGTTTCATCGTGTTAGCCAGAATGGTCTCGATTTCCTGACCTCGTGATCTACCCGCTTTGGCCTCCCAAAGTCCTGGGATTACAGGTGTGAGCCACCGCGCCCAGCCATGATCATTGTTAGTTTTAAGTCTGTTGTATCTGAAATAAGAATAGCAACCCCTGCTCTTTTTTGCTTTCCATTTGTTTGATAGATCTTTCTTTCTCCCTTTACTTTGAGCCTATGTGTAATCATTAGAAACCACCTGAAAGAACAATGACCAGTGCCTTGAATAATATCTTTTAATAAAGGGTCGCTTGTACCTAGTAAATACTAAGCTTATTTATTTATTTATTTATTTATTTATTTATTTATTTATTTTGTTGCCCAGTTTCGCTCTTGTTGCCCAGGATGGAGCGCAATGGTGCGATCTCGGCTCACCAAAACCTCCGCCTCCCGGATTCAAGTGATTCTCCTGCCTCAGCCTCCCAAGTAGCTGGGATTACAGGCATAAGCCCCCAACCCCCAGGTGATTTTATGTATTTTTAGTAGAGATGGGGTTTTTCCATGTTGGTCAGGCTGAACTCCCGACCTCGGGTGATCCGCCTGCCGCGGACCAAGAAGTGCTGGGATTACAGGCGTGAGCCACCACAACCGGCCTAAGCTCATTTTTAAAAACGTATTTTTTATGATGTGAATAAAAAATCTTTTAAAAGATAAATGATAAATCCATATCATAAGGGAAATCGTGATACTTGCTCATAATATTTGTACATAACTTTGTACTTCATCTCCTGCAGGTCTAGTCAGACCCTCCTGCATAGCAATGGAAACACCTATTTGTATTGGTAACTATAGAAGCCAGGCGAGTCTCCACAGCTCCTGATCTATGGGGTTTCCAATGGGGCCTCTGGAGTCCCAGACAGGTTCAATAGCAGTGGGTCAGGCACATATTTTAAACTCAAAATTAGCAGGGTGGAGGCTGAGGATATTCGACTTTATTAATACATGCAAGCTACATAATATCCTTGCACAGTGGTAACGCCTTGAACACAAACCTCCTTGCTGGGGTGTCCCAACTGCCCACATGAGCTGCTGTCTGGGAGCAGCTCTGCAGGGTCTCTGAGTCTGCGGAAGAGGAGGCTGTTGGGGAACTCAGGGAAAGGGTTTGCTGCTGAAGACTCTGGCTCATGAGAGCCTCAGCTGTGCCTCAGTCACATATGTTAAGGTCCCATCAGCTGCCATGGCCTGGGGAAGACATCATCAGGAGGAGAATTCTTGGGGGCCATGAGCCCTGGGAACAACCAGCTATGATGAAGGGAGAGTGAATGAAAGCTCATCCCTCCCTATCTTGCCTACATTTTTCAAGGACATTTACTTGTCAAAACAACCAGACCGTGGATGCAGATTAGTGACAACACAAGTGGAATACGTGTTGGAAATGACCAGCTTGGGGTTTATTTTATACAAGATGATACTTGGTCCTATTGAGAAATCATTTTTTTCATTTCATTCTCCCAACCTTGTATCTTTTTTAGCACTCGTACACTAAACTGCCCTCTCCAGTGTCATGCTGGAGAAGGTATTCTACACAAGCTGTCCTCAGGGGAGTGTGGCAAAAAATAATTATTAAAAATGTTTAGGTTTGACTATTCATAGACTTGGTAAACACATGGCAAATAAAAGATCTCAATGCCAAAATACTTCAATTCTCCTCAATTACCTTCATCCCAGTGAAAGTTCTTCCAGTTACAAAAGTGAGCTTTGAAAATAAACAGAATGAACTCACAGATGGACAACATAGACTCACTAAATATGTCACATGAATAATGCAGAATTACATAATATTTTTTCTTCTTACCCCAGTTTTAAGAATTTAAAAAGCATTTAACCTAAGTACTGTTTTAGAGGTGACAAATTTAGTGGTGTGTCCCCATGAGAAAATATTTCAAACAATACCAAAATTCCTTGTTTACATATTACATCATCGTTCCTAGAAAATATATCTAAATCCTCTATTTTAGGTATAAAAGCAAAAAAAAGTAAGGTTTCAGTTGATTTCACTTAAAATGGTATTTTAAATTTCCATCAAACTTAATGATGAGTCATGTCAGTTACATGACAGAACATGGTGTGATAGAGACAAAAGAATGATTGAAGGAACAGAACAAGAAGCTTCTGCTTCAGCCTTAGGATTTGAAGTATATTGGAGATTATTTTCCATTCTGTGATAATGGATTCAATGGCCACTGCAACTAAAATTCCAAAGTGCCATTTCTATTAGGTTTCATAGATATAGGGCAAAATTTATGTAGAAATCAAGCAGACTGGAGCCCTCAAATTAAAAAACATTAGACACTTTTAAATATGCTATTTAAAAATCCTAATAAATACATCGTGGAGTGTAAATGATTTTACAGAATGCTATTTCAGAGAAACAAAGCGTAAGTAGCAAGAGCAGGAGCTGAGAAATGCCATCATCGTCTTTAGTACTCACGTGATTGACAGCACCTAGTCGCTGTAGATTCTGCTTTGATGTGAGACAGGGATAAGGTCTAAACTCACTCAAGATGTTTAGATGTATTTAACAAGGAAACAAACATACAGCCTACATGATTTTGATATCCCAAGGGCTATACTCTCAAATCAAAATGCTAAAAAAATGATATCAAAGACAGAAAGGGGATAAGGTCTAAACTCACTCAAGATGTTTAGATGTATTTAACAAGGAAACAAACATACAGCCTACATGATTTTGATATCCCAAGGGCTATACTCTCAAATCAAAATGCTAAAAAAATGATATCAAAGACAGAAAGGGGATTCAAGAAGAACCAGAGGATAATCAAATTTATTACAAAGAAGCCTCAAAAGCTCAGAGCACAGCCTACCTCCTTCCTCACAGTCTCTGCCCCCATTCCCATTCCTCAGCAGCATGGGGTGGAGCGGAGAGGAGAGAAAGCTGTTACCCCTAGAGAGCCTCTCTTTTCTTCTAAAGACCTAAGAAAATTCCAGCTTTCCACCAGGGATAAATGTTCTTTTGCCTCAAGGACTCATTTGTGCAATTTTTTACTGTGTGAATCTCCTGATAAACTTGCATTTTTGTTCGTTTTAATTTGAAAATATATTTACACAATATTTGGAAATAATTTTTGAATATATAATCATATTGTGGCAGCCTATAGAAGTTGTCATTTACTGTTGGTAATTGTTGCTAAAAAGTCATCTGCAAATGAAAGACTTTCATCTGTGACTAACACACCTCCTCTGAAAGGAATCTGGCTTTTTCGTCTCTTCAGGCTCTTTTTAAGCTCTTCAATTGGCCTTTGGCTTTTTCAACATGTAATTTATTCAGTTTAATTTATTATTTATGCAAAATTAATGAATTAGTTTTCCCTATTACAAAATAAAAAATCGTGTGTATTGCTATGTCAAACACCTGCCCCTAGATGGCAAACAAATTCCACAGTATAAAAAGAGAATGCCATGAACTAAGAAATACTGGGAATGTAAGGATGATGGTGTCTCACTGTCAACAGGGAGCCCTTTGGCTGGAACAGGGTCTCATGTGTGACCTGGAGCACCTGGGAGGAGCTGCCAGGGTGCTAAATGGTGGGGAAAATCTGCTCTGTGCTCTGTGCGCTGAGACTGGAAGCTGGGCCCTGACCCCCAGTGTAGCTGCGAGAGATGATCGAGGTAGATGGGGTTAAAGGAGGTCCTAAGCATGAGATCCCTTGCAATAGAATTAGTGCTCTTATCCGAATAGCAACCAGAGCTCTCCTCTTCCTTTCCTCCCTGTCTCTCCCTCTCTCTTCCCAACCCCCATCCCTTTTTCTCCATGGCTGTCTATGAACCAGGAAGAAAGTTCTTAACAGAATGTGTACCTGGTTGGACCTTGATCTTAGACTTCCAGCCACCAGAAATGTGAATATAAATTTCTATTGCTTAAGCCATCCAGGCTTTGGGATTTTGGCGTGGCAGTGCCAGCAGATTCACCCACCGTCCCAACCCTCTCTGAGCAGGATCAGCCTCAGGAGGCCCTCGTGGACATGGAGACACAGCTTTCCTCCTCTTCTGCTGCTGTCAGACTCTGGTGAGGAGGGAGGACTCAGGCTTCATCCTCAGTTTGGTTGCACTAAATACAAATGTTTCCTTCACCATCAGGTAACTAGCCTTTTTGCTTTCTGATTAGAATTACATCAAACTGCAGGAACAACTATGCCTATTTATACAAATGTACATATCACATTGTGAACCCAGAACATTTGAGACAGGTATAAGGTAATTTAGAAAGTTTATTTTGCCAAAGTTTAGGACACGTTCCTGTGACACAGCCTCAAGAGGTCCTGCAGGCATGTGGCCAAGGTGGTCAGAGCGTAGCTTGGTTTTAAACATTTCAGTGAGACATGAGACATCAATCAACATATATAAAATGAACATTGGTTTGGTCTGGAAAGGCAGGACAACTCCAAGCGAAAAGCAGGGCAACTGGAAGCAGGGAGGGGCTTTCAAGTCCCAGGTAGGTGAGAGAAAAACTTGCCTTCCTTTAAGTTTCTGATTAGCCTTTCCAGAACAGGTAATTAGATATGCATTTATCTCAGGGACCAGAGGGCTGACTTTGAAAACAATGGGAGGCAGATTTGCCCTATTCAGTTCCCAGCTAGAATTTTCCCTTTAGCTTAGTGATTTGGGGAGCCCAAGATATTTTCCTTTCACAATATTTATTCGTAATATAGATGCATAGTAGATACAAAGATATCACTGCAATTTACATCTATAATATTATACATATTTAATATACAAAGTTTGTTACAAACGCATATATACATATACACATAATTTTATGTTTATTTAGCACGTGCTCCTTTTTTTTTCTAACTATAACAGAATCAGGCTCAGTCAGGACTCTGCGGACATTTGCTGACCTCTTTGGCTCCAGCACAGTCCTGGTCATTGAGAGCCAGTGAGAACAGAGCTGAGAGCAGCCCACCCCAGGAGCTTGGGCCCAGCCCCAAGGCCCTTGTCTCTGAGACTTTCCTCCTGGTGGCAGGCTCTGGGCTTGAAGCAGTGCCCATGAGTGTGTGAGCAATTTCCTTCCCTGAAGCCCCTGTGAGGCAGACCTGTGGGCAGCGCCTTTGGTTCCCAGGTCCTCAGCCCCTTGTCTCAGTAGAGCAGCTGCTTCCTCCACAGCCCAGGGCCAGAGCCCAGCAGCTTTCAGACAGTGCAAGTCTGACCTTAGCCCTGATTTAAGGATCTTATTATAAATGTCTCTACAAGTATTCTGGTAACTGAAAGTATGTCCTTGACTTACATAAATGCATAGGCTACATTTCCACAATTGCTGAAACTAACAAGGTCATGTGAGAAATTTAAAATTTGACTTCGTTTTCATCCTCAGGGCCCGGCTTCTTCGAATGTTGCAGTATGAAGATGCGCCTAGCTTTTCTCCTCCTCATACAACTTTCCTTAAAAGCACAGTGGAATTTAAAATTTTGTCACCTACAGAGCAGCCACCCTCTCCTCTTTCAGTGTATAGGGCACTGTCTCTGTCCTGCTGTGCATGACAACGACACTGAGCCGCTCCCAGCCCAGGAAAGGAGCAAGGTTTAGGTGGACATGTGATCAGCTCCACAATGAGATGTCATGGGTGTGAAGGAGGGGCAGGACTTCTGGAGAAAATGGTGATCTCTCATAAAAAGAGGGGTGATGAAGAGCTTTGCCCTTCATTTCCTCTTTGGGCAGTTACCAGAGGACATGAAGCTTACAGTCTCTGCAGCCTTCTTGAGACCATGAGATGTTGAGCCCAAGACAGAAAAACCAATGTGGTCAAGTTTACCAAGCAGTAATGTAGAAAGAATCTGGGGCCTTTCTCCTGTCACCAAGCTGCTGTATTAACCCTGAATGTGCCAAACTTCAGATCTCTTCTCATTGCTTAAGCCATTGTTATTCTTTCACTTGTTTCTAAAATTATTGTCGCTTATCCTTAAATGATACTGAAGAAAAAGAGCCTCGTTGGCCATAGACCTGCCCCTTAGGAGAAGAAATGCATTATCATGCGTGTGTATGTGTGTGTTTGTGGGTGTCAAAGGCAGTAAAAGCAAGAACCAGAATAAGTGATGTCCTTTCCTGACATCTTGGCTCTGCTGTATTTATAGCTAAGGAAACCCAAACCACTGCAAAGAGTTCATAATTTCTGCTCTCTTCCTGTCTCAGTTTCATGTTTTATATCTTAAGGATGAACATCTTTTTGTTGTCCCTAATTCCTCCCTCCTTTATGATCATGAAATTAAAATAGTGGTCAAGAAAGAGACAAGAACACTTGAAGAAGACATAAAATCTGTGGACTGTACACATCTCCTCAACAGCAACATCATGCTAGCAGTTTTCTCCTTCTTCTCAGTGGTTTTTGATGGGAAGATGCTAACTCCTCCAACCAGGTATCTATCAGAGGTTGCGTTTGGAGGGCTTACAAAGAAAAGCTTCCAGGCAGTTAGTGCTGGATTCTGGGGAGTGTAGCAGGAGGGTGAGTCTGGATTCCCAGCATGGGGAGGCCAGAGTGAATTCTGAGAAAGGCTGTGCATGTGGGAAGAAAAGAATTAGAACTCAGAACTGTGGTCACAACCTTAGGAGCCAAAGAATGAGACACTAACACAAATGCAGCTCAGAGACAACTCAGACTAAAAGTGTTATGATCAATTGTCATCTTGTTTGTCTTTCTAATACCACACATAAAGAGTAGGTAGAATTGTTTACAGTGGAAGCTATGCACATGAAACCCCACTGCCCTTAGTGATGCACTTGCTTGTTGTAGAATAAATATTGAAGAATTTGAATTGAAAGTGATGTCTGGCTAGTAATATCTTACATAGCCTTTTTATTCCAGCATGGTCAAGGGTACATAAAAAGAGGACTGGATATATATATATTAGAAAGATAAACAGGATGACAATTGATCATATATATATATATATATATATATATATATTTACACACACACACACACATACTTCAAGGCCCATCATCTGATTAAGTCCTCAGGAGACCCCTTGATATACACAGTGTTCCATTTCACAGATGAAGAAACCAATGATCAGAGCTCATGGATGGTTTATGCAAAATCACATGATCAGCACATGTGGGCTGGAATTTGAACCCAAGTCTGTGTGGCTTTATTATATTTCTTTCATGCAGCCACTTTCATCCCATAGTTGAGCCCACAGTCTATAATAAGGGAGAAGACACCGTAGGGACAGTGTGGACTCCACAGCTTCCTGCTCTCTCTGTCTTACACCATGCTGACCTTAATCGTAAACTAGCCCCATCTGCAGTTTTCCCTAGAAAACACAACTCTGTCAATGTCTTTGTGAGTTGCAAATGACTTTATTTTGGACTTGTGAGGAAGGACACATCTTTCTTTTCTCTGGCCCCTTCTACATCTCCTCTTTCTCTTCGAATTTCCCTGGCTCAGTCTGTCCCTCTCAGAATGTGTTCTGCAAGTCTAATTTGCCCTCCTAATATAAAAACAAACCAAAAAACAATCTCCCCTCCTCTCACGTGCTATGACAGCTGATCTCTAGGCTCTCAGATACCCAGATTGTTCCAGAGCCAATCAAGGGATCTGACCCAAGACATTTTCTGCCTTAGAGGAATTCTGGTGCTACCTCCTCTCAAAATAATATGTTCTCTGTCTTTTCAAAATTGACGGGAAATTATTACAAGGTGAAGATATTTGGGAGAACAAGAACAGCCATGCACTGAGGAGATAAAAGCCATCTCTTCCTCTTGCATTAATATCCTATTGCTGTTGGAACAAATTAGTATGACCTCACTGGCTTCATACAACACAAATGTATTATCTTACAGTTCTGAAAGTCAGAAGTCTCACTGAACTAAAATCAAAGAGTGAGCAGGGCTGTATTATTTCTGGAGGCTCCAAGGAAGAGAATTGGATACTAAGTTTTCATCTTCAAGATCTCTCAGATTCCTTGCTTCTTGGCCCCATTCTGCCACAACAGCATTCCCCTCCATTGTCCGGGCTCCTCTCTGATTGTGACCCTCCTGTATTTTCTATTATAAGGACCTTGTGATTACACTGGTTTGAGACAGGCAATCTAGGATACTCTCCTCATGTCAAATTTCTTAACTGAATCACATCTGCCGAGTTCCTCTTGACATATAAGGTAACATTCATAGATTCCAAATATTAGGACATAAATATAATTAGGGTGGGGGGTCCTTATTTATCCCCAAAACAACTCCCATTATTCCCACAACTGCCCACCCCTAAAGTCAAATGAAAATTCACAAGGCTGTTTTATGAAGCAAGGAAGCAGGAAATAATTTGTGATTTGGAGACTCTCTGACCTGTGGGTTTTAAGAGTAGGGGTTAGTTATTCCACTGCCTCTAATGTGGACCTCATGGTGTGCTGCTATTTTTTTTTTTTTACTGAGACAAAGTCTCTCTCTCTGTTTCCCAGGCTGGAGTGCAGTGGTGCGATCTTGGCTCACTGAAACCTCCGCCTCCCGGGTCCAAGCAATTCTCGTGCCTCAGCCTCCCGAGTAGCTAGGATTACAGGTGCCTGCCACCATTCCCCGCTAATCTTTGTTTTTTAGTAGAGACGGGGTTTCACCATGTTTGCCTGGCTGGTCTCAAACTCCCGACCTCAGGTGATCCACCCACCTCGGCCTCACAAAGTGCTGGGATTACAGGCGTGAGCTACCTCACTCGGCCTGTGTGCTGCTATTTTAAGAAGCTTCTTTTATTTTGTGAGTCAGAAGAAAGGGATTACTGCATAAATCAAATTTAAGATAGATGGGCAAAAAGCAATTTAGTGTTTTCTGATTTTTGTATGCATCAAAAAAGGAGAAATAATAAGAATTAAGACAAGAGGCCAGGTGCAGTGGGTCACGCCTGTGATCCTAGCACTTTGGGAAGCTGAGACAGGCAGTTCACCTAAGGTCAGGGGTTCGAGACCAGCCTGGCCAACATGGTGAAACCCCATCACTACTAAAAATACAAAAATTAGCCGGGCGTGATAGCAGGCACCTGTGATCCCAGCTACTTGGGAGGCTGAGGCAGGAGAACCACTTGAACCTGGGAGCCAAAGGTTGCAATGAGCCAAGATTGTGCCATTGCACTCCAGCCTGGGCAACAAAACAAGACTCAGTCTCAAAAAAAAAGGAGAGACAAGAGATGTAGCCCTCCCAAGAACTGGGATTTGTCCACTGTGTTGGGTTGTGTCCACCTACAAGAAGTATTTCTATGCATGCAGCATATTTACAATGGGAGGGAAGGAGGAAAGTGAGGCAGAGAACAGAGGTTGAAGGTTAAAGTCACCTCAACAAGCCACCTAACTCTTAGGATAACTGAAGCTCAACCCCATTTGGAAACACGGGGAAAATGTCCCTGGGCTATTCTAGCTGAGAGGGGAGGGAGCTGGGGTATGTATACATGTCCTTCTGTCATCACCAATTGAGGGCTGTCTGTCTAAGTCTGTTTTGTGCTGCTATAACAGAATACCTGAGACTGGGTAATCAGTAAAGAACATTCTGTCACATTTCTGGAGGATGGGAAGTCAAAGATTGAGTAACTAGCAGCTTGGGATCCAATTTCTGTGCTTTCAAGATGGAATTTGAATGCTGAGTCCTTCAGAGAGAAGGAAGGCCATGCCCTGGCCTGACAATAGCAGAAGTGAGAGACTGGGAGCTCGCTCTCATAATTGAGATAGTTCAGGGATCTGACCCCTTCTTAGGGGTCTTTGAAGCTTCCCCAGACATGGAAATAAAGGAAAATCTTGGGTCTTTTCAAGGGAAATGTTAGGTGTCCAGCTAAGCCTTGAGAAGTAAACAAGCAACATGAGAAGCAAGGAGACGATAATAGACTAAAACAATAGTCAAAGAAGCTAAAAATCACAGTATGTTTTATTCCTCTACAGAAACTAAAGAGAACATCTCAGCATATGTCTCTGAGTTGTTTTTCAGAAACCCAGATCTCCAACAAATGGATCTGCCAGCACATAGACTTCACATAAGGGGAAACAGGGGACTGAAATTTGACCATGGTTCTTTGTTCTGAATTTCCACCTGAGGGGCCTGGAGAAAGTCACACCCACAGGCCAGAGCCAACATTCCTTTGTGCTGACCCCAATTTTTAAACAAAGCTTTTCTTCCTTAATCAATTGCACATCAGAAAATTTTTCAATCTACTCATGACCTGTAAGATATTCTGCTGCTTCATGATATCCTGCCCTCTTAGGCCAAAGCCAATGTGTAACCTCCATGTATTGATTTACAATTTTGCCTGTAACTTTTGATTCCCTGAAACTTACCTGGGCTTTTAAAAGCCATTATTTGTAAGCCATTAGAGAGATCAAGATTTAAGCATTAGCTGTCTGGTCCTCTTTGCTTGACGTCCTGCAAATAAATGACTTTTTTCTCCTACTGCAAACTCAGTTTGGATAACTGGTTTTACTGCACTGAGCAAGCTGAATCCAGTTTGGTTCCATAATAAAAGCCCTTTTTATAGTAGCATTAATCTATTCATAAGGGCAGAACCTTCAGTATTTAAACACTTCTCATTAGGCCCCACCTCTCAATTCTGTTGCATTATGGATTAAATTAACAGTGGATGAAATTGAGGGGATACAGTGAAACCATAGCACTGTCTGAGGAAAGACTCATTCCAAGCCCTGTGGTCTGCCATGCGTGTAGGCGGAGCTGCCTTTCTCAGAGAGGGCAGAGATGGCCATGGGGAATCAGCAGAAGTACGGTGAAAGGGAAAGTCCTCAGTGCAGACAGGGACTGCTCCAACCGTTTAGAAAAAAGCACCTGTACTTTCCACCTGGAGCTGCAACCTTCTGGAATGGTGTTTCCTGGCAGGTCAGTTGCAAATGAAGGAATCTGGGAAGTAACATCTCAAGATATGCTACATTGGTATTGTGATTGCTTCAAACTGAAGGTGTTTAGAAAACAACAAATATATAAAGGGGCTTTTCCTAAATCTCCCTTACCTGTCTAAGGGCAGTTTCTCCAGAAGGAAGCCAATTGTCATGAAAACCCTCCCTGGGAATGTTTATCTACCAGGGAATATTAACATGCACTAGAAGTTAAATCCAGAAAAGATTGGATGTTGACTTTATCCAGACAGGCTACTACCTATCCTTTTCAGGACCCTTTTCTTTTATTTTAGGTTATTTACTCTCCCTTAGTTGCCTATACTCTCTACTTCCCTCTCCCCTATAAAGGATGTAGAAGCACCTGGACCTCACTGGGTTATTTGGGTAATCCCTCTCGTGTGTTATCCCCACACCCCCACCCCGCATGTTAAATACATTTGTCTGCCTTTTTTTCCTATTAATTTGTCTTTTGTTTATTCATTTTCAGCAAACCTTTAGAAGGTTTGCTTTTCTCTTTCCCCTTTTCCCTCTACAAAAGCAAGTTCCCTTAACATTCAGGTCCCTGAATAGACAGAAGGAGGGTGTGTGCAGAGCTTACACCACAGTGATTTGACCACTCCTAGTCAGGCATGAGTAATACTTTCCAGAACCCAGGCTACAGCCCACAGACACTGATGTAGTTGAATGCTGCTGCTGAAGCAGGCTGAGATGTCTTGGGCCCTGTTAGAGATGTGAGATATGATTGGGTGCAAATCCATTACCAGTTTTATTAGGATCCAATTAATTTCTCCATATGTATGGAAATTTGCTTGATAAGAGGTGGAGACTCTGTTCTGGATGTGAGACAGGAGGCTGGTATGTGGATCAGAATGATGTTCCCACTCACTGCTAAAAAGTAAAAGAGGAAAGTGGCATTCATAGTGCAAGGCAGGGACATGCACTGAGCAGCAGCTGCCCTCACTGGTAGGGAGGACTTACTGTCCTGATCTTTTCCAAAGTCTCTCCATCACCTGCTCTCCAGAAATCCAGGATTCAGAGGAGCTGTACCTGAGCACCCAGGAACATGCTGGTGGGGAGTTCAGCATTACTCAGGGGATGCAATCTTGGTCTTCCTACTTGTGGAGACAACTGAACCCTGGATAATTTCAAGTTTATCCTAATCCAGACTCTGATAAATGCAGGAAGAAACTAGTTATTTAAGTCAATCAGATCTGGCATCACTAGTCAGCTCTTCATGCTGAGAACCCCGGGGAAATAATACTCAATGGCAGAAGAGAGGGTAAAATATAGAGATCACCAAACCAAAAATAAGATGCAGCTTATATAATCTCTGGGTATTGAGGTGGCTTACAGGTTTAAATAATGGTGAATCTGTGAGTGATACCGGCCTTGAGGACTTGTGGTTTCATTTTTATGCATCTGTAGTGAATTGCGTGACCATACAGTCATGTAAGAATGGCTTAAGGTCATTACAAAATACTTTCAAATATATTTAGCATTATCTTGTAAAATTGTCTCTTTTTTTTAAGAAGGAACCATTTCACTCTCACAGAAATGTTATAAGTATAGAACAAAGTACCCTCTCCTTTGCAGAGTATATTCAAGACTTGATGTTCCCACCCTCTAAAACTTTACTGAGTTTCCTACAAATAAAAATATTCCCCTGGCTGGACGTGGTGGCTCATGCCTGTAATCCCAGCACTTTGGGAGGCTGAGGCGAGGGGGTCACCTGAGGTTAGGAGTTTGAGACCAGCTTGGCCAACATGGTGAAACCCCATTTCTACTACTAAAAATACAAAATTAGCCTGGCATGGTGGTGCGTACCTGTAGTCCCACCTACCCTGGAGGCTGAGGCAGGAGAAATCGATGGTACCTGGCAGGTGGAGGTTGCAGTGAGGTGAGATCGTGCCACTGCACTCCAGCCTAGGTGACAGAACGAGACTCTGTCTCAAAAAAAAAAAACCTTAATTAATCCCCATATACAAATAGAAAACATTACTTCATCGAGTACTCAAGAGTATTTCAAATATTAACAATTATTAAAAAAAAAAGTTCTTTGTTACAAAACGGCCCCAAGAGGAAACATGTTCTTACAGACAAATCTGTGCTACCCTCCTCTGACTTGGGACACTGGGGACACGAGGGACTGGCTCAGAGATGAGCCAGCCCCGCAGCTGTGCCCAGCCTGCCCCAACCCCTGCTGATTTGCATGTTCCCAGAGCACAGCCCCCTGCCCTGAAGTCTTCTTAACAGGCTGGTCACACCCCGTGCAGCAGTCAGTCCCAGTCAGGACACAGCATGGACATGAGGGTCCCCGCTCAGCTCCTGGGGCTCCTACTGCTCTGGGTCCCAGGTAAGGAAGGAGAACACTAGGAATTTACTCAGCTGGTGCGCTCAGTATAGCCTGGCTCTTCAGGGAGGTCTTCTTATAACATGATGGATTGAATGGATGTTTGTTTTTATATTTCCAATCTCAGGTGCCAGATGTGACATCCAGTTGACCCAGTCTCCATCCTCCCTGTCTGCATCTGTAGGAGACAGAGTCACCATCACTTGCCGGGTGAGTCAGGGCATTAGCAGTTATTTAAATTGGTATCGGCAGAAACCAGGGAAAGTTCCTAAGCTCCTGATCTATAGTGCATCCAATTTGCAATCTGGAGTCCCATCTCGGTTCAGTGGCAGTGGATCTGGGACAGATTTCACTCTCACTATCAGCAGCCTGCAGCCTGAAGATGTTGCAACTTATTACGGTCAACGGACTTACAATGCCCCTCCCACAGTGTTACAAGGCATAACATAAACCCCCCAAGGAAGCAGATGTATGGGGCTGGCCTGCCCCAGATACTCCTCCTACTGCCTCCAGCTGCTCAGAGGGTTTCTCATATTCCAGTCAAGCTTTGAAAGTCACTGAAAAGTTTTGATGGAAGGGGCCATGAAGACTCTGAAACTGCCTTTGCAAAAATCATAACTGAGAAAATTATGACGGTGGAAGATATTACACAGCCAGCTCTGTGTGAATTACTCTTTCACTACTGCTATTGCCGTGTCTTGATAAATCGACTCTGTCTAAGCAGCAGGCAAGGTGAACCCCTTGGGCGATTACAACTCCTCTATACCTTAACTGTTTTTCCTTCTCATCCCCTGCAGCACAAACATGGCAATACTGTTCCTGATTTCATTAAGAAAAGAGATGATTACACCTGAGTCTTGGCTATGGTGTGAGTTGGAATCAATACCACAAAGGAAAACCTACTCTTGGAATTCCAAGTCTATTTTTTTTTTTCTAAATACACGCAATGAGAGTCTAAACTACAGCCTCTGGGAGGCTTGGGAGCATGGTACTCAAAGATGCAAATAATTAGAAAACGATTCTCTGGATCTCCCCAAGAATCCAGAGAGCATCTGGTGCAGAAGCTATAATTGCCAATCATGTGGTCCTCAGACATGTCTGGGAAGCCCATGTTCGGGGCTGTTGATGCTCTGCCTGGAGGACCTTCCTGATTTTCTATGGCATCTGCTTACAATTGACCAGCCCCCTATTCAAAGCTTGCCGTGTTGCATCTCAACTCTTGTCCGTGGGACCCCAAGTCTCTAGCCACATCCAGTTCTTCACAGAAGCTGGATGTATGTGCCAGGGCAAGGAGAACTGGGTGGGAGGTGAGTCTGTGGGCTCCACAGCTTCACGTGTTTATGAGGTAGGAGTTATTAAGAAATTATTTTAGGCAGATAGAGAGGAAAAAAGGGATCCTTGGGAGACTTTTCACAGCTGTTGTCTAGCATAAAAGCCCTGGGTCTTAGCCCCGGGCAGGCAACCTTTTATATGCAAATGCAAGCCGTTAGAAACTGGGTCCATCCAACATGCACCCAACATGGTGATTTCCACCGTTGTCCTCTTGCCCTTGCCCCAACATGCGCCTGGCAGCATGGTTGCCCCTACATATCCCCACGTGTGTGGAACATCATGGCGCCCTGTATTTGCATATTAAAAGGCTAGGGTGGGAGGGCCAGTTCTTTCGAGGGCTACCGTGAATGACATGTCTGGTCAAACCAATACCCTGAGCCCTGTGCAAATCAGACACCGCCTCCTCCAGACATCAAATATAGCTGGCTGATATTACCTGAAAGAGTGGTTCGTCCCTCGGCTTTGGAGCCCCCCTCCCTCTGTCTTTGTACAGGGGAGCTTCATCCTTCTTTCTTCCCCCTTCTTTCTTGCCTATTAAACTCCCTGCTCCTTAAAACTATTCTAAGTGTGTCAGTGTCATTTTTTCTAATTTGACTCGAGACAAAGAACCTGGTGTCCTCTACTCATCAGAGCAGTATCATTTATTCCAACATGATAGAGTCACATGGTCTATGCCCAGGGAAAAGAATTCATATTTTTGTCTTATGAATAATCAAGGTTCACCTCCAGGGAACAATAAACAGTACTCTGATTAAGATCTTGAAAAAAAAAAAGAGTTCCCTTCTGGCTGGTAAATAATGGGTTTATTTTAGAAAGTCTACTTTCATGACATGAATCAAAACTTGAAAAATGTAACTATAAATCAATATCATAAAAGAAATCATGAAAGTTGTTCATAATGGAAAGCCAGCCTTTGTCTCCTGCAGGTCTAGTTAGAGCCTCCTGTATAATAATGGAAACACCTATTTGTATTGGTACCTGCAGAAGCCAGGCCAGTCTCCACAGCTCCTGATTTATGAGGTTTCCAACCAAGCCTCCGAATTCTCAGACAGGTTCAGGGGTAATGGGTCAGGTACTGAGTTTACACTGAAAGTCAGTAGGACGGAGACTAAGGATGTTGGAGTTTATTAGAAAACTTGAACTTCCATCAATGATAAATATTCCTTTTGCCTCAAGCACATATTTGAGGAATTTTCCATTGAGTAGATCTACCGATAAGGTCACATTTTTCTGTCTGTTTTAATCTGAATATGTATTTATATGATTCTCAGAAATGTTTTTTGACTATGAAATTATATTTGTGAGACCTTTTTTCAAGTTGTTGTTTACCATTTGATAATTACTGCTGAAACGTCATCTATTAAAAAAAATCGGTCATCCGTTCTCTAACTCTCATTGAAAGGAATTTGCCTTTTTAAACCCCTCAGACTCTTTTTAAGCTTTTCAATTGGCCTTATCTTTTTTTTACAGATTCAATGTATTAAGTCAATTTATTATTTATGATAAATTTATTTATTTATTTATTTTTACTATCACAAAATTTAAAAATCCTGTAAGTTGCTATGTCAAACCTGCCTCTAGATTGCAAACAAACCCCACAAAAAAGAGAGTACCATTATCTTAGAAATACTAGAAAAGCAAGAGTGATAGTGTCCCATTGTTAACAGGGACCCCATAAGGCTAGAATAATGTCCCACATGTTACCTGGGGCACCTGGGAGGAGCTGCCACTGTGCTGAATGGTGGGAAAAAGCCATCTGTGCTCTGAGACTGGAAGCCTGGCCCTATTCCCCTATGTGGATGTAGGAGATAATTGGGGTTATAAAGGGGTAATTACGGTTAAATGAAGTCATAAGGGTGGGGCTCTGATCCAATAGGATTAGTGTCCTTATAAGGACAGAAACCAGAGAACTCTTCTCTTTTCCTTTATTTCTCTAACTCACTGCTTCCCTATGGAAAGGCCATGAGAAGACATGGTGAGAAGGTGACTACCTGTAAACTAGGAAGAAGGTTCTAACCAGAAAGTGAACCTTGCTGGAACTTGATCTTGGACTTTCCAGGCTTGTGAACTATGAGAATAAATTTCTCTGGTTTAATCTACCCAGCCCAGGGTATTTTGGTGTAGCAGTGCAAGAAGGCCCATCCACTGTCCCCACCCTCTCTGAGCAGGATCAGCCTCAGGAGGCCCTCATGGACATGGGTGCCCAGCTTTGCCCCTCTTCCTCCTGCTTTTCTGACTCTCTGATGAGGAAGAAGAACTCAGACTTCGGCTTCAGATAGTTTGTATTAAACATGAACATTTCCTTGATAATGAAGTTATAGTTTGTTTATCTTTCTGTCACCTGCAGGGCCAGGTGATACAATTTCAACAAAAGTATATCAATTTCTATACAATTGTACATATTATTTTAATGTGAAATGTAGAAACATAGCGTATACATCTATCTCAATATATAATTAATATTCAAAATATTATATGTATTTAATAAAGTTTACATAATATGTATGCATATATTATTTGTTGAGCATGTGCTCTATTTCTTTGTCATCAGAACAGAATCTGGCTCAGCAAGAGCCCTGGGGACATTTGCTCACCCTCTCCCTTTGCTTCCAAGAAGGTCCTGACTGCTTATATACAATGAGAACAGAGCTGAGAGCAGCCTACTCCAGGAGCCCAGGCCCAGCTCTAAGGTCCTGGTTTCTGAGGCTTTCACCATGGCCCCAGGCTCGGGCTTGGTGCCGCGCCCATGAGTGTGTGAGCAGCTTTCTTTCTTGAATCCTTTGCCAGGCAGCCCCATGGACAGGGCCTGTGGTTCCTCCCAGGTCCTCAGCCTCATAGTTCAAGAAAGCAGCTGTTTCTTTCACAGCCCAGGGCCAGAGCCCAGCAGCTCTCGGTCAGTGCAGGCCTGACCTTAGCCCTGGTTTGAGGACTTTATTTCTAATCTCTTCTCTTTTATTCCAGTACCTGAAAGTCTGTCCTGATCTTAATTGCATAAGCCACATTTCCAAAACTGCTGAAGCTAACATTGCCATCTAGAATATTAAAAATTTGACTTCACTGTCATCCTCAGGGCCTGGCTTGTTCCAACTCCACCAGACCAAGAGGCTCTTGAGATCTCTCCTCCCCACACAACTTAATTTAGAAGCATAGTGAGGTTTAAATGTTGCCAAGCTCTTGACACTCTCTGAGCAGCCATCCCCCTTCTCCTTTGGTGTAGAGGGCACCAGCTCCTTTCTGCCATGCCTGGTGAGGACAGTGAACCTCTCTCAATTTAGGGCTGGAGTGAGGATTAAGAGCATGTGTGGTCACCTCCACCATGAGATGGTAGGGGAGTAGGTGGGCAGGGCTTCTGGGGAGAATTTGATTCCTCATAAATAGAAGGAAGGTGAAGAATTTTGCCCCACATTTTTTCCTGGAAGAGTTTTTAGTGGATATGACACTAATGTCCTTAGCTTAGAGCTGTTGCAGTCCTCTGGAGATCATGAGGACTTGAGTCCAAGACTGAAAATCCAATGTGGGGAAGGTGAACCTGGTTTCCTCATGCTGCCCCCAAGCTGCTGCACCAACCCTAATACTCCAACCTTCAGACTTCTGATCTTTGCTTAAGCTTTTGCTATTGTTTCTTTCCATTGCTTCTAAAGTTACTTTCATTTATTTTATTTCATTTATGAGAAAAGGTACTCAAGGGAAGAAACAGAGCCTTAAATTTGCTCTTTAGGAGAAGACAGGCATTTTTATGTGTGTGTGTGTTCATGGGAGTCTGAGGCGTGAAGGGCAGGAATTGTAAGTGCAGTGCTCCCCTGAGATCTTGGTCATTCTATGCCCATGGCTAGAAAAACTCAAATCACTTTGAAGAACTTATAAATTCTGCTGTCTTTCCCTCTCCATTCCTCTTTTTATATCCTAAGCATGAAATAAATGCCTGTTCTTAATTCCTCCCTGCTCCAAGATCATACATATATAATTGTGGTTAAGAAACAAAAATAGTTGGAGAAGACATAGAAACAGGGGATTTTATGCATTTCATTAACAACAAAGTGTGTTTGCAGGTTTCTCTTTCTTCTTAGCACTTTTTGCTGGGAATGTTACTGGTTAAAGATATTCTAGTTGCTAGTGGCAAATCCGTATGAGTCTGCAGCAACCTCAATCCTTGGCCTGCGGCAACCTCAATTCTTGCCTCCTCAGAAGAAAGAATGCGACTGAGGGGCATAAGGGAGAAAAAGAGACCAAGGTAAATTTCAGAGCAGAAGTGAAAGTTTATTGAAAAGCTTTAGAACAGGGGAGAAAGGAAAGTACACTTGAAAGAGACCAAAGTGGGCGACTTGAAGAAGAAGTCCGGTGTTTAACCTTGATTCTAGTACTTTATAGGCAGGTCTCTTTCCCATGATTCTTCTCTTAGGGTGGGCTGCCCGCATGCGCAGTGCCCTTCTTACCCTTGGGAGGTGAGCATGCTCAGTGTGTTCAGAAAGTTGTACACATGCCTATCTGAGGCTTCCTTCCCTTTTCTGGTGGTGTGCCCCTGGAAGGTCATACTTCACTGTTTTGTATTTATATTTATGTATAAATATAAATTTATGTATATATAAATTATATTTATACATAAATATAAATATGAATACATACATATAAATATACAAATATATAAATATACATAAAGTATAAATGTGAATACAAAATATAAATTTATTTATAAATATAAACATTTTATTTTTATTTTTGTATTTATATTTATTGTATTATTTATTTTAACATGCCTGGGAAGTTGCATTTCCCTGGTGCTTGCATTCAATTAACACCTTAGTGCAAAAGGTGTGGACCATCAGGAAATGGCCTCCCTCTAGTGCCAGCTGCCAACTTATCACTTTTAGAGAGGCAATGTGATCATTGCTGAACCATCACCCCACATTCCTAGTGGGTGGGGAAAGAGACCTCTCCTGCCCATCTCATGCCTGTCTAACTGCCCGTAACAGGAAGATGCTGACTGCTCCAGCCAGGTTCCTGTTAGAGGTTGCATTTGGAGGGTTTACAAAGAAAAGCTACTGGCAATTAGTGCCTGATTCCAGGGAGGGTGGCAGGACATTGGGTCTGGATTCTCAAAATGGAGGAGGCCAGAGTGAGAAAGGCTGTGGGTGTGAGAAGAAAGACCTTAGAACTCAGACCTGTGGCCACAGCCTTAGGACCCTGAGAGTGGGGACCACTTATCAAGGAACAAGGAGCAAAGAAGAAGTTGGGTAATATTTGAGGGATTATCTTGCAGGTGGAAGATAATGGAGGTTTGCATTGGGGTGGAGTGGTGGGGTAGAAGTCGGGGGAGTGGTCAGGTTTGGGACACATTTGGGGTCTATGATTATTGTCTGCACTTCGTTCATTACAAGGCACTTGGTGCAATGAGCAGTGCATGCAGCGCTTATAACTATTCTCGATTTTTTCATTATTATTTATTTATTTTTCATTATGATTTATTTTTATTGAGAATTTCTCTGATTGCTGGTGCTCAGGAAGAAGGTGTCTCCTTTCTTCTGAGGCTTTGTCTGAGTAAGCAAGATTTTTGCCTCTACTGCACGCTTTCTTTCCTGATTGTCCCTCTCTTCTGAAAGGCGATGGCCCAGGTGCTCCACTACTGAGAGTCTCAAGCTCTTACCCAAAGCCCTCAGTCTAGAGTTTTTGTTTTTTGCCGTCATGTTATCTTCTTCTTTATCAGCTTAGCAATTTAAAAAATTACTTTTTTTCTTCTGATTTGTAACTATTAAAAATTCTGTCTTAGTTAATCCTACCTATTACCTTCAGAGCAAGTAATGGACTAGCAAAATGGTATTAGGAGATCCAAATATGTGTGTTCAGGAAGAAATATGAGGAGGCAGGCTGTTCCAGAGTGCTCTGTGCAGCCGGCCCTGCAGAGTCCCTCTGTGTGGCCCTATCACTGACTGCCTTCTGTGAATCAGATATTCTGATGAAAGTCCTGGTGAATCCTGTAGCCAGGGGCCACCTACACCCTCCATGAAGACCAAATCCTGTAGTCAGGGGCCACCCACACCCTCCATGAGGGCCAAAAGCCTCTGAAGACAATAAGAGGTCGAGAGAGTCATAGCTCATGACTGTCCTCTGTAGAGACAGCTTCTTCCCAGATGGCTGAGGGCTGTCTGTGGCTATGTCCTTTCTTGTACATGATAGCGGGGACTGGGCAGATCTCTATGCAAACCCGAGCAAGACCTTCCTGTGTGTTCCTCTCTGAACTCTGAACCTAGGTGGCAGTGGATACACTTAGGGAAGTGGAATGATTTGTGATCATAAGAAAGGGAGGGAAGAAGGGGGAGAGAGTGAGCGAAAGACATAGAGAGAGAATGTAACGTGTGTACAGTACCGACACTGAAACTGGGTCCTGTAATGGTTTAGCACTGAGTATCACCCCCACATTATCAGGTTCTTTTCCATGGAGCCAATTAATGTAACTGGTATGGGAAAAAGACCTTTGCAGGTATAAATTAAGAATCTAGAAACAGGGAGATTATCCTGGATTGACCAAGTGGACCCTAAATGCAATCACAAGTATCCTCCTAAGAGTGAGATAGATTGAGATTTAACACAGACAGAAGAGAAGGCAATGTGGCCACAGAGACAAAGACTGGAGGGGTATGGCCACAGTCAAGGAAAGATGCAGCCATTAGGAGCTGGGGGAGACAAGAATAGACTCCCTCCTGGAGCCTCTGAAGGAGCCTGGCCGCCAAGGCCATGATCTTGGCCCAGAGATACTGATTCTAGATTTCTGGCCTACAAAAGTATGAGAGAGTAAACTGTTTTAAGCCATCAGATTTTTGGAACTGTGTTACAGCAGCCCAAGGACACTAATAAGAATGAAGTGCAGGGAAAGTGCAGATGAAACGTGCTCTGGTGGTTTTCAGTCTTCTTGTTCAACTTTCTACTGCTACACATAAATAGATTGATGGGAAAGGATATGGTGGGAAAACATTTACGTGAAACTTCACTGTATAGAGAGAGAGAGATCTATTAGTTAGAATAAATATTGATAATTTTTAGTTGAAAGTGACATCTGACTAGTAATATCTTACATAACGTCTTCATTCTAAGACAGTCAAGGATGCATGAAATGGACACCGGGTACTCTCTCTCTCTCTCTTTCTCTCTTCATGGGTCATGATCTGGTGAAGCCCTCAAGACACTGCTTGATATCCACAGTACTTCATTTTACAGGTAAGAAAACTGCCCATCAGAGTGCAGGGGTGATTTCCCAAAGTCACATGGTCAGCAGAAGTAGGGACTGAGATTGGAACCCAGGTCTGTCAGAACTTATATATGTTCCTTCCACATGGCCACATGTATGTATACACCTCCCCTGTCCTTACCGATTGAGGGCTGTCCTAGGGGATGCTATTCCAGACACTGTGGTCTGGCATGCATGCAGGCAGAGCTGCCTTCCCCAGCTCAGAAAGAGCAGCAGCATGACCATGGAGTCTGCCCATCTCAGAGAGAGCAGCAGCATGACCATGGAGTCTGCCCAGCTCAGAGACAGCAGCATGACCATGGAGTCAGCAGAAGTACAGTGAAGGGGAAAGGCCAAGGGTAGCAAGAGAGACGGCTACATTCAGAAAAAAAAGATGTGTATTTCAATCTAGAGCCCTATGTCTTGAACCTGGATATTAGTAGGCTGTTTACTGGCCAGTTCTCTTGAAATCCAAGCCCCCGGAAAAGCAGCAGAAGGTTTGTGCACAGACTGCACCACTGTGGTGGGACCATGCGTGATCATGAATGAGTAATACTGCCTGGAGTACCCGGGCTCCAGCCCACTGATGCTGATGTAGTTGGTTCCAATTCCCCTGCTGCTGAATCAGGTTGGGATGCCCTCAGCATAGGCAGAGGTATGAGGTACAGAGGTTCAAATTTGTTTCCAAGTTTTATCCATTTTCAGATATATCTCTGTATACATCAGCAATGACTTGGCCAGGGATGGAGACCCTGTGTCCTGGCTGTGAGACAGTGAGGCTGACATCTGGGTCAGGGTGATGTCCCCACTCACTGCAAAAGAGTAAAAGAAGCAAATGACATTGATGGTTCAAGGCAAGGACATGTACCGAGCAGCAGCCACCCCCACCAGAAGAGAGAGTTCACTGACTTTGTCTTTCCCCAGGTCCTCCCCTTCACCTGCCCTTCAGAAAGCCAGGCTTCGGGGGAGCTGCACCTGAGACACTAGGAACATGCTGGTAGGGAGCACAGCTTGGAGCATTACCCAGGGGATATGATCTTTGTCTTCCTACTTTGGACACATTTGATTATAAGAGTCTGGATTGATACAGGGTTTCAAGTTTATCCTAATCAAGGCTCCTATAGTTCAATGAAGAAACAGAGAATCTTGTTGAACTAATCAGATCTGGCATCACTAGCCAGCCCTTTATGCGATGATCTGTAAGAAATATTACACAGTGACAGAAAAGGTGGTAGAATATTCTCCCCAAGGCAAGAATAAGGTGCTATCCATTTAATCCTTGGGTATTAAAGTGACCGATAGCTCTGGAAAATGGAGGGTCTGTGCGTGGTACATGCATGAGAAATCATGGTATTATCTTTGTGAAACTGCAGTCAATTCCTTGTCCTTATACCAGTAACAACAATGGCTTAAAGTTATGACAAACTATTTTTGAATATTGTTAAAAATGCTTCTGATAAAGTCTTATTTTCATTTTAAAAAAGACAATTCCTCACTGACAGAAATATTGTTAACACAACACAAAATATTTTTACACTCACCAAATACATTTGCCAGTAACTTGAAGACCCAAGAGCTCTACTTTCTAAGATTTTATTATGCATTCCCTGCAAACAAGGATAGTCTCCTACATACTGCCAATACAACTATAAAATGCATTACTCAATGTAGTCCTTAGGTTCGTTTAAAATTTTGGAAATTGTCCCAAAAATACGTTTTGTAATAGTATGGCCACCAAAGAGAAATGTATTATCTGCAGGTAAGTTGATGCTACCCTGCTCTGATCTGGGACCCTGGGGACACTGCCCCTGTGCTGAGTTACTGAGATGAGCCAGCCTTGCAGCTGTGCCCAGCCTTCCCCATCCTCTGCTGATTTGCATGTCCCAGAGCACAGCTCCCTTCCTGAAGACTTATTAATTGGCTGGTCACACCCCGTGCAGGAGTCAGTTTTTGTCTGGACACAGCATGGACATGAAGACCCTCATTCAGCTCCCGGGACTTCTGCCATCCTGGTTTCCAGTTAAGAAAAGAAATTACTAGCCTCTTACTCAGCCAGTGTGCTAGGTACTGCCTGGCCATTCAGGGAAGTCTTCTTATAACATGATTAATTGTGTGGATATTTGTTTTTCTGTTTGCAATTTCAGGGACCAGAAGTGACATCCAGTCACCCAGTCTCCATCCACACTGTCTGCATCTGTAAGGAGACAGTGTCACCATCACTTGCCGGGCGAGTCAGAGCATTGGTAGTAATTTAGACTGGTATCAGCAGAAACCAGGGAAGGCCCCTAAGGGCCTGATCTATGCTGCATCCAGTTTGCAATCTGGGGCTCCTTCGCGGTTCGGTGGCAGTGGATCTGGGACAGATTTTACTCTCACCATCAGAATCCTGCAGCCTAAAGATGTTGCAACTTATTACTGTCAACAGTATAAAAATTACCCTATCACAGTGTTACAAACCATAACAAACCCCCCCCAGGAAAGCAGACATGTGACGCTGGGCTGCCCCACCTGCTCTTCTTTGTGCAGCCATCTGGTGACAACACTTCTCAGACTCAGCCTGAGTTTTGAGGGTTATTGGGAGATTACGGAAGAGGGGGCCATGAAGGTGTCTCTCCACCCTAAGTCTCTTTCCTCTCATGGCAATGTCTCTTCGAATTTAGTAAAGAAAGGAGATTAGTCTACCTGAGGAGTCTGTGTTATGGGGTAATTGAAATTCTTACAGTAAAATGGAAGCCACACATTCCAAGCAGGAATTGTTTTAACTGAGTGAATTAGAATCTAAACTATAGCCTTTGAAAGCCTGGCATATGTTATTCATGAAGCAGATACTAGAGATGGGGTTCTCTGATGCAAAAATATAAATATTTATTGATCTGTTTTTAAAGATACTAAGATAAAACTTAAAAATGTTGTCACTGTATCAAATATATTGCATCATATATCTATAAAAACAGTAAAATTTGTGTCATTTATGAAAAATGCACATATTTGAGTGTATATAACATACATATTAATCCATATATATTTATTTGATAACTTGTTAGCTATAAATACTAAGTACACATATTCATGTGTAGATAAGATTATTTAAATATGTTTATATATATATATATAAGCAACACATGCATACGTATGAAATTATTGTATAAATTAAATCTGTTAAGATAATTCCAGTTACTCCCATGAAAAAAACTGATGTCCAGGACTATATATGTTACCTGCTCTGGCTACAGGGATTTCCTTTGTAATCTTTATTTCTAACACTCACCAAATGGGTATGTGCACCTGAAAATATCTTTTAGTGGAGGGGTAAAGGATATGAAGAAAGGTAATTTTGCCTAATGTTAAAATTAGGCAAAATGTTAAAATTTCACAGTGATGCCTGCTGGGCAGAGTTCTAAATTGGGTGCTGGACCAAAGCCACACCCCTGCCATCGTCAAGGATGCCCTGGAAGACTAGAAATCACAATAGTGGGTTAACTACAAGGGTATATCATTGGCTACTTTGCAAAGAGAGGCTGGTAATGCAATGACATTGATTATTAATTTGCACAGGTCATTAGGTCTCAGAAGAAACAAAACTTAAGGACAAAATTGGTTTAGAAGAGCTGTGACTGGATCTTTCAAAATGGGCCAAGATCAAAAATAAATGCTACCCAAGTGAATACTCATCTAAATGCCATTGCCTAGCAGGGAACTCTTAATAATTAAGGTGATCCAACACATGGACTTCAGTCAGTCACCTTTCCCAGGGAGTCTCATGAACCTAAGCCATGGAGATTTATGCATCTGAATTTCATTTGATGAGGCTCACAAGGCTAATGGCACGTCTGAGTATCTGACTTGCCAAAAACCATGACCCTTCCTGAAACCCTAACATTGTACTACACATCTGAGATCAGACTAACAGCTGGTATCAGGTGAGTACATTGGACCTAACCCAACACATTGGGGCGGGGGTGGTTATTTTCCTATATGTACATTTGCCTTTCTTATCAGCCATGTTTCTGCTAGAATAATTACTTGAAAGTTTTTCAAGTGCTTTCAAGTCAAGAAACCCTTACATAATTTATCATTGGAAAAAGTAACTTTATTATAGCAAAAAAAAGTAAGGCAAAGTAGGTTCATGATGCTGTCATGTGTACAGAGGCAGCTATCCCTACAGACAGGAGAAACCCCATTACTAGGCAGGTGAAGTGAGCACACAAACCCTTGTAATGTCAAATCACTGTCTTGCCAGATGTGGCGGAGGCCCCAAAACACCAAGGTGTATGGTATTGTTACTCCCATCAAGAGAATAGTGGTATCTGAGACATGGGGGGTGAGCCCATCACTATTTATTATGCCTACAGAGCAGATTGAAAAGTTCTCTTTCTGTTCACTCAGGTCCGGGGTTTTCTGGTTGACAGTTCTTGATCCAATGGGTTAGCATGATAAATCATTAATAAATTGGAAGAAACAATGAACATGCGGCCATTTAGTTCTCATTATGATGTAAGATAAACTGTCAATAAAGGGTCTCATGGTGTGGGCTGGAGTCATAGGTATAGGTTTCCTTCTACATATTTTAGAGAGGAAGTAGAGAATATGTGGAACCCAGAGGAAATTCAGGATTTTTTTTTTTTTTTTTTTTAGACAGAGTTTCACATTTGTTGTCCAGACTGGAGTGCAATGGCACGATCTCAGCTCACTGAAACCTCCACCTCCCGGGTTCAAGCAATTCTCCTGCCTCAGCCTCCTGAGTAGCTGGGATTAGGGTTACAGGCACCTGCCACCACGTCTGGCTAATTTTTTTTTTTTGTATTTTTAGTAGAGACAGGGTTTTACCATGTTGCCCGGGCTGGCCTCAAACTCCTGACCTCAGGTGATCCACCTGGCTTGGCTTCCCAAAGTGCTGGGATTACAGGCATGAGCCATTGTGCCCAGCTGGGAATGTTTCCATTTACCACCATTTCCACTGGTAAAAGTGAAGAGAAACTTCTACAGACTCCAGAGTGAAGCTTTAAGTAACACAGCTGAAGCATCACATGTACTTAGACACTAGTGCAGCAGAGGGGAGATGAAACGCACAGTGAACTTAGGAGATGTGAACACCAGCTACAGCCTCTAGGTCAGCTTCATAGTAGAGAAGTACAGGAGCCAGTCCACTCATTCCTTCTTCCTTCTTCTGTCATCGAAGCAGTCAGATACAAGAGAAGCCATTATGGCTGGTGAAGCAAACTCGCGTTTATTGTCATGGATTAGGTGAACTAAGCCAGATGGAAAGAGCAGAGGAGTGGGCTCAGGCATTCATTTCACTTCCCTGTTTCTTCCTGCGTTTCTATGCAGAAAAATCCTCTGATTGTGACAGGAAACTTGTGAGGCAGGATGCTGTGCCCACAGGACAGTGCTGCCTGGCCAGGACCCAGACCAGGAGAATGAGCCCCTCTGGAAGGCATCTCCCCTTCCCTTATTAACTTCTGAAAACCACTCTGCAGGGGCATATCTCATGTGCAGAGCCTTAATCACATCTGGGACCCTGAATGCCAGAGACATGAAGGTTAGCCTCACCAGAAACGACCATAAAGATCGTGCTGGAGGCCAGGGGATAAAAAGAATACAGAGAAAACCAACTCATGAAATCTGAATGAGTCACGCACACATTTACATATGTTAAATATTTTTTTCTCAACTGTCCCTTTATTAAAATTCTTTTAATACAAAGTGCTGTTTTGGTCACCTATATAATTCATACCACAGATTAAATGATATCCAGATTGACTTGTGACTCATGAGGGAAGGTCAGTTTTTCCTAGATGGTGTTGGACTGAACAGATTTGAGTTTTTTCACCTTTTGGGTAGAGGTGAGCATGCTGCTATATGCAAAGGGAATGTCTGCATTCTGTTAGGTGTTATCACATTGCTGTTGATATCATGAATACCAGAGGGTTCAAGTGTAAGAAGATATGTACTCATGACAGAAAGCCACAGGGTGGATGGGAGCAGAAATAGCACCTGGAGTCATGTAAACAGAGGGGTCTGCATGAGACTGAAATGGGGATGCAACCAGCACAGGGAGGGCTGCACTCAGGTGGGCAGGTGGCACCACCAACCTTAGCACACAGCTTTCCTCCTTCTTCCATAGCCACTGCTCCCCCATGTCCCTATTGCAGATCTC
The DNA here is from genome assembly GCF_000001405.40 of Homo sapiens. Lineage (NCBI taxonomy): Eukaryota > Metazoa > Chordata > Mammalia > Primates > Hominidae > Homo > Homo sapiens. The sequence continues at coordinate 89,282,978 of NC_000002.12, read as the reverse complement.
TCCCTCATTTATTCCAGTACTTGGAAGTATGTCCCGGCCTTAAATTCCCAGGCTACATTTCCTCAACTGCTGAAGCTAACATTGTCATGTGGAAAATTAGAAATTTGACTTCATTGTCATCCTCAAGGCCTGGCTTGTTCCAACCCCACCAGATTCAGAGAATGTTGGGATCTTTCTGCTTCATCCAGGTTGGCTTAGACACAAGGTGAAATTTAAATGTGTCGAGGCTTTGGCCTCCTGCCTAGCAGCCATCTTCCTCCTTTGGTTTCTTGGGCACCAACTCTGTCCTGCTGTGCATGGGGAGGACAGAAAGTTTCTCTCAGCCCAGGACAGGAACAGAAATTAGGGGGACATGAGTTTGGTTCCACAATAAGATGTCAGGGAGTGAGGGATGAGCAGAGATTCTGGGAAGAATTTTCATCCCTTATAAAAAGAAGAAGGTGGGGCCGGGCGCGGTGACTTATGCTTGTAATCCCAGCACTTTGGGAGGCTGAGGCGGGTGGATCACGAGGTCAGGAGATCGAGACCATCCTGGCTAACACGGTGAAACCCCGTCTCTACTTAAAATACAAAAAATTAGCCGGGCGAGGTGGCGGGCGCCTGTAGTCCCAGCTACTCAGGAGGCTGAGGCAGGAGAATGGCGTGAACTCGGGAGGCGGAGCTTGCAGTGAGCCGAGATTGTGCCACTGCACTCCAGCCTGGGCGACAGAGTGAGACTCCATCTCAAAAAAAAAAAAAAAGAAGAAGGTGGTGAAGAATTTTGGCCTGCATTCTTTCCAGTAATCATGATGAGAGGAACTGATTCTTAGAGCCGCTGCAGCCATCTTAAGACCATGAGGCAGTGAGCCTACGTCTGCAAAGCCAATGTGGTGGGGTGCAAAGTAGAAATAGAGAAAGAACCTGGGGCCTTTCTGCTGTTGCCAAGATGCTTCACCAACTCGAAAAGCTCCAACCTTTGGACCTCTTTGCTTAAGCCATTGCTATCATTTGTTTCCACTACTTCCAAAATTATTTTCATTTAGACAGAAAAGATACTCAGTGAAAGACCACGGCTGGGCCTTAGACCTGCTCTTTAGAAGAAGACAGGCATTATCATATGTGTGCATTTGTGGGAGTCTGAAGCATGAAGGGCAGGAACCAAAATAAGTGATATCCTCTCCTGGCATCTTGGTCCTGCTGTGTCCCTGGCTAGAGAAACCCAAACCGCTTCGAAGAGTTTATAAATTCCATTCTCCTGCTGTCGTCATTTCTATTTTCATATTCTAAATATAAAAGAACCCTTCTTATCTTCAATTCTTCCCTCTGCAAGATTGTGAAAATAGAACCATGGTTAAGAAACAGACAAAAAAGTTTGAAAACACATAAAATCTAAGGATTACATGCATCTCCTCCACACCACCGTGGTGTTTGCAGGTTTCCCCTCCTTCTCAGTGTTTTTTGATGGGAGGATGCTGACTGCTCCAGCCATGTTGCCGGCAGAGGTTGCATTTGGAGGGTTTACAAATAAAAGCTTCCAGACAGTTACTGTTGGATGCTGGGGAAGGTAGCAGGAGGGTTGGGTCTAGATTCCCAGCATGGAGGAGGCCAGGGTGATTCCTGGGAAAGGCTGTTGGTGTGGAAAGAAAAGACTTAGAACTCAGACCTGTGGCCTCCACCTTAAGATCCAAGCATGGGAACCATTTATCAAAGAGCCAAGAAACCTGAGTTGATTCTTAGATAGGAAGCCCCATCTCATCAGTGGCCACCACCATCTGTCATTCAAGTTGAGATTCACCTTCAGTGATGGCTCCACATAACCCTCAAAGCAATGGCTGTCAGGCCCTGAACCAGTCTACATGAAGCAAGCTTCATCACAAGAAGTATGAGGGTAGCCTCAAAAGTGAGACACCAGAGTCCATGGCCTGAAGGAAAAAACAGTAATTACTGAAGTTTATACCAATTTTACTAACATCCTTCCTAATGTCAAGGATTCCCCAACTTCCTGACAGTCAGTCTCCTCTGCATGTTGAACTAATGCCTTGTCTGATTCTAGGCTGACCATGAACTTAAGTATCACAAGAGATGTGCTTCTTCTTGCCTTTCCCTCCAGGTAGAGGCATCATTTTCCTTCTGGTCATTGTCAAAAGAGGAAAGTTTTCCACTAAATATTGCTCATTTCCATACAAGCGTACTGGCCCCAGTCTTAGGTCAAAACCCAGCAACTGCATAGGTCTAGTGAGTCCTTCCCTCGGTGCCTCTTTTTAGTGTGCACCTGCCTTATGCCTTTCCCTGAACCTAAGTCTCTATAAAGTCTGATGCCTCAAGCGCTACCCAGGCTCTGAGCACTCCTCACCAGCATGTTCCTGGTGGCTCAGAAGCAGCTCCCCTGGGGCCTGGCTTTTTGGAGAGCAGTTGAGGGGGAGTACCTGGGGAAAGGCTAAGTGAGTGAACCCTCTCTCCTCAGTGAGGGCAGCTAAAACTGGGTGCATATTCCTGCTGTTCACCATCAATGCCACTTTCTTCTTTTACTCTTTGCAGTGAGTGGGGAAATCATCCCAACACAGGAGACTGCTTGCTTGTCAGTACATTCAGGAAAGAGAGTTTTTGTCTCCTGCTAAGCCAGCAACAATGTACATGGAGAAATATCTTGAATCAGTAAAAAACTTGGACAAAGACTTGAACCCCTTACATCTCATGTCACTACCTTGGTCCTAGGCATCCCAGCCCAGTATAGTGGCAGCAGAACTGGAACCAGCTATGCCTTCACTATCAATGCCCTGGAGCCTGGGGACTACGGGGAGTATAACTGCATGCTTGACTATGGGTAGCCAAGCAATGGTGGTGCAGTGTGGGCACAGAATCCCTGCTGCCTGTCATGCAGCCTGAATTTCTAGGGCACATTCTTGCATTCCAGAGAGATGTGGCCCACATGGACCCTCCAGATTTCACATACACATCTTTTTTGAGTGGATGTAGCAGTAGTTGTCCTAATTCTTTTCTGCATTTCTGCTGACTTCTCATGGTGATATCTGCCCCTCGCTGCTCTCCCTGAAACTACAGAAGGCACCTCTGACTTCATGCATGGTAGACCTCAGAGCCTGGAATGAGCATCCCCTAGGACAGCCCTCAATCTGTGGTGACTAAAGGAGGTGTATACATACCACAGCTCCCTCATCTCTCAGGTAGAATAGCCCAGAGGTTCTTGTGTTTTTACATTGGCATGAGCTTTAGTGGTCCTCATGGTCCTCATGAGCAGCTGCTTATTGATGAGCTTTTCACTGGCCATGTCTTCCCTGCCTCACTTTCCCCCTTCTCTCCCAGGGTTTTCTGTGCTTTGTAAATATGTTGTCAGCATGGGAATTCTTGTCATTGTAAGACCCACCTTAAGACAATAGGCAAATTCTCATGTGTAGAGGTATCTTTATCTAAATTCTAGGGATTTCTTTTTTTATGGGTAGAAAAATTCAGAAAGTTAGGGAAACATTTAATTTTCCTTTACCAATCTCTCTTAGATTGCAATTAAGTAGCAATTCTTTTCTTCTGGGTCCCAAAATCAGAATAGTCTCTAACAAATAGCTACACATGTGAGGTCCACATTGGAGCAGCAGCAGCAGCAGCAGCAGAATCCTCCAGCCCAGGGAAACCCCAGACCAGAGGACCCTGACTCAGATCTCTCCAGCTCTCTTGCTTTATAAAGATGTTGGTTGCCCACATTCTATCCTTCTTCCAGCTATGTGATTTTGGATTCTTGTTTAGAGAAGGACAGTTTGGGGCCAATAAGAATGATTGGTAGTGTGAGTAAAGCACTCCCCATCTCTTCTCAAAAAAAAAAAAAAAAAAAAAAAAAAAAAAAGATGTTTGTGCCTAATCTGTGGAACCTATGAATGTTGCCTTATATGGCAAAAGAAACTTGGCAGATGTGATTAAGCTAAAGATCTTGAGATGAGAAGATTATCTAGATGGGTCACATGTAATCACCAGTGTCCTTACAAAACTGAGGCAGGAGGATCAGATTTGGGGAGGAGATTTGGCAAGGAAGAAAGACGCTGAGTGATGTAAGAGAAAGGCCAGGGGCCTGGAAAGACAGCAGCTTCTAAAAGCTGGAAAAGGCCAGAGAAAAAGTTCTTTCCCCCAGCATCCATAGGGAAGCTTACTTTTAGCCCAGTGAGAGCTTCATTTATCCCAGTGAGACCTGTGTGAGATTTCTCCCTTCCAGAACTGTAAAAGAATAAACTGATGCTGTTTGAAGCCAGCAAGGATGTGGAGATTTGATAGAGGAGCTACAGGAAACACACACAGGGAGAGAATGGCATTTGCCTCTCTGTTCTTGCCTCTTTCAGCTTCTGGTGGCTGCAGCTTTCCTTGGCTGCGGTCACATCACTCCCGTCTCTTTCTCTGTGGTCACACTGCCTTCTCTTCTGTCTGTGTTAAACTTCTCACATCCTCTCTTACAAGGACATTTGTGATTGCATTTAGAGCCATTATGGTTAATCCAGATAGTCTCCCCATCTTAATATTATTAATTGACATCTGTGAAGTCTTTTTGCTCAATTTAGGTAACACTCACAGGTATCAAGGAACTAACTTATTAAAGTATCCAATCTTTCTGTGCATACATACACAATTTATCTCTCTCTTTCTCCCCATTCTCTCTCCTTTCCTCATGATCAAAAATCACTTCCTTAAGTAAATCCAGTTCCACCTATGGCCAGGTCAGAGCAGCACACAGGGGAAGGCCTTGCTCAGGGTTTGCTTAGAGACCTGCTCTGCCCCCATTATCATGCGGAAGGAAGGACACAGCCACAGACAGCCCTCAACCATCTGGGAGAATCTGTCTCTACAGAGGAAAGTCATGGGCTAAGACCCTCCAGACCTGTGATTGTCTTCAGGGGCCTGTGGTCCTCAGCCCTCCCTCTGGATGTCTGATTGTCCTCGGGGATCTGTGGTCCTCAGCCCTCATGGAGGGTTTGTCTGGCCCCCGGTGGTCCACCTTGGCCTCTCATTTTACTCTTTGCACTCACCAAGGAAGTATATTTGCTGTGGGCTGAGTGAGGTGACAAAATAGGCCAAAGTATACAAATAGCTGTATTTTATAATTTTGTTTGTATTTTTCTCAATTAAATTTATGGGATATTTTGAAATGTTTTGCAAGGTGTCATATGAAAATCATTTTTTAGTCATATCTTGACTCAGTAGGTGGGATAAACCCTAATTCAGGGTTAATCTCTAACTGTCTTCACAATTTGGGACAAAAAAATCAAGTGTTGGCTCATCTGCCCCTCCCCTGGCCTCAGCTCCCACCCACTTCTTCCATCTGTCTTTTTTTTTTTTTTAATTATACTTTAAGTTCTAGGGTACATGTGCACAACGGGCAGGTTTGTTACATTTGTATACATGCGCCATGTTGTGTGCTGCACCCGTTAACTCGTCATTTACATTAGGTATATCTCCTAATGCTATCCCTCCTCCCTCCCCCGCCCCCACGACAGACCCCAGTGTGTGATGTTCCCCACCCTGTGTCCAAGTGTTCTCATTGTTCTATTCCCACCTATGAATGAGAACATGTGGTCTTTAGTTTTCTGTCCTTGTGATAGTTTGCTCAGAATGGTGGTTTCCAGCTTCATCCATGTCGCTACAAAGGACATAAACTCATCCTTTTTTATGACTGCATAGTATTCCATGGTGTATATGTGCCACATTTTCTTAATCCAGTCTATCATTGATGGACATTTGGGTTGGGTCCAAGTCTTTGCTATTGTGAATAGTGCCACAATAAACATATGTGTGCATGTGTCTTTATAGCAGCATGATTTATAATCCTTTGGGTATATGCCCAGTAATGGGATGGCTGGGTCAAATGGTATTTCTAGTTCTAGATCCTTGAGGAATTGCCACACTGTCTTCCACAATGGTTGAACTAAGTAGTGGATTAAGCAGCTTGTTTTATTGACAACGTTCTCTTTTCTTTTATTCCTGTTTCATCCTCAGCCTTCAGAAAATAAAATAAAAATCATAATTCTCAGAGCTTTGTTTTTGTACTTTGTCTCGAGTTATAATTTGGTAGTATTTCCCAAGAGCATATAATAATTATTGTATTCTAATTTATCAAATTTTGTATAGAATATGATATATAATAACACATATTAATCACAACTATAGTAAATTTATTGACTCTTTAGTTAAAAGACAGTATTATCAGATTATCTCAGGAGTCAGATAATAAATATTTAGGTTTGGTGAGGCAAGATGCAAAATTGAATATATTATGTGAGTACTTAGAGAAGAGAGAAAACAAATTTCTGCAATGTCTATTAATGAACTCAGATGGAATGTAACCCAAAGAGCTTCTCAGCCTGTCCAGTGAACTGTCACTTACCACCAAATGCTCACAATTTTAAGGAACACAAGGAAACCCCAAATTGAATTATTGTTTAGATCAGAAACATGAGCAGAGGTTTCCAAAATTATTAAAGTGAGAAAGGCCTGAGTCTGATTGAATGGATGTGTTGTGCAGGATGGGGTGGCATAGAAAGTAGGGCATCACCCAAGGAATTGTTCCTGGCCTGCTGGACAGCATTGTCGTCTGTTTGCAGGGAATGGAATTACACACACTGAAGGGTCTGAGCCCGGGGCCTGCTCATCTGTGCAGCCGTGATGATCATCACACCCACAGTGCTGGGCCTAATTGCGTGTTGCCCTTTAATAGTTTTTACAAAGAATGAGGAGGCTTCAGGGCTCATAGGAAAGATGGCTAAGCTGCAAAGGAAAAGTGTGTGTGGAAGATGAACTTCTGATGAACTAGTTTTCAGCCAGGTACATTCATGCACCAATGGAGATGACTCGGTTCTTTGGAGAAATAAGGAGAGGAAAAGAACCACAGGCTTCTATTTTATTCCCAACAGGTTTGTACTAAATACCATCTGGCTGGGTCTAGGTGACTAGTGAGACGGGAAGAAACAGGGGCTATAGTCTGTGACCACAGGGAAGAAGTTCTACCATCAGGCTGAGCCAATGGACTTTTCTGGCCTGACCACCTGGGCAGGGGCTGCTGAGTGCAGAGAGGAGGAGGCAGGGGGTCTCTGCAGCTGGAAGCCCAGCACCCACTCCAACTACTTTGCATATCCTTCCAGCCACTCTGCTGTCCAGAGCCCATATCAATGCCTGGGTCAGAGCTCTCGGGAAGAGCTGCTCGGTTAGGACCCAGAGGGAACCATGGAAGTTCCAGCTCAGCTCCTCTCCTTTCTGGTACTCTGGCTCCCAGGTGAGGGGAACACGGGATGATTCTGCATGCCAATGAAACTCTGTCAATGTTATTGGGTCCTGTGACCTGCTCAGCAAGAACAATAATTAATATTCAATGTACATCAATGATCCCAGCTGTACTGGGAAGACAGTGGATTTGATCTAGATTGCACAATTGACTTTCCTGTTTTATTCCAATCTCAGATACCACTGGAGAAGTTGTGCTGACATGGTCCCCAATCACCCTGTGTTTGTCCCCAGGGGAAGGAGCCACCCTCACCTGAAAGGCCAGTCAGATCATTGACAACTATTCAGCCTGGGACCAGTAGAAACCTGTTCTGGTTCCCAGGCTCCTTATTTATAGGGCATCTACCAAGGCTACCAGCATCCCAGCCCGGTTCAGTGGTGGTGGGCCTGAGGCAGACTTTACCCCAACCATCAACAGCCTAGACCCTGAAGATGTCACAATTTTATTACCCTCATCAGTACAGCAGTGGGTGTCCCACAGTAATTCAACATGAAACAAAAACTTTCACAAAACCATTGATTTTTTTTTTCTAAAACCAGCAGCTTTATGGGCTGCAGCTATGATGGCTGCTCAGTTTTAGCAACTGTGCCTCTATTTGGAAATTTTGAAATTCTGAAAAGTAACTCGTTGTCAAGATGGTGACTCCAATGTCTGTATTTTTCTCAGACTTATTTACAGAGTTAGGTTTTGAATCAATTTTACTGCAAGGCCTTCAGACAGACTCACCTGCATGGATGCCTTTAAAGACACAGGTGCCGCTGGGCACAGTGGCTCACTCTTTTTTTTTCCAATAGAGTAGAACAAACATAGCTTTTCATTTAATAAATTTTCACTTAATGGCAGCATTTTCACGAACAAGTAAAGGCCACCGAGTGAAGGTTAGGTGCACGTGAGTAAATAAGACAATTTTGGGTCCCAATTCAGTAGGGGAAAGAGCCATGAAGGAAGAATAACCACACAATAAAAGTGCGTAGAATAATTTCTGTAGTTGACAAATTGTGTAAAAAGCAGGAATGGTCTGTGGTATCTGGAGGCTGAGGCCATATATTTGTGCTGATCAGGGAAGGCCCCAGGGTCATACTGAAGATTCATCTGAGTGGTGAGGAGGCAGCCAGGTGACCACAAAAACAGCAAAGACCACGGGATCATTATGGGAAGGGCAGGGACCAGTGTGTACTGAAAAAGTCAGCAAGTGCTAAACTAATCAGATGCCTTCTCTGATTTTTATTCCCGTAAAGATAAAACTTACTGTAATATCTTACATCATACACCTTGGTCTGGGTCACTCCCATGGCATAGAATGTTCCCTGGTTCAGAAGTTGGAAGCCCAGGTCTTTCCTTTGTTGACAGTTTGCAGGCTCCCCAGAGCCCTTCCCTGCCACTCAAGCCCTTATCACTGGGTCAGTCTCTGTCTTTGAGTTGGGATCACCATAGGCAGGGGCAGCACTAGACACTGGACATGGGGCTCTGGCCCTCTGGGTTCTAGTTCCCTGGTTTCAGCTAAGGGGGCTCCACATGACAGAGTTCATATGTCCCATAGGACAATGGCTCAGATTGAGGCCATTGTTCAGGGAGCCCAGCATTCACCTCCCACTTGATCAGCCAGCAGGACTCTGCTGGGAAGCCTATGGAGAGGGACATCATTAACTGGGGAAGATCTGTGTTTTGTTTCCACCTCAGATTCTACAGGCAACTATGTGGGCCCCAGTCTCCAGCTTCCCAATCAGTGTCTCCAAGAGGGACAGTTTCCATCACCAGCCTGGAAGCATCCAGGGAAGGTTCCTGAGATCCACCCATGTGCTCTGTCTACCTTGGCCATGGTCCACCCCAGCTTGGTACAGTGGTCCTGGGACACACCTTTGCTTAACAGTTAGAAGCTTGGGTGTCCCAGTGACATTACTGGTTATTACTGTCTACAACTGTGCTGTTCCACGTGGGAAACACTAGCAGTGATAGCCACAGATGTGTCAATTAGAAATACTTAAAATTAGAAAAGTAGCTTCACAGTTACATCAGGTACATTTCATGTACTCAGCAGCCACATATGACTGATGACTAGCCTATTGCACTTCATACATACAGACATTTTCATCATCTTAGAAAATGACTTTGCTTAGCACAGATGTAAATGATAACATCTGATTACTCGCAGTGCTATAGCTGAGAACACAAACCTCAGCAGTTGTTCTTTTAGAAGATCAGGTGTCCCCGGATGCTTCCTCAGCTCGGAAAGCTACTGTGGTTCTCAGAGCTGCTCTGGAAGTGTTTCTGGGATGGGAGGAATGAGGCTGGGTTGACAGATCCAAACCAGGGGCCGTCAGCTTCTCACCCCAGTCCCTGCCATTATGCCCTACAGGGTCCTTTACAGCCCTCTCTTTTTTCCAAAACCACATCTTTGGCATGTCACATGGATCCCAGAATCTAGCCACCCTAATTGTTTTGTGACAAATATTTTTCCTGCATACCGTTTGTCCTCAACTAGATGACTGGTTTATTGAGGGGAGGGGCCATTTCGTGTTTTCTACAAAATCTGTCCTAGTGATGGATGTCATAAGATCAACTCCATGAATACCCATGAAAAGATTTCATCCATAGTCAACGCTCACTGGACCCTAGTATCTAACATCCTGTAAGATGCTATGTTAGAAACTGGCCAATAGATGGCAGACAAACACCGTAATAAACAAAAGATAGACGTCTGATCTTAGAAGTAATGAGGAAGTAAAAGTGATCATGTCCCCTTATGGACAGGGAGGCCCTAAGGCGGGACTGGGGTCTCCTGTCTGACATGGTTCGCCTGGGAGGAGCTGCCAGTGTGCTTAGTGATGGGAAAATCCCCTGTGCTCTGAGACCGGAAGCCTCATCTTGCCCCTCCCTACTGCCTTGGCTGTGTCCCCAAAGCCCTCTTCTTACGGAAGGAACTATGTTTCACAAATTCCTATTTGGAATCTCTTACCTCCAATATGGCTGCAGATGGAGAGAGAGCCTGCTAGGAGGTAACTAGGGTTAAAGAGGTGATCAGGGCAGGATCCTGACACCACGGGATTACTGTCCTTATAAAGAGAGACACTATAGAGCTTTCTCCCTCCCCCACCCTCCCTGCGTGCCCTGAGGGATGGTCATGTGGGGACATGGCCAAAAGGTAACATCTGCAAATTAAAAAGAGAGTCCTCACCAGCAAGAAAACCTTTCTGGACTTTGAGCTTTGCCTTTCCAGGCTCCTAAACTGTTAGAAATAACATTTCTGTGGTTTAAGCCATCCAGTCACATCCATTTTGGTGTCACAATCCCTGCAAACACTCCACCCTACCTACCCTCTCTGAGTAGGATCAGTATCAGGAAGCCCTCGTGGACATGGGGCCCGCCTTTGCTCCTCTTCCTGCTGCTGTTCTGACTCTGATGAGGAGGGAGGACTGCGGCTTCATCCTCAGTTCGTTTGCATTAAGCAGAAAGATTTACTTGTTTTCAGCCTGTTTTGCTTTCTGATTGAAACTTAATCAAACTGAATGAACTACTTCTTTGGTATTAATATTTGGGAATGTTCATGTTTGTTTCCCACTTAGATGCCAGTGGCAACATCGTGTGGACCCTGTATCCAGCCCCTATCCCGGCGTCCCAAGTGAGAGGGTCACTTTCACCAGCAGGGCTGACCAGAGTATGAACAGCATCCTAGCTCAGTTCCAACGGAACCCAGGCCTGGCTCTGAGCTCCTGCTATCCCCTGGACACCATGCCTGCCCTGGTTAAGGGCCATGGGCTTGGACAGATGTCATTCTGACTATCAGCATCCAAGCTGCCTTCAGGGGCACATGCCCCCACCTCCCGTCATTACTGGTGCACAAACCTCGCCCCAGTTCCTGCTCTGCCTGGAGTGCTGCTGAAGATCTGGGGCCTTCTCAGTGGAGCAGAATGGGAGGCAGCTCTGAAATCTTAAACCCCCTTCTCCTCCCACTAGCTTCCCACCTTCCGTATGGGCACCTCCTGAGCATCTGATGAGCATCACAGAGTAGAGAATGTCAATGTGTTTTCTCCCACATCCTGCTCTGAATTTATGAGGCCAATTTATCCTCACCTCACACATGAGCTGCCCTTGTCTTCAGGGATGTGATCCTTGTTTCTCTCACATCCTGTCACAGTGTTGACAACCTAGTTTTGACTTCACTCCATGAATCCTTTTGGAAATATTATGGTCAACAAGTTGTCGTCCTTGAATAACACACAATAAAAATAACAAATATTCAGAAGGTTTTGCAAGGGGGAGAAATGTTTCATTGTGAACAGAGTTCCAGCAGCTGTGTGTGCCATAGAAGCTGGGCAGAGAGATCCCATATGGCTCCAGTTAGAGGGGAGGCTGCCAACGAGCCATGGAGGGCTTTTGTCTTGTGACCACACCTGTAAGCCTTTCTTATAAGCCACATGTAGCCTAATTCTATGAGCCACATGTGCTGCTCTGTCCTACAGGGACCCCCAGGGGACAAAATGCCCATGCTGAGCTCTGGGCACAAAACATCCTTCTACCAGGAGCCGAGGCCCACTCCCTGCCTCCTCGGCACCTGCTGCTTTGTGTTCCCCAGACCCTTAGCAATCTTAGCAATCCTCAGCAATCCTCAGCATCCTTAGCAATCTATGAGTCAGGGCTTGACCCAGAAAGGAAATGAAGTGAGTCCTGAGCCTCTGACCCTTGGGCTCTGTAGTGGGAAAGTGGCCATGGGGTGGGGCACTATTGCTGGATTTTCTTGTTCATGCTCAATTTACCAAAGTTTAAAACCATGCCTTATAACAACAATTCATATTATATTTATTTACATGAAAAGTGCATATTATATGTGTTATATATGTATAAGATATACACATATATTAATACAAATTACATCTGAAATAGCATAGAAATATATTTAATTTGTAAAGTGTGTTACAATTACATATATGCATATACAAATAACTTATGTTTATTTATTTAGCATGTGCTTCTTTTTCTTCTAACTATAACAGAGTCTGGCTGAGTAAAGACTCTGGAGACATTTGATGACCCTCCCTCTTTGGCACTAGTAGGGTCCTGGCCACTCAGGACCAGTGAGGACAGAACTGAGGAAAGTCGACCTAGGATCCCAGGCCCTGCGCTACGGCTTTGGTCTCTCAGACTTTTACCCTGGCTGAAGGGTTCCTGAAGGATTTGTTCCACATTGAACTGGGCTGACCAGCAAGAAGGAACTATGTGCATGCAGCCTATTTACACTGGGAAGGAAGAAGGAAAGTGTAGCAGGAAATAGAAGATGGGTGGCAAAAGTCTCCCCTAAAAGCCACCTAACTCTTAGGATGACTGAAGCTTCATCCCATGTGGAAACATGGGGACAATGCCTCTGGGCTATTCCATCTGAGGGGAGAGAGCTGGGGTATGTTATCATACTCCTGTTATCATCTACTGATAGTGTCTCTCTTAGTCTGTTGTGTCTTGGTATAACAGAATGCCTGAAATTGTAATTGATAAAGAGCAGACAATTATTCTCTCACACTTCTGGAGGATGGGAAGTCTAAGATCAAGGAACTGTCAGATTAGGAATCAGTTTATCTACTTTCAAGATGACACTATGACTCCCGAGTCCTCCAGAAGGAAGGAAGTCCATGTCCTAGCATGACTGAAGAGCAGAAAAGAGAGAGAGAGAAACCCTACTCCCACAAATGGGAAAGAGCAAGGACTCACTCTCAGGAGCCTGCAACCCCCACACCCCAAGCATGGAAAGAATAGAAAATCTTGACTCTCTTCAAAGGAAATTCCAAGCACCTACCTAGCCTTAAGACGTAAGTAAGTAACATGATAAGCAAGGAAGTAAAAACAGCCTAAAATGGCCAAATAAGCTAGACTCAGAAGATGGTGGGTTCCCCTATAGAAACTGAAGGTGACATTTTAGTATATGTCTCTGAGGTGTTTTTGAGGAAACAAGACCCCCTCCAAATGAATCTGCCAGCACACAGATCTCACAAAAGGGAGAACTGGGGACTGAGCTCTGACCATGGTACTTTGTTCTAAATATCTTACAGAGGGGTCTGGTAAAAGTCATATCCATAAACCTGAGCTAATTCGTCTCTTCTGCTGAACCCAAATGTTTAAACAAAGCTTTTCTTCCTTAGCCAATTGTAAATTAGAAGTCTTGTAATCCACCCTTGATCTGTAAGCCCCTGTTTCAAGATATCCTGCCCTTTTAGGCCAAAACCAATATGTGACCTCCATGTATTAATTTTCAATTTGACCTGTAACTTCTGCTTTCCTGAAATTTACTCCTGCCTTAAAAAACCCTTACCTGCAAGCCATCAGTGAGGCCAGGATTTGAATCTTAGCTGCCTGATTCTCTTTACCTGATGCCCTACAAAAAAACAAACAAACAAACAAACAAACCTTTACTTTCTCCTGCTGCAAACTCAGTGTGAATATCTGATCTGACTGAGCTGAGTGAGTGGACTCCAGTTCGGTTCCACAGCACAAGCTCTTTTTATAGTGGCATTTATCCACTCATGAGGGCAGAGCTCTCATGACTTCAACACTTCCCATTAGGCCCCACCTCCCAATTCTGTTGCTTTGAGATAAATTTAAAAACAGATGGGTTTTGAAGGACACAGTGAAACCATAACACTGCCCAAAGAGAGGGCCATTCGAGCCCCTGTGGTCTGCTATGCATGCAGGCAGAGCTGCCTTCTCCAGGTTCAGAAAGAGCAATGAGGGGCATAGATGGCCATTGGAAGTCAGCAGCAGTACAGCGAAAGGGAAAGGCATAGCCTGTAGACAGGGATTGCAATCTTGATATATTTTCTATTTAGTTTCCTTTCTAAAAACAGAATAATTTCATGCTAACAGAAGTGTTGTAAGTACAGCACAAAGTGCTTTCTTCCAATTAAGTGCATATTGTATTTTTTAAAAAATAATCTCCATCTCCATACACGAATAAAATACATTACTCCATCTAGTCCTCAGGAATATTTCGAATTTTGACAATTAACTCAAAAAAGTTCTTTGTAACCAAACAGTCTCCAGGAAGAAACACTTATTTACGGACAAATCTGTGATGCCCTGGTCCGACCTGGGACACTGGGGACATTGCTCCTATGCTGAGTTACTGAGAAGAGCCAGCCCTGCAGCTGTGCCCAGCCTGCCCTATCCCCTGCTGATTTGCATGTTCGCAGAGCACAGCCCCCTGCCCTGAAGACTTATTAATAGGCTGGTCGCACCCTGTGCAGGAGTCAGTCCCAACCAGGACACAGCATGGACATGAGGGTCCCTGCTCAGCTCCTGGGGCTCCTGCTGCTCTGGCTCTCAGGTAAGGAAGGATAACACTAGGAATTTTCTCAGCCAGTGTGCTCAGTACAGCCTGGCTCTTGATGGAAGCCTTCCTATAATATGACTAATAGTATGAATATTTGTGTTTATGTTTCTAATCGCAGGTGCCAGATGTGACATCCAGATGACCCAGTCTCCATCCTCCCTGTCTGCATCTGTAGGAGACAGAGTCACCATCACTTGCCAGGCGAGTCAGGACATTAGCAACTATTTAAATTGGTATCAGCAGAAACCAGGGAAAGCCCCTAAGCTCCTGATCTACGATGCATCCAATTTGGAAACAGGGGTCCCATCAAGGTTCAGTGGAAGTGGATCTGGGACAGATTTTACTTTCACCATCAGCAGCCTGCAGCCTGAAGATATTGCAACATATTACTGTCAACAGTATGATAATCTCCCTCCCACAGTGTAACAAGTCATAACATAAATCACCCAGGGGAGCAGATGCGTGAGGCTCAGCTGTCCCAGATGCCCCTTCTGGTGCCTTCGCCTGCTGAGAATGTTTCTCAAATTGCAGTCACACTTTGAAGTTCACTGGAGAGTTTTTGTAAAAGGGCCATGAAGGCCCACTTCATCGTAGCTGTCTTTCCTTGTCCTAATCCCCAGTATCATAGACAGGGCAATGCCTCTCCTGATTTCATTGAGAAGAAATGGTTACACCTGAGGGGTCTGAGTTGTAGCATCAGTTGGAATTCATGTAGCAATAGTGAGCCACTCTAGGTATTCCAAGTAGGATTTTTTTTAAATATAAGATGTGAGAATCTAAACTACAGCCTTTTAAAGGTTTGCAAGTATAGTAGTCAAAGACGCAAATACTAGAGAAGAGGAATTCTCTTCCGGAATCCAGAATGCATCTGATAGAGAAGGTACAACTGCCAATCATGTGGTCCTCAGACCTTTCTGAGAAGCCCATGGGTGGGGGTGCAGATGCTCTCAGCTGCCTAGAGGACTTCATCAGGTGCTTCTGCAGTCCTCACCTCGGTCCATATGTCTTGCTGCAGGTGTTGATGGATAGTATTGAATCCTCCTCTTCTTACTTCTCAATCTCAGGGCAGGCCCCACACTGGGCAACTCCACCAAAAACCAGAGAAGGCATAGGGTTTCTGGCAAATGTGCTTCCAGAATGATAGTGATGATGGGGAAGTGACAGCTGACATCGTAGTGTGGTCATGTATCTCGACTCTCAGGATTTTTTCAGTGAAGTGATGGCCTCAGAATACACTTGGATGTACTTCCATATACTATGAGTAAGTTTGAAATCATAGCATGAAAATGATATTTAGTCATATGATAAATAGAACTACATGGCTACATTAATCAAAATAGCATAGTGCTGGTACAAAAAGATACACAGACAAATGGAACAGAATAGGGAACTCAGAAATAATGCTGGAGACCTACAACCATCTGATCTTCAACAACCCTGACAAAAACAAGCAATGGGGAAAGTACTCCCTATTTAATAGATAATGCTGGGAGAACTGGCTAGCCATATGCCAAAAATTGAAACTGGACCCCTTCCTTATACCTTACACAAAAATGAACTCAAGATGGATTGAAGACTTAAGTGTAAAACCCCAAACTATAAAAACCCTAGAAGAAAATCTAGGCAATACCATTTAGGACATAGACACGGGCAGAGATTTCATGACAAGAATGCCCAAAGCATTGCAACAAAAGCAAAAATTGACAAATGTGATCTAATTAAACTAAAAAGCCTCTGCACAGCTGAAGAAACTATCATCAGAGTGAACAGACAACATTAAGAATGGGAGAAAAATTTTGCAATTTATTCATCTGACAAAGGTCTAATATCCGGAGTCTATAAGGAACTTAAACAAATTTACAAGAAAAAAAAACAACCCCATTAAAAGGTTGGCAAAGGACATGAACAGACACTTAAAAGAGGACATACATGAGGCCAATAATCATATGAAAAAAAGATCAACATTACTAATCATTGAAGAAATGCAAATCAGAAACACAATGAGATACTATCTCACACCAGTGAGAATGGCGATTATTAAAAAGTCAAAAAACAATAAGTTAGGCAACGTGACTCACACCTGTAATCCTAGCCCTTTGGGAAGCCGAGGTAAGTGGATCACTTGAGGTCAGGAGTTCAAGACTAGCCTGGCCAATATGGCGAAATCTCATCTCTACTAAAAATGCAAAAATTAGCTGGAGGTGGTGGTGGATGCCTGAAATCCCTGTTCCTTGAGGGGCTGAGGCACAAGAATCGCTTGAACCTGGAAGACAGAGGTTGCAGTGAGCTGAGATCATGCCACTGCACTCAAGCCTGGGTGACAGAATGATATTCCTTCTCAGATTAAAAAAAAAATCAAAAAACGACAGATGCTGCGGAGGTTGTGGAGAAATAGGAAAACTTCTACACTGTTAATGAGAATGTAAATTACTTCAACCATTCTGGAAGACAGTGTGGTGATTCTTCAAAGATTTAGAACTGGAAATACCATTTGATTCAGCAGTCCCATTACTGGATATATACCCAAAGGAATATAAATCATTCTACTATAAAGATACATGCATGAGTATGTTCATTGCAGCACTATTTACAATAGCAAAGACATGGAATCAACTCAAATGCCCATCAATGATAGAACAGATAAAGAAAATATGGTACATATGCACCACGGAATACTATGCAGCCATAAAAAGGAATGAGATCATGCCCTTTTCAGGGACATGGATGGAGCTGGAAGCCATTATCCTCAGTAAACTAAGGCAGGAACAGAAAACCAAACACTGCATGTTCTCACATATAAGTGGGAGCCTAACAATGAGAGTACATGGACACGGGAGGAAACGACACACTGAGGTCTGTGGTGGAGGGAGAAGGAGGAAGAGAGGGAGCGTATTAGGAAGAATAGCTAATGGATGCTGGGCTTAATACTGAAGTGATGGGATGATCTGTGCAGTGAACCACCACAGCACACGTCTACCTATGTAACAAACCTGCACATGTGCCCTGGACCTTAAAGTAAAAGTTGAGGAAGAAAAACCATTACATATATATATAAACATTATATATATACACATTATATATATAAACATTATATATATACACTTATATATATAAACATTATATATACACATTATATATATAAACATTATATATACACATTATATATATAAACATTATATATATACATTATATATATAAACATTATATATATACATTATATATATAAACATTATATATATACATTATATATAAACATTATATATATACATTATATATATAAACATTATATATATATATGTGTATGGTTGACTCATATATATATATATATATATATATGTATATGGTTGACTCATATATATATATATATGTATATGTATATGACTTAGCCATAAAAATAAATTTAATAATATCTTTCCCGGCAACTTGCATGGAGGTGGAGGCCGTTATTCAAAGTGAAGTAACTCAGGAATGGAAAACCAAATACCTTATGTCCACACTTATAAGTGAGAGCTAAGCTACAAGTACACAGAGGCATACAGAGTGATCTAATGAACATTGGAGACAGAAGTGGAGAGGGTGGGGGGGGTGAGGAATAAAAAGCTGCATATTAAAAAAAAAAATAGAAATTGCACTAAATAATATAGCAATCATTGGACCAAAAAAAACCTTTGTTGAATACCTGTATGTGTATGTGTGTGTGTATATATACATACACATATATATATAATCTGATTACCTATATATATGCATACAAACACAGACACACACCTATATATACACAAACACCCACACATAAATATTTTATATATAATATATAATATATATACTATATTATATGTTATATATACTATTATAATATATATAATATATATATTATATATTATATATACTATTATTATATATGATACTATTATATATTAATATAATTATATATAATATATATATTATATAATATACTATTATATATTATATATAATAGTATATTATATAATATATATATTATATATAATAGTATTATATATATAATATATATAATACTATTATATATAATATATATAATAGTATTATATATATATAATATATAATACTATTATATATATTATATATAATACTATTATATATATTATATATATTATATATATATAATATTAATATAATATAATATATAATAATATATAATATTAATATTATATATATAATATAATATAATATAATATATAATATAATATAATATATATATTAATAAAATTATATACATATATAATATATAATAGTATATTATATACATATATAATATATACAATATATAATATCATAATATATAATATGTATTATATATATAAAATATGTGTGTGTGTGTCTGTGTGTGTATGCATATATATAGGTAATCAGAACAGGATTTTATAGTATAATATAGATTTATTGAAAATCATTAAGTTCACATTCCATAAATAACATGTGTTCATACATATATATGTGTACATTTGCTTATATGTTTGTATATATATATGTGTGTGTGTGTGTATACACACAGATGTAACATTCTTATTATTTTTTTAATATAAAAACCTTGCTACTCAAAATTTGTCCAGAACCCAGTAGCAACACTAAGAGCATGTTACCAATTCAAAACAGCAAAACCACCTTAGATCAATTGAATGGGAATCTGTATTTTCATAAGATAACAGATGATCCATTGAAGGTTTAAGAAGCTATGTTTTAGGGAATGTTTACTTCAGCTAAGAAATTTTTGTTGTTTTTATCCAACATGTCAATTTAAGAAAATCTGATTAAAGTCACATGTTGAAAACACATCCAATTTTTTTTACTCAATTTGATTTAACTTTAATTAATTTAAGAATAAATTTGCTTTTTTAATGCTGAAGGTTGAAATACTTAATTATTTGTCAGTGACATGATCACATAACTTGAAACTTAATTGGAGAAAAGGTTTTAGAACCTTGAGTAATTGCTAAAGCAAAAGAAGAAACCCACATATTGTATACGTGTGTTGCAGCTGATGGGACTTAAATTTGCTTGTGTAGCTTGACCTCAGGATGTTGTTAACTGCCCTGGCTGATCACTGCTCCTTCAGTCTTGACCCCAATTAAAAAAAAATCCATATATTAGAGATAAGCTCAGCAACCTACAGCACAACCACGCAGCTGAGCCCTGTCTAGATCAGCTAAATTATTGTTAATATGAACATCCGTAAACATGAAAATAAATACTAGTATTGTAAGCCTCTGCATTTTGAGTGGTTTGTTACAAACTATTATTGTTGAAAAGCTAATACATTATTAAACATCCACATATATAGATGCATTTAATGAAAATTGACTGCATAAATATGAATACTTAGAAAATCATAAAGAAACAAAAACATAGAAGAAATAATACTTAAATCAGAAGAAATAAAATACAACTTAGCTCATTTATGGAAACATCTAACAGGAATAGTTAGTATTGAGGATACACATATGTAGCAATACTCAACAGAATAATCAAAATGGAACTTTACATATACACTACAGATTGTTGAAAATCATTAGGTTGACATTCCAGGAATAAAACATATGTTTATACATATATGTGTGCATATGTGCATTTATCTTTTTATATATGATATATGCATTTGCATATATATTTAGACATTGCTTTCTGCATAAACTTATATAAACAGTTATGTTTTAACAAAGTTGTATGACCACATATGTGTGTATATACTCACATACACACAAGCTACAAGCACATATACAAAATTATCACAGTGCCAAGGAAATGTATTTTGGCCCTTCTAGACCCTAGGTTACAGACAGTACTCAGAGGATGGAAGAATTTTAATAAAACAGATATCAAAACATCATGTGAGGCATGCATACATTTTGTTGAAAAATTTTCTTTTTACAGTCACCATTTTCTTTAAAGTTTTATAAAGTGTTGTTGTCTGGTCTCCTTTGTAATTTAGACCTTAGGTTAAATTTGTGACCCATGAGGAATGCTGGATTCTGGACTGAAGGTTTTTGGATTTTGCCATTCATTTTATTTTATGTTCCAGGATACATGTGCAGGATGTGCAGGTTTGTTACATTGGTAAACAGGTGCTATGGTGATTTGCTGCACCTATCAACCCATCACCTAGGTATTAAGCCCAGCATCCATTAGCTATTTTTCCTGGTGCTCTTCTCCTACCCACCCTCCCCTGAAAGGCCCCAGTGTGTGTCATTCCCCTCCTTGTGTCCATGTGTGCTCACTGTTCAGCTCCACCTCTAAGTGAGAACATCTGGTGTCTGGTTTCCTGTTCCTGTGTTAGTTTTCTGAGGATAGTGGTTTCTAGTTTCAACCACGTCCCTGCAAAGGACATGATCTCATTCCTTTTTATGGCTGCATAGTATTCCATGGTGTATATATAAAACATTTTATTTATCCATTCTATCATTGATGGGCATTTGGGTTGATTCCATGTCTTTGCTATTGTGAATCGTGCTGCAATGAACATACACATGCATGTATCTTTATAGTAGAATGATTTATATTCCTTTGGGTATATACCCAGTAATGTGACTGCTGAGTCAAATGGTATTTCCAGTTCTAAATCTTTGAGTAATCGCCACACTGTCTTCCAGAATGGTTGAACTAATTTACATTCCCACCAACAGTTTAGAAGTGTTTCTATTTCCCTGCAACCTCGACAGCATCTGTTGTTTCTTGATTTTTTAATAATCACCATTCTGACTGGAGTGATATGGTGTCTCATTGTGATTTTGGTTTGCATTTCACTGATGATCATTGATGTTGAGCTTTTTTCAT
Organism: Homo sapiens; assembly: GCF_000001405.40. Lineage (NCBI taxonomy): Eukaryota > Metazoa > Chordata > Mammalia > Primates > Hominidae > Homo > Homo sapiens. The sequence goes on along the minus strand of NC_000002.12, from coordinate 89,261,604 downwards.
GTTTCTTGGCCGCATGTATGTCTTCTTTTGAGAAGCGCCTGTTCATGTCCTTTGTCCACCTTTTAATTTTTTTTATTTTTATTTTTGTAAATTTGTTTAAATTTCTTGTAAATTCTGGATATTATAACTTTGTCAGATGAATAAATTGCAAAAATTTTCTCCCATTCTGTAGGTTGTCTGTTCACTATGATGATAGTTTCTTTTGCTGTTCAGAGGCTCTTTAGTTTAATTAGATCTCATTTGCCAATTTTTGCTTTGTTGCAAATGCTGTAGGCATTTTTGTCATAAAATCTCTTCCTGTGTCTATGTCCTAAATAGTATTGCCTAGATTTTTGTAGTTTGGTGTTTTTTTTTTTTTTTAATTATACTTTAAGTAGTTTGGGTTTTAATAGTTTGGGGTTTTATATTAAGTCTTTAATCCATCTTGCCTTCATTTTTGTATAAGGCATAAGGAAGGGGTCCAGTTTCAATTTTCTGCATATGGCTAGCCAATTCTCCCTGCACCATTTATTAAATAGGGAGTACTTCCCTCATTGCTTGTGTTTTTGTTTTTGTTTTTGTTTTTGTTCTTTTTATCAGGTTTGTTGAAGATCAGATGGCTGTAGATGTGTGGTTTTATTTCTGAATTCTCTATTCTGTTCCGTTGGTCTATGTGTCTGTTTTTGTACTGGTAGCATGTTGTTTTGCTTAGTGTATCCTTGTAGCATAGTTTGAAGTTGAGTAGTATGATGCCTCCAGTTTTGTTCTTTTTGCTTAGGCTTGTCCTGGCTACACAACCTTTGTTGGTTCTATATGAATTTTAATTTTTTTTTTTTTTTTTTGACGGAGTCTCGCCTTGTCACCCAGGCTGGAGTGCAGTGGTGCCATCTCGGCCCACTGCAAGCTCCGCCTCCTGGGTTCACGCCATTCTCCTGTCTCAGCCTCCCGGGTAGCTGGAAATATAGGTGCCTGCCACCACTCCTGGCTCATTTTTTGTATTTTTAGTAGAGATGGGCTTTCACCGTGTTAGCCAGGATGGTCTCGATCTCCTGATCTCGTGATCCGCCCGCCTTGGCCTCCCAAAGTGCTGGGACTACAGACGTGAGCCACCACGCCCGGCCAAATTGTTTCTTCTAATTCTGTGATGAATGTCATGGTAGTTTATTGGGAATAGGATTGAATCTATAAATTGCTTTGGGGAGTGTGGCCATTTTTGCGATATTGATTCTTCCTATCCACCAGCATGGAATGTTTTTCTATCTGTTTGTGTCCTCTCTGATTTTCTTGAACAGTGGTTTGTAATTCTCCTTGAAGAGGTCTTCCACTTTCCTCGTTAGCTGTTATCCTAGGTATTTTATTCTCTTTGTTGCAATTGTGAATAGGAGTTCATTCTTAATTTGGCTATTTGTCTGTTGTTGGTGTGTAGATGCTTGTCAATTGTGCACATTGATTTTGTATTCAGAGGCTTTGCTGAAGTTACTTATCAGCTTAAGAAGCTTTTGGGCTGAGTCAATGGCATTTTCTAGATACAGAATCATGTCATCTGCAAACAAAGATAATTTGAATTTCTCTCTTCCTATTCGAATACCCTTTATTTCTTTCTCTTCCCTGATTGCCCTGGTCAGAACTTCCAATACTATGTTGAATAAGAGTGGTGACAGAGGGGTATCCTTGTCTTGTAATGGTTTTCAAGGGGAATGCTTCCAGCTTTTGTCCATTCAGTATGATATTGACTGTGGGTTTGTCATAAATGGCTCTTATTATTTTGAAGTATATTTCTTCAATACGTAGTTTATTGAAATGAAGTGATGTTGAATTTTATCGAAGACCTTTTCTCCATCTACTGAGATAATCATGTGGGTTTTGTCTCTAGTTCCCTTTATGTGATGAATTATGTGTATATTGAACCAGCCTTGCATCCGGGGATGAAGCCAACTTCATCGTGGTGGATAAACTTTTTGATGTGTGGCTGGATATGGTTTGCCAGTATTTTATTGAGGATTTTTGCATCAATGTTCATTAGGGATATTGGCCTGAAGGTTTTCTCCTTTTTTTTTTTTTTTTAATCTCTGCCAGGTTTTGGTATCAAGATGATTCTGGCCTCTTAAAATAAGTTAGACAGGAGTCTCTCCTTTTCAAGTGTTTGGAATTGTTTCAGAAGGAGTGGTACCAGCTCCTCTTTGTACCTCTGGTAGAATTGAACTGTAAATCCATCTGGTCCTGGGCTTTTTTTAGTTGATAGGCTTTTTATTACTGCCTCGATTTCAGAACTTGTTATTGGTCTATTCAGGGATTCAACTTCTTCCTGGTTCAGTCTTGGGTGTCCCCATTCTTTAGGTAGAAGTGATCCTGATGTTACTTGTAAAGACAACGTTTGCAATATGTTAGGTGTTAATACATTGCTTTTAATGTGTGAAAAAGGAATTCAAGTGTGGGAAAGTGTGTATTGGTGATGTCAAGCCACAAGGGTGGATGGAGATAGAAAAAGATATGTAGTCATGAAAAACGATGAATGTGAACGGGACTGAATTTAGGGATATTATCAACACAGGGAGAGCTGCAGGATAGGAGTCAGATCTCTGGTAGCTGCTGGCAGGGATGCTGTCCTTCTGTGGGCCGTAGTGAGAGGAACAGCTGTCTTCTCTGCAGGAGGCAGTCTGAATATGGGGTCTCAGGCAGTAAGGACTCCTCCGCAGCCTGAATCGGCAGTACAGTTTGTGAGATTGTTCCAGAGGTTTTGCCTGGAGCCTGTTGTTAAGGCTTTCCAACAATTTTTGAGCTATTTAATATCCCATAATGAATCCCTTTATGCTTAGTGCAGTTCACATTTGTAACCAATACTAATGACCACTCCACATTGAGGGCATGGTTGCCCCCTTTTTTCCTGCTAAATTTAATGCTTTCCAGGTGAATCTACTAGAGAAGGCCAACATGAATAACCTTCATGTCATCAAAAGTGCATGACAAATAAGCTCAGGGGAGCCACCGGGTTCTCAGTCATCTGCAGTGTCTCATGACATGAAAAGAGGAGACTGAGGAATCTTCCTGTAATCCTTCAGCCAGTCTTTCTGCAGCCTTAGGTAGGGTCTCCACGTGCATGTACTCATCAGTGCTCTGTGGAATACTGAGGGAGGCATCTGGGGATAGCCTGGGCTCTCTCTGAACTCCCTCCTCTGTTTCTCTGTCTTTCTGGACCTCCAATTCTTTTTCCTCTCTTCAGGGACACTCCCAGGCACCTCATGGATTTCCTTTCACTACACAATGCTCTGGCAACTCTCCTCAGGGTCTCAGATGGATCGTTCCAAATTTCATCTCCTTTGGTTTAAAATCTTCTGGGCTCAATATCCTTAATTTCTAATGTCCAATTTCTTGAAAACATTTGCCTCATGTATTGTGTCCTGTGTTTTAGTTAATCCAGAGAGGAGTGTAAACCTAGTCCATTCTAATCTCTTTTGGCTACAGGTTGAATATCTGGAAGCCTACGTCTGAATTTAAATATTTTTCGCTCCTCAAGGTTCTTCACCAGCACCTGGTAGTGTGAGGATAGCAGGTCGTGCTTTAGGGTTGCAATTGGGACTTTACTGCCATTACCCCATCTCTTGCTTTTTCCACACCACACAAGTTCTCCTGAACACATATACAGACACTTCACACACATTCACATGCCATCCCGCCTCCCAGCAGCAGAAACCTGGCCTCACTTTGTGTCTGAGCGGGGAACGCCTACTGCGTAGCTACTCTCAGAGGAACGAGCCCAGAGAAGGGGCCAAGTCCCTGGAAGTTAGGGTTAGAACATTTGAATTGGTAGTTTCAGGACCCCAAGTATCAGGGTGTGATGTAGAAGAAAATTGGCTCTATATTAGCACAGTCTCAGTCTCTCTCTGTGAAAGACTGGAGGGGAGGAGAGCCTGGTGAGGGCCCTTCACTTCTGGGGCCCAGAGCAAGAGGTCCCTCATGTTGAGTGTGCATGTAGCTTTGATTGATGCATTATTACTGAGACACTCAATAGCTCCATTGAAATACAAGATTGGAGACCTCCAACCAAGATGCTCTGTCAGTGTTGACAGGGCTCCTTTATGATCCAGCAGGCTGTTGAGGGCTCCCTGGCCTTGATGAGTTCGCAGCAGAGCTAGCTTTGTCTCCAGCCTCATCCTCCCTTCCTCTGTGTCTTCCGTGAAACTCGGAGCAATTCCCCAGGTGATGTGATCTTGTCTTCATCCTACTTTGAAGAGAATTGATCCTGAGTGGTTCTGGGGTATTTAAGGTTGTACATTTATCCTAATTCAGGCTTCAGTTTCACAGCTATCCTATTTGGTTGATGAAAGAAACTGTATTTGATTTGATTTTTGTTTTTTTGATAATCAGGTTTGGCATCCTCAGTCAGAACTTTCATGCTGATGAGCTGAGAGAAATAAAGTTACATGGGTCTAGGCACAGTGGCTCACACCTATAATGCCAGCATTTGAAAGGCTGAGACTGGAGGATTACTTGAGCCCAGGAATTTGAGACTAACCTAGGCAACATAGTGAGACCCCATCTCCACAAGAAATGAAAAAATTAGCCAGATGCCGTGGCACACGCCTGTGGTTCTAGCTACTGGGGAGGCTGAGACAAGAGGATTGTTTAAGCCCAAGGGGTTGAGGTTGGAGTAAGCTGTGATCTTGCCACTGCACTCCAGTGTAGGGGACAGAGCAGGACCCAGTCTCAAACAAAACAAAACAAACAAGTTACATTTGTCGTGAGGGGTAGACTATGTAGGTCCCCAAACCAAGAATAGGATGCCCATTTAGTTGATGGATACTAAAGAGACCTGTGTCTTCAGATAATAATTTGTCTGTGAACTACACACCTTTGAGAAAGCACAGTGTTATCTTTGTGCGTCTACAGTAAATTTCCATGTCTTATGGTTGTAACAGGTGTGGCTCAGTGCCATCACAAAATACCTTAGAATAGCTTGGGTATGCTCTTAAGAGCTGCCATTTTTATTTTTAAAATATTGAAACAATTTCACATTTACAGAAAGTTTGTAAGTAGAGTACAAAGTAACACATTTCCCCCTAAACCATTGAGAGTAACTTGATGACCTCATAGTTCCACCCTTTAAGACTTTGCTATGTATTTCCTTCAGACAAGACATTTTCCTACATAACCCAATACATCTGTGGAACCAGGGAATCATCACTGGTGCATCACTCCATCTAATCCTCAAGTGTATTTCAACTTTTGTTAATTGTTCCAATAATGTCTTTTGTAACAAAATGATTCACGGGTTGCCTTTGCTGGCCTGTACCTCCGTAGTTTTCTTCCATCTAGAACAGTTCCAGTGTCCTTGTTTGGACTTTATGAATTTGTTTGAATTTTCTTCAGGATTGAACTCTGTTAGTGTAACTGTTGCGGGAATATCCAGAAGCGATACTGTGCTCTCACTGAATCCTATTGGGATGTGTGTGATTTCCATCTGCCACATGACTGACGAGGTTCAATCTGACTCCTGCTGAAGGGGGTGTCTGCCAGGCTTCTCCCTGCACCTTCACTGTTGTTCTGTTTGAAAGAGATAAGAATTTGTGGAGATGTTCTTGATACTTCATGAATATCCCTCTCCTAATCGAAATATAGACATGGATCCATATTTTCTTCAATGGGTTATACTCTGCTACCATCATCATTTATTTTCATAGTCAACCCTCCTCTGATTTGTCCAATGGGAGCCTCATTCACACTGCCTCTGAATACCTGCTGTTTTTATCCCATCATTCTCTGAGCACTTTTTTAGTTTCTGGCACTAGATGGTACAAGCTCATCTTCCATCTCCCCTATTTTAGACCTGACATCAGCCATTTCTCCAAAGATTACTGATTCCTTTTAGTAGAAATCGGCATTCAGAAAAATAAGATCTACACACTAAATGTGTTCAGTGGGACTGATGTGTCATCGCTTCTAGAGAAAATGAGCTATCTATTATCTATCATTTGTCTATCTATCATCATCATCTATTCATCTATCTTTTTACCTATATCTACATAAACCATGAATTGGCACTGATATAGCTATAATCCAGAGTCATAGAGTTTATTCTAGTACGCGCTTTTAAAATATTTCTAACATTTCTCCCTGGGTACCTTGGCTCTAATTATCCTTACTACACTGACTTATGGGATCAACATCTCTTTGTGACACTAGTCTCCTGCTGTCATTGCCACCTACACGCTCCTTGTAGACAACTTCCCTCTTCTGCCTCACAACCTGCATTAGCCCTGATATGCTTTGCCAGCTCACTGTTAACTTTGACTCCTGCATGGGTGACCTTCTCAATCTACATGGGCCGTTATGCTAGTACCACTGGCTTTACCCCTTTTGAAGGGCCCTGCTCATCCTGCTTCAGCTGTGACATATGTGCTAGTGGGAGGATGTCGCCCCACATCCTGCGCCTATGTGGGGATACCCTCCTCCCTCCACTATAGCTTCAACACCTCTGGTGGTCTTCCCTCTCTACTGCACATCAACTGCCCTTTCCATGCCATGTGGGTTTCACACTCTGTGCAATATTTTGGTTTCCCCTTCATTTTGGTGCATGGTTTTCTTTCTGAACCTACTTTGGTCAAATGCCCTAAACCCAGTCATTAAGAACTGCTTTCTCTTAAAAACTGGAAGAGATTGGTAATATAGAGATATACAGTTTATGGAACAGAGTAGATTCAAGAGTAGATGTGAGCACTGGGTCTAGATAACATCTCAGTTTCCGGAAGATATTAGCTTAAGAATGACGTAAGGCACACATATTAATCCAAGGAGCTCAGGAAACATCTAGCATAGGAATGCATGATGGCACACAGAGGTAGAGAGTAGCTGACACTTTTCAGAAGTGGAGGGAGAAGATTTCTGATGTTGGCCTAGATGAAAGAAGTAGGAAAGAAAATGTAGAAATACAGGAAGATGATCACATGTCTGAGATAAGAGATTTGCCATGTCGTTTACCCAGTGTACAAGGATTACCCAATCCTTGCAAAGCATTACACTACTTTCACATATTTTGTGTTAACATTTTCCTTTTTCTTATTTTTAATAAATAAATCTGTCCTTCTATCCATCCATCTATGTATCCATCCATCTTTCTTATACCTCATCATTGCATCTCTGGCTGATAGTGCTGATGATTTACAACATCAAGGGCTCTAGAGGATCAGAGCAAAGAAGAAGTCTCTCTGGCCTCAATAATATTCATCAGTACCAAACGCGGGACACTTCTAAAATTTATTGCAGATTCTGGAGATGTGCTTCTCCAACAAGCCAGGTCTTAGACGGGAAGCTAGCAAGAAAAGTAGGTCATGACCTACTTCTGCAGAGCAGAAAAGCAATCTCCTTGCAGGACAGTAGACAGATTCTGTTCTGTGGCCCCCAGAGAGAAACTTGTTCTCTGCTAACAAGTGTATGCAGGCCTGATCAATCTTAGGACCCCTGGGGGACACTAGGCCTGTGCAATATTATGCAGGTAAAGTCATTCTTGCATCTGTTGAAATTTTCATTTTCAAAAAAACACAGCCAACTTCCTGAAGACTTGTACACAGGCTGGTCATACCACTTGCAAGAGTCAGTCCCAGTCAAGACACAGCATGGACATGAGGGTCCCTGCTCAGCTCCTGGGGCTCCTGCTGCTCTGGCTCTCAGGCAAGGAAGGAGAACACTAGGAATTTACTGAGCCAGTGTGGTCAGTACTACCTGGCTATTCAGGAAAGTCCTCTCATAACATGGTTAATAGTGTTAATAGTTTTGTTTCCCATCTCAGGTGCCAGATATGACATGCAGATGACCCAGTCTCCATCCTCGCTGTCTTCCTGTCTAGGTGAGAGTCACCATCACATGCCAGGAAAGTCAGGCAGGGCATTAGCCATGTTTTAGCCTGATACAAAGAGAAGCCAGGGAAAGCTTCTGAGCTCCTGATCTACGATGCATCCAATTTGCAAACCTGGGTCCCATTGCAGTTATGTGGCATTGGATCCAGGACAGATTTGATTCTCACCATTAGCATCCTCCAGTCTGAAGTTGCTGCAACTTCTTATTATTGGTCAACAGTATAAAAGTGACCCTCTCACAGTGTTACAAACCCAATAAGCTCCCCAAGGAAGCAGATATGTGAGGGTGGGCTGCCCCAGCTGCTTCTCCTGTTTCCTCCATCTGCTGAGAGTGTTTCTCAGACTCAGCCACACTCTGAAGGTCACTGAGCAGTTTTCATAGAAGGGGTAAGGGAAGTGTCTCTACACCCTTAGTTTCTTTTATCCTCCTCAGCCCCAGCAGCAGACATGGCAATGCCTCTCCTAATTTCATAGAAGAGTCATTACCTATGAGGACTCTGGGTTACAGCACTGGTCCAGGTTCATACAACAAAAGAGAAGCTATTGTAGGTAACCCAAATAGAAAGTTTTTCCTAATATGGGAAATCCATGTCTAAATTACAACTTTTCAAAGACCAGAGGATATAATGGTTAGGAAACCAGAAAGGCAAAAGGAGTGCTGGGAAATCTACTTCAAGAAGCAATGGTGGCCGCGCACAGTGGTTCAGGCCTGTAATCCCAGCACTTTGGGAGGCCGAGGCAGGCGGATCACCTGAGATCAGGAGTTCAAGACCAGCCTGGCCAACATGGCGAAACCCCGTCTCTACTAAAAATACAAAAATTAGCCGGGCATAGTGGTGGGTGCCTGTAATCCTAGCTACTCAGAAGGCTGAGGCAGGAGAATCATTTGAACCAGGCAGGTGGTCTCTGCAGTTTCGAAGCCCAGCGCCATCTGTGGCTGTTATGCATGTCTCTCCCAGCCACCCTGCTGTCCAGAGCCCATATCAATCCGTGGGGGTAGGTCTGTGAAAGAGCAGCTCAGTTAGGACCCAGAGGGAACCATGGAAGCTGCAGCTCAGCTGCTTTGATTCTTGTTACTCTGGCTCCCAGGTGCAGGAAACACCGGATGGTTCTGCATGTCAGTGAAACTTTCTCAACCTTGTTGAGTCCTGTTACCTGGCACACCTGCTGGGAAGGCACAATGATTAAAGCTCAATGTAGATCAATGGTCCTGGATGCACTGGGAAGACAATAGGTATGATGTAGTGTACGTGTGTGACATTTCTGTTTTTATTCCAATTTCAGATACCACCAGAGAACTTGTGATGACAGTCTCCAGCCTCCCTGTCTTTATCTCTAGGGGAAAAAGCCACCCTCACCTACAGAGCCAAGTAGACTATTAGCAGCTCCTTAGCAGGGTATCAGTGGAAACCTGGACAGGCTCTCAGGCTCCTCATCCATGGTGCATCCACCAGGACCACCAATGTCCCAGCCTGGTGGAGTGGCAGTGGGTTCGGGGAAAACTTCAGTCTCATTATCAGCAGGCTGGAGCATGAAGATTTTGCACTTTAACACTGTTATCAGCATAGTGGTGGGTATTCCACAGTGATTCCACAGGAAACCAAACCTCCACAAGACAGCTGGTGTTTTTTCCTCAAGCCTTCTGTTTACTTATGGGAAGCTACTATGGTGGCTGCTTAGTTATTGAGAGAAAACAATGGAGACTTCAATAAATAGAAGTTTATACCACATTCATGCATTATAAAACTTAATATTGTGAGTAACATAATTCTCCCTTAATTAATTCAATACAGTGACAATTAAAATCCCAGAGGACTTTTGTGAAATTGAAATGATGTTTCATATATATATAGTATATATATATATATATATATATATGTACTCACATACCACGCACTATATATATATATATATACACACACACTATATATGGTGTATGTATATATATAGTGATATGTATGTGTATAATATATATATAGAGAGTGTGTGTGTATATATATAGATACATACATATCACACATGCATTTAAAAAGGACAAAAATAGCCATTGGAATCTTGCATAAGAATAACAGGTCGGGCTGGGCGTGGTGGATCACTCCTGTAATCCCAGCAATTTGGGAGGCTGAGGTGGGCAGGTCACCTGAGGTCAGGAGGTTGAGACTAGCCTGACCAATATGGAGAAACCCCATCTCTACTAAAAATACAAAATTAGTCAGGTGTGGTGGCACATGCCTGTAATCCCAGCTACTCAGGAGGCTGAGGCAGGAGAATCATTTGAACCCGGGTGGTGGAGGTTGCAGTGAGCTGAGATCGCACCATTGCACTCCAGCCTGGGGAACAGAGCCAGAATCTATCTCAAAAAAACAAAAACAAAAAACAACAACAAAACAAAACAAAAAAAGAATAACAGGGCAGGCATGGTGTCTCACGCCTATAATCCCAGTACTTTGAGAGGCTGAGGCAAGTGTATCGCTTGAGGTCAGGAGTTAGACCACCCTGGCCAACATGGTGAAACCTTGACTCTACTAAAAAAATACAAAAAATTAGCCAGGCATGGTTGCACATTCCTGTAGTCCCAGCTGCTTAGGAGGCTGAGACAGGAGAATCGCTTGAACCCAGGGGGCAGAGGTTGCAAATGAGCCAAGATCATAGCACTGAACTCCAGTCTGGGTGACAGAGCAAGACTGTCTCAAAAAAAAAAAAAAAAAAAAGAACAAAATTGAAGGAATAACACCAGGCAATATCAAACCCTGTTACAAATAACACTAATTAATAATGTAACTACAGATCCGCACATATGTAATCACCCAATTTATGATAAAAGTGTTACCACGGGCCAGGCACAGTGACTCATGCCTGTAATCCCAGCACTTTGGGAGGCTGAGGTGGGCAGATAACGAGGTCAGGAGTTCGAGACCAGTCTGACCAGCGTGGTGAAACCCCATCTCTACTAAAAGCACAAAAATTAGCCAGGCATGGTGGCACATGCCTGTAATCCCAGCTACTCAGGAGGCTGAGGCAGAAGAATCACTTGAACCTGGGAGGCAGAGATTGCAGTGAGCCAAGATCGCACCACTGCACTCTAGCCTGGGTGACAGAGACTCCGTCTCAAAAAAAAAAAAAAAAAAAAGAAAAAAACACTGTTACCATAGATGATGCATACTGAAAGAGAAAAATATCTTGGTCAGGTAATTTAAAACAAGAGACATGTACTTTCTCACAGTTCTGAAGGCTGGGAAGTCCAAGGTCAAGGCACTGGCAATCTTTTTGTACCATGAGGGCTGCTCCAGCTTCCAAGATGGTGGCTTGTGGCTGTGTCCTCACGTTGTGGAGGTGGAAGGGCAAAAGAGACAAATTCTGTGTGAAGCCACTTTTATTGGGCGTTCATCCCATTCACCGGGGTGGAATCCTCATGAATAATCAGCTCCCAAAGGCCCCACTTTGTAATCCTGTTGCATGGGGTAAACAGGAATCTTGGATGAGATGCAGACATTCAGACCAGAGCAGTGATCAGTAGAAAAATATATAATAAGTGAACTGTATTGGATCAATAAGATATCTATATTACATCAAAATGAATCCTGACCTCTATATTTCACCTCTATATTATATAAATATCAACTCTAAATGAATCATAAAATGAAATATGAAGGCAAAATAATAAAGCTTTTAGTAAAGAGCATAAAAACATATATCATAAACAGGTGCAGAAATAAATTTCTTAAAGAGAACACACAAAGCACTAGGCACAAAGACAAAGATTCATGAATTAGGTTTTATTTGTATGAATTCCTTCTTATAGGGTTTTAAACAAATAAATTAAAAATATTATTTGATGAATACATATAGAAGAAATTAACAGAGAGGAAAGTCAAATTATAAAGAATATGAGATTCAGAATTCTGATTAACTGTGGGGGGAGATAGGCATATGGCATCGTGGAAACCCCACCCAGAGATCACACTTTTAGAGGAACCTGTAGAATGGTAGGCCTTGTGACAGCCATCTTGAAGGATATAACTGGCATCAGTCAACCCTGTGGCCCAAACAATTCATATCCCTCTTACATGTTAAATGCTCTAATTCTCACCCCATCAAGTCTAAGTATTATTCCATAATAGTGTCAGGGCAAAATTCAAAATATCATCACCAAAATGATGTCCTGGGGACTGATGTTAGCAAGATAGCAGAGTAAGAGATACCAGGCTTCAGCCCTCACAAAACCCAGCAATTAGTCAGTTATCCAAGAAGGCCAATACCCTGGGAGGGCTGAAGAGTTCAATTACAAACATGCAGCAACATGATAGAGTAAAAAGCCAAGAATAAGCACACGCAAAGGATGGCTGGAAGCTGATGGCACACCTGAGAGCCCTGATACCTCTAGGAACAAAGAAAGGGGAAGCAATTGTTATCAGCCAACGGTGGTGCCACTGTGGGCCCCATAGCCTGCTCTGTGGCAGGACCCTGCAGCCTTTGCTGCTGATAACCTCAGCAGCCACCCAGGCAATCCCCCACCATTCAGCTTTCCCAGTGGAGGCCCTTTAATATTTCTTGTCGAGGATCACAGCAGCCTGCTCCACAGGGGCCACTGGTGCTTTTGCCTGGACAGTTACCTGCAGCCATAGTCGCACACTCCCCAGAGAGGGAGATGCTGCTATACGCACTCCGCAGTGAGGAGCCATTGTTTTCTCTCCTGTGACAGGGCTACCTCCCAGCCCCTTGGCATCAACCTTACCCTCTGCACTGCCCCAGACCCAGGCCTCCGGGTCTCACCCTGCCCTGGCAACTCAGACAGTAAGCCACCTTTATGTGGACTAGCCCATGCCCAGCCCCAGACCCACCATCACTGCAAGTGCACCCTCGCTCCAGACCTCGTCACTGTGGCTGCTCTGGAAATTGCCAAAGACATCAAAGAAATTGAGACATGTTTATAGGCATACCTCAGAGATATTGCTGGTCTAGTTTCCAATCACTGCAATAAAATGACTATTATCATAAAGGGAGTCACACTCATTTTTTGGTTTTCCAGTGCATATAAAAGTTATGTTGACACTATCTTGTATTCGGTTAAATGTACAATAGTGTTATGCCTAAAAAATGTACATACCTTAATTTTTTAAAACTATTGCTGAGCAATACTGACATAGAGACAGGAAGTAAGAACCTACCACTGGAAAAACGGCACCAAAAGAGTTACCTGAGGCAGAGTTGCCACAAACCTTCAATTGGTAAAAATCTCAGTATCTATAAAGCACAGTAAAGCAAAACACAATAAAAGGAGATATGGCTGTATCTTGAAAAGGATGAGAGCTTTGGGTAAGGACAGTGTTAGGTTTTGAAGGGAAGGGAAGGGTTAAAGAAAGACAGAGAGAGAGTTGGCGGCTCTACAGCAAAGCAGGTTTTATGTCCAGCACAAGACTGTGGAGGTGGGGGACTAGCTTAATACCAGAACCCGCTGCCGCTTACAGGCTGGGGTACTTATAGGTATGGGCGGGAGGGGTCTAGACGGTATTACTTGCTGCCCGGCAGGACGTTGATAACATGTTCCTGTGGTCAGGCGGTTTTGCCAAGGATGTTCCTTGGGCCTTTTGCCCAGCGGGGCGTGATAAGAATGTTTCTTGGGCCCACTGTCCAGCAGAAGACGATAGGGATGTTCCTGTATTCACGTGGTTAGGCAGGATGTTTCTCACAGTTCCAACCCCCCGTGTAATGTTTCACTTTAACCAAGGTCTACAAAATGGCAGGGGGGCTTACAAAATGGTGCACCTCGGACTAACAGATAGGAAAAGTCTATGGCCTTTTGCCTGGAACTGCTTTTTTTCACCCAAGCTTCGTCAACAAGAATTTTAGAACTGTAGTTTTACCAGCTGAAATGGCAGCAACAACTGGAAGCTTGTTGCCAAACGGGATTGACTTGAGCTGGGTTGGAGAGTAGAACAAGATCCTTCAGTGTTTTCAGCTAATGGTGCTGAACTCTGCAGGAAATGCCCAGAAAAGGCCCAGAGTTTTGCAAGTCCAAGGTGATGACCCTGGGAGACTGGTACACCAGCTAAAACTTGATAATGGATTACTGGAAACCATGGAGTCATAGAATTATAGAGATCATCCCTGCACACATTCTTAGAATGAGCAGATGTGACTTAGAAATTGCATATTTGAGTGACAGAGACCCAAGTGGGCCCAGTGAATAAAAGTGAAGGAGGTGTCTTTTATGGGCACGCTTCAAGCCACACACATATACATTGGCAGAAAGTAGATTATTGAGGTCAAGGAGTTTGAGCAACACAAATGCCTAAGTTACTGGTGATTACCAAACTGTGCAGACACAGGTAGGGCTTCTGGCTAAAACTTAAAATGAAAAAAATCAGAAATATCAATCGCCAAACAGCTAGTAAGGGATAGATTCTGCAGCATAAGACCAGTCAATTAAGAGGAAATTCAACAATCTTAGAAAAATAAAACAGAATGCAGAATTATATATTATTTGTGAGACATAAAAAATATATTATCAACCGGCATTTTTCCATTAAAATTCCTGAAAAGAAAGAGAAAATCATAAACCATATTGAGATAAATCAGTCAGTGGAAGCTGACTCTTGACTGTTCCTAAATACTGGATTTTGCTAAGAGTTTTAAGTGGTTGTCACATAAATGCTTCAAAGAATATTCAAAACTATGAGCAAGGACTGAAAAAGGAAAATATAAAGACAATTACTCAAAGAATGAGAACTCTCAACAGAGAAAGGGAAACTATGGGAAAGGAACAAATAGGAATTCTAGATGAAAACTATAAAAACAGTATGGAAAATTCACTAGATAGGGCAACAGGAGTTTAAGTTGGCAGAAGCATCAATGAGCCTGAAGACAATTTAGTAGAAATGATCTAATCTGAAAAAGAAAGAAAATGACTAAAGAAAAATAATCATGACCTTAGAGGTTTACAAGTCAATGTGAAGAAGACCAGAAATATGCAATGAGTCAGAAAGGAGAAGACAGAGAAAGTGGCCAAAAAAATTTTGGAGGGATGACAAAAGCTTTCAAGAAGCAATGAAACTCATTCGTCTATAGATAAAAGAAATTGAAAGAACTTATTCAGGACAAACACAATGATACACATAACTATACATATTATAATTAAAATGCTGAACCAGCGACAAGGAGGAAATCGCAAATGCACAAAAATAAAATGACTCTCTATATACAGAAATACAGTGATAAAGCCATCAGCTAACTTTTCATCGTGCCCAAAGGAGGCTAGAAAACAGCGGAATGACATATGTAAATGCAGGGAAACAAAACAAAACAAAACCTAGGATTCAATATCCAGTGAAAGTATGCATTCAAAATAAAAGTAAAGTAAAAACATTTCTTGATAAACAAAAATGAAGAGAAATAATTACTTAAAGACATGCTGTATAACAATTTATCTAGGAAATTCTTCAGATTCACAAAAAATGACAGCAGACAGTAACTTGAATCTGTAAGGAGGAAGGAAGGCCTCAAAAGTACTAAGGGAACAAAAAAAGAGCTAGACCAAACCAACATGTTTACTTCCGTTTATATGAGGTTTCGTATAGGGAAAGCCAATCTATTTGGACAGATGTCAGAATGCCAGTTTCCTTGATTGGGATGGGGAAACAGCTGTTTCCTGAAAGGTAGGTACATGAGGGAAGAATCTGGAGATTCTGCAGTATTCTACAGTTTAATCTCGGTGGAGAATATATGTAAAACTTTATTCGGTTGCACTTTTTAACATTTCTGTCTTTTACTTTGTGTGTGTTTTATTTAAATTTTTAAAAAATTGAAAGGGCCAAATCTGAACTCTTTTAAACAAAAATGAACAAAAACATAAGAATTAGTAAATATTTGTGGAAACATGGCCTTATTAACAAGAAGTATAAAATGTGCCTGGGAGAGTACTATGAAACAAGAAATCTGTTAGGGAAGACAGAAGGAAATACTTAAATTTCTCCAACATAGACAGCATAGATTTTATGCCTATTCGTTTCCCTCCAAACA
The DNA here is from genome assembly GCF_000001405.40 of Homo sapiens. Taxonomy (NCBI): domain Eukaryota; kingdom Metazoa; phylum Chordata; class Mammalia; order Primates; family Hominidae; genus Homo; species Homo sapiens. The sequence goes on along the minus strand of NC_000002.12, from coordinate 89,245,756 downwards.
GAGAAGATATTTAAGTCATTTTGCTCACAAGAGAGGCTCCTACCCTCCCCTTGGCTCTTTCCACCCCACTGCACCCACCAGGTGATTTGCATATTATCCCTTAGTGAAGACTTTCCTTGTGAGTCTGAGATAAAAGCTCAGCTCTACCCTTGCCTTGACTGATCAGGACTCCTCAGTTCACCTTCTCACAATGAGGCTCCCTGCTCAGCTCCTGGGGCTGCTAATGCTCTGGGTCCCAGGTAAGGGTAGAAGGGAGATGAGGGAGGAGAATGGCATGGAACGGTGAGTTCTGGGGCCCCACTGCCTCTAACAACAGTGATCTCTGGGGGTCTCACTACACTCCTATGTGTGTTCCTTTCCTGTATTGGACATGCACATGTTGTCCTCCAGAGTGGGGCATGTGATGATCAGATCTGTGAGAGTGAGGAAGATTCAAGCAGAAACAAGGATCTGTGCTCTGGGGAAGACTGACACAGAAAGGGGATGGTGTGGGGTCTTCTGGAGACCCCTTTGAGCCTTGGATCCCTTGAGTTCCATTTTGAAACTGTGTATTTTTGAAATATGAACAAATACATATATAGCCTGAAATAAACAACAAATCAAAATTTATGAAAATTACACATAAACTTTATACATAACCTTGCTCTTCTTTCTATTTATTTCAGGATCCAGTGGGGATGTTGTGATGACTCAGTCTCCACTCTCCCTGCCCGTCACCCTTGGACAGCCGGCCTCCATCTCCTGCAGGTCTAGTCAAAGCCTCGTATACAGTGATGGAAACACCTACTTGAATTGGTTTCAGCAGAGGCCAGGCCAATCTCCAAGGCGCCTAATTTATAAGGTTTCTAACCGGGACTCTGGGGTCCCAGACAGATTCAGCGGCAGTGGGTCAGGCACTGATTTCACACTGAAAATCAGCAGGGTGGAGGCTGAGGATGTTGGGGTTTATTACTGCATGCAAGGTACACACTGGCCTCCCACAGTGGTACAGCCCTGAACAAAAACCTCCCTGTGGAGTGGCCCAGCTGCCCACATGTGGTGCTTGTCTGGGGAGCAGCTCAGCAGGGTCTCAGAATCTGTGTAAGAGGAAGATGCTGGAGAACCAGGGAACAATTCACATCTGAGGACTCTGGACTTTGAGAGCCCAGCCACACCTCAGGCACCACTCCTTTATGCCCTGCCAGTTGCCACCACCTTGACTGTCATAAGCAGCAGGAGAATGAGGGGTCCAAGTGCCCTGTGAGTAAACAAGCAAGATGGAAGGGGGAGGAGAATGAAAGCTCACCCTAACTCTCCCTACCTTGTGTCCATTTGTTAATTAAATGTAATTAGCAGAGCAGCCAGGCCATTGACACAGATTGTGACTATCCATGTTGGATACATCTTTGGGTTTAGCAGTTTTTGGCATATTGTTCAGAGGACATTTGATAATATTTAATGTTGGTATTTTGCCAGTTTTCTAACTTCCTGCTTCCCCTTTTCTCCCACTCCCAAAATAGAGTAGAGACAGCATTCTATACCAGTTATCCTAAGCGGAAGCTGGCTGAGGACAGTCAGTAAAAATCTTGATTTTGGAGTATCAAATAGATTTTTGTAAATTCATAGAAGATACAAGATCCTAATGCTAAAACTGTTTAGTTAGCCTTAGTTACCTCTTAATGATAGAAAAAAGGAGTACCTGAAATTCCAGAAGTTGTTTTCAAAAATAAAAAGCATATACTGGAAAATGTAGAGTATATAATTTTTCCCATAGAAAACTGGAAAAGTACAGAATGATGTGAACGTTTTTATTTCCAAATGTTAAGAATTTAAGATTGGGCAGACATTAGGGATGAAAGCATGAAGGAAACCCAGGAGAGGTCAGCTTCAATTAAACTACCCTTGGCCTTTGGTAGGTAGGGATGTGGATGGTGGTGGAGTTGGCAGTTCATGATGTGGACCCAGGAGGCCTGATGTGTTTCTTGTGAAGAATCACAGAGTTGAAGGCACCACTACCTGGCTTCCTGGGTGGAGCCTGCATCACTGCGAATTTTCTGGGAAAATAATGCTTTGGGAAGGGTTTTAGATCTGTAATCACCAAAGGCTTAGTGAAATCCCTGTGCAAGGAGACCTGAGGTCATGTCACTCATATCTTGTCAACCCCACACAGCCAAACAGAGCATCTGAAACTCATTCTGTCCCTAGAGACTGCTGGTTGGGTCTGGAGATGTCACAAGCACTGACATGCTGAGCAGAAGGCCCAGCAGGGTCTACACCAGCAGGGGGCGCAGTGGGGATGGAGACCAGTGTCCATGATTCAGACATGTATTCGGGATACATGTATCTGTGTAGCCTTGGGGATTGGGGGAGCATGCTGAATCTGTGGAAGTTTTATGTCCTTGTAGCCCAGCACCTCCATCCCTGCCTGCTGACTCAGACCTCAACATGTGTCCCATGGAAAGCACGGGCCACTTATAGAGGCTGCCCTGTGCAACCCCCAAGGCTCAGCTGGATTCTCCTTTCCCAGGAGAGCTCCTCTGCCTGTACCAAGTCAGAGCTTGTTTCCACAGGCAAACTTGGCGGCTATGGCAGAAGGACAAAAAGTCAGGTGAGCATCAGCTCAACAATGAAAGGTTCTTTTTACTATGGAATTTTAGATCATTCATTCCTTATTCCTTCCACTACTTTCTAAAGTCATTTAATTCTAACTTTGGTATTCTATTGTTTTAAATGGTTTGTACCTTTTGCAGTGGTTGTTTTGGCCTTTCCACTTCTATCTACATTGCTGTACCTGGGAATGAAGATTCCCTTCATTTTTTTTTAAACACAAATAAAGTTTTAGAAGTGACTATGTTGGTACTATTTAGTCAAAAAAAGTAAAACATTTTTAAACAATAAATTAATGTATTATTTTCACTGTACCTTGTCAGTACTTGGACATAAACCTGATTCCCACATTCTAACAATAGTGATATAAAAAATGTATGCTTTCCATAGAGTCAATTTAAAATAGTTCTCTATGAATATTTGTGAATTAGTAATGAGCCTGTGATTTACGTCCTATAGTGTGGTATGACTAAAGTAAAACAATGTTGCAATCAACAGGATAAAGTAATCCAGATTTAGATTAAAGAAATATGTTACATTCGAGATAATTTTCTATTAAAGATAATGTATTCCATGACAAGCATAATTAAATCTGTAGTTTTAACCAGACAGACAACATATACAGTAAAAATTTGGTTTATAGCAAGTGGTGTATAAGACAAAATTAATAACAAGTCTCCAGAGTATATTTTTACACATACCAAAAAGTAAGGACACACATACAATCAAAATTTTATTCATTTCTTCATCACAGGCACCAGTTTGGAGCCTGGAGATGCTGCACGTTCTCCTGTGAGCAGAAAACTCACCAGGACCCTGCACAGCCCGAGGGCCTCAAACGCAGCCTCCCTAGGAGGCTCAGCCTCTCAGTGCAGCACCAGCAACTGCAGCGCCCAGAGATGGAGTCCACAGCAGATGGGCTCAGGTGAAGATGGCTGGAGAGCCTTTGAAGAGGAGGTCATGAGTCCTCACTTACAGGCATGGGCTCTACTTCTGTGCGAACAGGGCCAGGGCCCCCAGGAAGCCTCCCAGAGCCTCTTCCTTCCTCCCAACTTAGGGTGTTCAGGCCCCACAGACTCTCCAGGGAGTGGCTGCCATGTCCTCTCTGGAGCAACCATGAAGTTCCCTGCTGCCCTCATGGCTTCAGGGATGCTCGTTCACGTCACTGGGACGGGATCCTGGTGGGTCGTGACCTCACCTGCTGCCTCTGATGACCTTCGGGGCACTTTGTCCTCCCTTTGCCAAATGACCTCACTCTCACCAACACTCTGAGGATTGAAAGTTGTCTGCACTGCATGATTTTTGCTTTTGAGCAAGTCAAAGCTCACAGGAGTCTCACACATGCATAGCCTGTATTAATATTACACACAATTCCTATTTTCACTTTTCCTATCTTCTTCCAATTTTCTCTGCACACTTACTTACTCTGCCCATCCACTTTCTCCTGTGAAGCTGCTAATGTGGGTTTTTATTTCCAGGCTGATGTGATTTCCTTGCTGCAATACTAGACATGTGCTCATCACATGCCCACATTTTTAAGAATAAAGTATTTTGAGCACAATTTGCTCTTCTTGTACTTGTATGTCAGGGTGGCAGCTCAGGGGATCGGTTTGAAAATTTATTTGCTAAAATGCATGAATATTTCTAGAAATTCGGTGTTATAAATTAAATGTCTTCTTGCATCCCACAACTTTTGATATGTGTTTTCTTTCACTTCAGATTGCTTTGAAATGTCCATCTCTTGGTTTCATCTTTGTCCCAGGCTTTATTTAGTAGTATGTTACATAGTTTTAAAATATTGAGATTTTTTTCTGATAGCTTTCTGTCATTGATTCCTAATAAATTTCCCTTGGCTTCTGAAACTTTATTTTATATGATTTAAATCCATTTAATTTCTTTGAAATAACTTGTGGCCCAAAGCATGATCTCTCTTAGCTAATGTTTTAAAATGGCTATGGAGTCTGCTGTTGTGGCAGAGTGTTCTCTCAGTGTCAATCCTACCCACATGGTTGATGGCTTTGGCAAGTCATCTGTATCTGCATGGGCCCAAGAGACACTGTTGCCTACAGTGCAGGCTGGAGCTGCTGCAGAGCCCTTTTCTGCCCTGGGTCTCCACTAAAGGCTGGGAAGACTTCCATGTCACCTGGATGGTGACATGACCAGTATTCCACGGTGTAGAATCTGTTGCCTCTAGATTCCAAAAAGGCCGCTGTGAGCTTCCTTCATTTTTTTAAATAAAGACTCTCATGAAACAGAATGGAATGGAATACATATACCTATCATCAGGAACTCTGATTCTCTCCAAGTTTATGAAGCACATACTATCGTAACCTTATTGATTTGGGTAAACCATTTAATGCCATTTGATGGCAGCTATAGAGCTGAGTACCCAGAAATATGAGCTGCAGTGCAATACCAGCTGGGAGAGGTCAGCCTCCCAACCATAGCCAGAGTATGACCAGGCAGTCACAAAGAGTTCTCCAGGAATTTTCTGATAATTTTCCTTGTGTCAGGGCAGTTTCTGGCCTGGCTTTCTAATGAGGAAGGGGTAAAAGTTGACACTGTGATGTCCTGACTTCTACTGCACCAACTCTTACCCAGTCCTTCTGTCAATAACTCAGTAGGCTACACAAGTCAAATTCTCGATAAGTATATTAAACCTGGTCTAAAGTTTTTATTTCTTTTATGGATTTGCCTATTCCATTAAACATTTTAATATCTTGAATACGGTTGTGCAAATCATGCCTCTCAGTCTCTCTGCAAATATTAATATTGGGGCAAATTTAATAACAGTTTTCTCATGATGTCATATTTTCTTACCAGTTCTGAATAAGCTGAACTGTATGTAATGACAAATATTATAAGCTAGTTTGAGCTCAAGACAAATTACTTTTACTGAAATTTAATACCTTAGCATCAACCTGGAAACAAAAGATGTTGCTCAAGTTTAAAGGTCTATTCATGAGTATCATAAACTTGCACATATTTGCTACAGTATTCCACAGGATCAATAGGTTTTCTGTTTTAATGTGCTAAATATAGACACTTTTTGTGCAATCAGATTTTCTGGGATAAGCGGATAACAGAGATTCTCATATTAGGCTTTAAATTCTACCTAGGACTGCTAGGATTTCACAATACAAAAAGTCATTTTCTAGGTTGACGATATTCTTCATTTTCTAGGGTAAGAACATTAAATAGGAGTAAGAGCTGGTAAAGTAAGTCTCTAAGACACAGTCATATCTATAGTCCTTTGTTACACTTTATAATTTCATGCCCTGACTGCTTCTAGGAGATTAAAATTTATTTTATTTAACTTTATTTTATTACTGATCTTGCATTCTTTTCTTGCTAGGATATATTTTAGAAAAACAAATTTGGAGAAGTACTGAAATTTGAGCACAGTTAATGCTTCATAGCGCATGTGAACTTTGGGTGATCGTTGACTCCTGGCCAAGAAAGGACCAGTAAAAGTGAAATTTACCACTATGACATGAAGCTGCTGCTTCCATAAGGCAGAGTCACCATTTCCAGGTGTCCATGTAGAGGCTGTGCAGTTATTGTTATTATTACCATTATTGTTGTTATAACAAGGAATGAACACCAGGTAATTTGTTCAGCCCCTGCCTCTTTCTTATTCTGAACTTTAGATTTTTATGAACAGGAGTTGACAGGAAGAGGCTAAAAGAGAATTTCTGTTGATTTTATAAATTAAGTGATTTGATTTTGTCTCTGATTTTTTCCTGAAGGTCTTAACATTTCTGCATTCAAAATGTATATGAGTATTTTGTTGATCTTAAAATTAATATAAAATGAGTAATAAATGTCAAAATTCTCAAATTATAATTTTAATTTTTCTGTAGGTGAACCATGCTCTCTAAATTAAAAAGTAAGAAACAAATTTATTTGTCTTCTTGGTATATTCATACAAATTTTTACATCACAGGCAGTTTCCACTGCAGTTTAAAAGGCTCAAATTCCCGATTCCGTCCCCAGAATCTTCTTGGGGTCTCCACCCTCCACCTCTCAATTAAACCAAGCTTTAATATAAGGTCAAAAAGACAACTTTCATGTTCACATGGTGGAAAAAATTAATAACCTTCCAGGCAAGTTGTGATTTTCTAGAAACCTACTTTTGAGGAGTGGTTTTATAGAGACCTACTTTCTATAAGGGTGAGAATTTCGAGGGAACTTATAAGATGCAGAAGGCCCAGGGAGGCAATGGAATTATTGTTTCGCTTTTTGTATTGATGTTTGGTGAGGTGGGCTCTGCAGAAAGATTAACATGCATGAAGGAAAACTCCAGCACTGAATCTCACAGCTCAGTCTGTTGTTTTATAGGACTTTTTTCCATTTTTTTTTAAGCAAAAGGAAAGACAAATAATCCAAACGTTTAGAAACAGTTTCAGATTTGGCAGGTTAGAACAGGGTCTGAAGACTCAGAAACATGTTACATGTTGCCTTCCAGGTCAAACATGTAAACAACTCTGTTTTCTCCAGTTTTTAGAGAGAGAAATTCTCAGAAGCACAAGATATAGACGTACAAGAAGCCTTCATTCCCTGAGCTCTCTGTGTACCAGAATATTTATCCATGAATCTATGCCCCAGTGGTGACAATTTTCAGTTAGTGAGATAATGCAGACAGCTTCAATCTCAGGTGTCTGGAGCCAGGAATCTAGTCACAGGACCTGCAGCGTCAGAGACTGAAGCTCCCTTTGTAGGTGACTTGGTCTTTTTTTTTTTTTTTTTTTTTTTTTTGAGACGGAGTCTCGCTCTGTCACCCAGTCTGGAGTATGGTGGCGCCATCTCCGCTCACTGTAATCTCCGCCTCCCAGGTTCAAGCCATTCTCTTGCCTCAGCCTCCAGAGTAGCTGGGACTACAGGCGCCCGCCACCACGCCTGGCTAATCTTTTGTATTTGTAGTAGAGACAGGGTTTCACCGTGTTAGCCAGGATGGTCTCCATCTCCTGACCTCGTGATCCGCCCGCCTCTTACACAGGGGCAAACTCTCACTTTTAGTCAGGAAAAACCTCCATTGAGGTCCAGGTGGAGAACAGGCCTCTGTATGTCTCAATCTCCTCCAGAACAGTGTGAGTTTCCCTGTTTGGACAAGTACAGTCGGCAGAAAAAAGTTTACAGAATGTGTGACAGTGTTGTAGAAATGAGCTAAAGATGGCCAGTGCAAACTGCCCCTATGTGGTGTGTTTCTAAACTGCAGGCTATTTCTAAATGGCCTGTGCCACACTCAAGTTTTCCAATCCAATCATTTCAAAAACAGCCCAAAGATTATTTTTTTTTTTTTTTTTGAGACCGAGTCTTGCTCTGTTGCCCAGGCTAGAGTGCAGTTGCACGATCTCTGCTCACTGCCACCTCTGCCTCCCGGGTTCAAGCGATTACCCTGCCTCAGCCTCCTGAGTATCTGGGACTACAGGCGCCTGCCACCACACCTGGCTAATTTTTTTGTATATTTAGTAGATATGGGGTTTCACCATGTTAGCCAGGATGGTCTCCATCTCCTGACCTCATGATCTGCCCACCTTGGCCTCCCAAAGTGCTGGGATTACAGGCGTGAGCCACTGCGCCCAGCCCGAAAGAAGATTTTTAGCCATTCAGAGAATGCTTGCTTTTCATATCACAGGAAACCTCACCCACATCTGTTAGCAGTAGGTAAGATAAGCCCCAGGAGATGAAAATTGCAAATCACTCCTGCCCTCTGGATATCTCAGACCCAGATTAAGCTGTTGTCTGGCTACCCCTAGACAGAGAATGCCTTTCTCCAATGTTCCTTTACCTTAGGATTTCCCTTGTTCTCCACCTTTTCTGAGTAGCAGCCCCAACATCTTTCATTCTAGACAGTCTCCTGCTGTGAGGGACTCCTTTGGGCAAATCTGTCAAAGCTTCACCCAACAACAGTCATGTGTGCTACTGCCACCCTATGGACATCTCTTTCTGTTTGATCAGAACCTCAATTTTTCAAACTCTCTATAAACAGGACCACACTATCCACCCCACAAACACTGACTCCAGCATAATGGACACAATTCCACCTCCGAGGCTGTCTTCTCAAGTCATACAAATAATACACTTGCCTTCAATTTTATGGACTGCAAACTAACAGCATCTGGCAAGTGAGATGCAATAAACCCCACCCGGATGAGTCCTTCCTCATTCGACTGATCATGGTCCAGATTCGAGAAATACAGAGGCCGCTCCACAATTGAATCAAATAGAGGCTGTTCTTCTACCTTTTTAACTGTGTCCAGCATGGAGCGACCAGCTTTGTCTGCTGTTGTGAAGCCTCTGTGTACTCTATTTAAACCTTCAGGAGAGAGGGGTTCCTCTTTAGAATTAAGAATATTATTCTCTAAGTTTAATAATGTAGGGTAATTTCAAGGCCTTTAGTATAGGGTAATTTCAGAGCCTTTTTATGATTGAAACAATTTTTTACAAGGTTTTACATTTTCAGATATGTAATGACAAGAGATTATGAGATAAAACAACCAATCCCAATCGTAAACTTTTTAAAGCTCTGTCATTAATTTTCAAAGGAAACAGCAGTACTCTCTGAAATTCAGCACCTTAAAGAATACTTTGTAAAACTAAGATTTTGAAGAATTGACTAATAGTAAAAGCAAGCCTGACAGATTTATTACTGTTATTCGTTTTCCCACAATGCAAGTTTCTATATAGGATAGTGGGTGGAACTGATTATTCAGTTAACACCTTTTCAGACTAATCCGTTTATACCAGTGATAAGATGTACCTTAATGTTCTCTTTTAGATTGTGTCTTTACTTTTATTTTTCTTTTCAGCATCTGATGTTTCTGACTCTTTTAACTATTATGATGAATTAGGAGTTTGACATTTCCAAGGCTAAGAACCATATTTGACCTGCTCAGCATCACAAGAAAAAAGAAGTCAATGCCAGGCACCGTGGCTCACTCCTGTAATCCCAGCACTTTCAGAGGCCAAGGCAGGTGGATCGCTTGAGGCCAGGAGTTCGAGACAAGCCTGGCCGACATGTGGAAACCTCGTCTCTACTAAAAATACAGAAATTAGTTGGGCATGGTGGAGAATGCCTGTAGTCCCATCTACTCCAAAGACATGAGAACTGCTTGAACCCAGGAGGCAGAGGTTGCTGTGAGCAGAGATTGCACCACTACACTCCAGCCTGAGTAACAGACAGAGACTGTCTCAAGAAAAAAAAAAAGTGAAACACATAAGATTTACAAAAAGTGATGAAAGAATAGAATAAATAAAAATTTAAATAGTGAAATATGATACATTTATTCTAATCCTACTTCCACACTACAATTTGATATTCTCAATTTAGGTTACTGCCATGACGTTCAACGTTTTAAGGTCAATATCATTTTTACTCAATTTTTTTCACCAACTTTGTTAAAACATCATATGCCAGTGCATTTCCCGGAAGATAATCAGGACAAGCTTTGTGTGCAAAACACCTAGAGCTCTGTTTTGCTTTTCTGGGTGTGTGTTCTTTACCAAGTAAATCAGATGTTGTATTAAATCACTGAAGATTACATAGCACTAGAAACTATTCTTTTAATTGCTCCCAGGATTTTTGTTGTTTTTTTCAGGACAGTGGCAGTCTCTGTGAAGTGATTTGATGTACGCACCGTTATTCAGGAGCAGCTAAATTCAATATTAAGCACATCACTGACAAATGAAGAATACTCAAGTTGTTTTCCTATTGTAACGATGAGTTGTGTGGTAGATTCATATGCCTGACCTGTGATCATCTTTCAATAAAAACCTAGGAAAATGTCGTCCATAGTACTGCTGACCCTGAGACTTAAAACCAGGGATCCAGTTCTTGCTCTTCCTACATAGAGAATCTCATTTTGAACTGTGGTGTCATGGCTGTGGCTGTGCCACATACAGGCCAGGGGGAGACAAGGGTTCACCCTCAGAGTTGACAAGAATTTGGAAGCCCTGACATCCTATAAAACGTTACTTGCCCAAGATTGAAACTTTCAAATTCAGGTCCTTCTTCCTCCTCTATGATGAATTAGGTTTTATTAGTTTCCTCCAAGGGACACTTTATATCACATTGCTCACAGAGAAGACATATCTACCCCCTTCACCCCCCACCCAATGGCTCTTTCCACACCACTGCACCCACCAGGTGATTTGCATATTGTCCCCTAGGGAGGACCTTCCCTTGTGAGCCTGAGATAAAAGCTCAGCTCTAACCTTGCCTTGACTGATCAGGACTTCTCAGTTCATCTTCTCACCATGAGGCTCCCTGCTCAGCTCCTGGGGCTGCTAATGCTCTGGATCCCTGGTAAGGATGGAAGGAGATGAGGGAGGAGGAGGGGGTGGGAGGCTGAGCTCTGGCGGCCCCACTGATTCCCGTGTTTATTCTAACCATGTGTTAAAGGAATATGCCCTATGCTCCAGGGAGAGGAATTCATATTTTGCCCTGATGATGATTTGAAAACTCCTAAAAGCAGTGCTCTGAATAATATCTTGAGAAATGAAAGAACTCTTGTGCCTATTTAATAAAGGGTTCATTTAAAATTTTGTTTTTATGATATGAATACAAATTTGTAAAAATAAAAGATTAGCCATAAATCAATATCATAAGGCAAATCTCAAAAGTTGTTCATTATGCTTTCACATAACCTTGCACTTCTCTCTCATAATTTCAGGATCCAGTGCGGATATTGTGATGACCCAGACTCCACTCTCTCTGTCCGTCACCCCTGGACAGCCGGCCTCCATCTCCTGCAAGTCTAGTCAGAGCCTCCTGCATAGTGATGGAAAGACCTATTTGTATTGGTACCTGCAGAAGCCAGGCCAGTCTCCACAGCTCCTGATCTATGAAGTTTCCAGCCGGTTCTCTGGAGTGCCAGATAGGTTCAGTGGCAGCGGGTCAGGGACAGATTTCACACTGAAAATCAGCCGGGTGGAGGCTGAGGATGTTGGGGTTTATTACTGAATGCAAGGTATACACCTTCCTCCCACAGTGGTACAGACCAATACAGAAACCTCCCTGCTGGGGTGTCCCAGCTGCTCACTTGCACTGCTTGTCTGGGGAGTAGCTCAGCAGGGACTCTGAGTCTGCAGAAGAGGAGACTGTTGGAGAACTCAGGGGCAGGGCTTGCTGTTGAGGACTCTGGCCCATGAGAGTCTCAGCAGCACCTCAGTCCCACATGGTCAAAGCTTTATCAGTTGCCAGGCTCATCCTCACCCTGCCTGTCTTGCCCACGTTTGCCGAGTACACTCAATCAGCATAACAGCCAGAACATAGATGCAGTTTAGTGACAACACAGGTGGAATACATGTGGCAAATGACCAGCTTGGGGTTTATTTTACACAAATTAATACTTGGTGATAATATTTGGAATTATTGCGAATTTGGTATTTTCCCACTTTCCTTACTTTCTATTTCACTTTACTACTCACACTAAACTGCACTTTCCAGTGTCATGTGGGAGAACGTGTTCTATACAAGCTGTCCTCAGGGGGAGTATGGATAAGAATAATTAGAAAAAAAATGTTTGATTTCTGACTATTCTTAGACTTTGTAAATCCATGGCAGATATAAATCTTAATGCCAAAAGATTTTGATTTGCCTCAATTACGTTTTTCCCAGTGAAGAGGGAGTTCTTGCAACTCCAAAAGTGAGCTTCAGAAATAAGCAGCACTGGCCGGGTACAGTGGCTCACGCCTGTCATTCCAGCACTTTGGGAGGCCGAGGTGGATGGATCACCTGAGGTCAGGAGTTCGAGACCAGCCTGACCAACATGGTGAAACCCGGTCTCTACTGAAAATACAAAATTAGCCAGGGCGTGGTGGCACACACCTGTAATCCCGGCTAGTTGGGAGGCCGATGCAGGAAAATCACTTGAACCTGGGAGGTGGAGGTTGCAGTGAGCTGGAGATAGTGCCACTGCACTCCAGCCTGGGCTACAAGGCGAAATTCTGTCAAAAAAAAAAAAAAAAAAAGCAGCATAAACTGAAAGATGAAAAACACAGAGTTTACTAAATATGCCACAGGAAAAATGCAGAATTATATGAGAGGTTTTTTTTTTCCTCAACCAAATTCTAATTGTAAAAGTATTTATTCTAAGTACTATTTTAGGGATGATAAATTTAGTACTATGTCATCATAATAAAAGGTTTCAAATGTTACAAAAATGTATTATTTACTTATGATAACATCATTACCAGAAAATGAATCTGGATCATATGTTTTAGTTGTAAAAACATAGAAAATTTATTATTTCAATAGATTCCATGTAAAATAGTGTTCTAGTGTTATAATATTCTATCAAGCTCAATGATGAGCTATGTCAGTTACATATTACAATATTGTGTGATAGACACAAAATGATTGAAGCAACAGAACAAGAAGCTCCTGCTTCAGATTTAAGGTTTAAAGTATATTTGAGATGATTTTCTACTCTAAGATAATGGATTTCATGGCAAGTGCAATTAAAATTCCGAAGCGCCATTTCTGTTGGGTTTAGTAGACATTGCAATATTTATATAGAAATCAAGCAGACTGAAACTGTGAAAATAAGAAACATAAGACACTTAATACACTGTTTAAAATGCTAATTAATTCATCATGGAGCTTAAAAGTTATTACAGAATGCAGGGAGAGAAGACAAGCGTAAGTAGCAAGGGCAGGAACTAACCACTGTCATCACCATCTTTGGCCATCAAGTGATTGACAGCACCTAGTGACCTAAGATTCTGCTTTGATGTGAGACAGGGGAAAAGGCCCAAACCACTCAAGGTGGTTGGACACCTTTAAAAACCAAACAAACATACAGCCTACATGGTGCTGATACCTCAAGGGGCGATACTCTCAAGTCAAAATGGTGAAAAATAAATGATTCCAAATACGGAAAGGGATACAAAGAGAATCAGAGCATAATCAAATGTATTACAAAGAAGCTTCAAAATATGGTGGACTGAATGTGACAAGGTTTCTCTGTCTGTGCCATGGCAGTGTAGAGGCAGGCAGGTGGCCTTGGTGGTGTCGGTGGCTCTGCTCCATGAGGTCACTCAGGTGGGCAGGAACCACGACCACCCTCAGCGCACAGCCCTCCTCCTTCCTCACAGTCTCTGCCCCCACGGCCATCCTCAGCAGCATGAGGTGGAGCAGAGTGAAGGGAAAGCTGTTTTCTTCTAAAGGCCAAAGAAAACTCCAGTTTTCCACCAGGGATAAATGTTCTTTTGTGTAAAGCACAGGTTTGTGAAATTTTTCACCAAGTGAATCTTGTGAGAAACTCACACTTTTTGTTGTTTTTAATCTGAAAATGTATTTACATGATTCCTGGAAATAATTTTTTTGAATATGTGATTATATTGTGGCAGTCTACCTGAAGTTGTCATTTACCATTGAGAATTACTGCTAAAAAGTCATTTGATAAAAAAAGACTCATCTGTGACAGACAGTCCTCCTTTGGAAGGACTCTGTCTTTTTATCCCTTTATACCCATTTTAAGCCCTTTGATGGCCTTTGGGTTTTTCTTAAACAATCAATGTATTAAGTTTAATTCATTATTTATGTTTAATAATTAATTTTCAATGTGCACATGTACCCTAAAACTTAAAGTATAATAATAAAAAAAAGAAAAAAAATTAATTTTCACTAGCACAAAGTCAAAAATCCTGAACGTTGCTATGTCAAAGACCTGCCTCTAGATGGCAAACAAACCCCACAATAAACCAAAGAGATTGCCATGATCTAAAAATATTACTTGCATTGTAAGGGTGATGATGTCTGCTTATCAACATGGAGCCCCTAAGGCTGAAATGGGGTCTCATGTGTGACCTGGAGCACCCAGGAGGAGCTTCCAGCGTGCTGTCTTGTGGGGAAACCCCTCTTTGCTCTGTGATCTGAGAATGCAAGCCTGGCCCTATTCCCCTTATGCAGCTGTAGGAGATGATTGAGGTAATTGAGGCTAAATGAGGTCAAAAGGATGGGACCATGATCCAATAGAATTAATGTTCTTATAAGAATAGAAACCAGAGAGCTCTCCTTTTCTCTCTCTCTCTCTCCTCCCTCTTGCCCCTAACTCAACTTTCTACCCACGGTGGCTATCTCCAAACCAGGAAGAAGGTCCTTACCAGAAAGTGAACCTTGTTGGACTTTGATCTTGCAATTTCCAGCCACCAGAAATATAAAAATTAATTTCTGCAGTTTAAGTTGTCCAGCCATATCCATTTTGGTGTTGGAGTCCCAGTGGACTACTACACCATCCTTGCCAGCTCCAAGCAGAATAGGCCTCCAGAGGCTCCCCATGGACATGGGCACCCAGCTTTGTTCCTGTTCCTCCTGCTGTTCTGATTCTCTAGTGAGGAAGGCAGATGCAGGCTTCATCCTATTTGTCTGCATTTTCTACTAGAATGTCTCCTTGAAGATGAAGTGGTTAGCCTGTTTTGCTTTCTGATCAGAACTTCATCAAACTGAATGAACTACTTGTTTGGTATTAATACTTGGGGATGTTCATGTTTGTTTCCGACATAGATGCCAGTGGGTATGTTGTGTGCACTCCATCTCTTACCCCTTTTCCTATGTCCCCAGAGAGAAGGCCACTGTCATCTGTAGGGCCGGCCAGAGTGTTAAGAGCGTTCTATTTTTGCTTGGCTCCCGCAGAAAACAGGCCCAGCTCTGAGCTCCTGTTGGCTCCTGGTTCTCTGTGGATGCAACACCTGCCCGGGTCAGGGTTCAACTGCCTGGACAGATATCACTCTGGCCATCAGCAGTGAAGCTGATCAAGGAACCCCATTGTGAACAGGGTTCCAGCAGCTGTGTGAGTCGTGAAAGCTGGGCCGATAGGTCCCACATGGCTCCAGTCAGAGGGGAGGCTGCCAATAGGCTGTGGAGGGCTTTCATCCTGTGACCACACAGCCACTGACCTCATGTGCTGCTCTGTCTGACAGGATCCCCTATGGGAAGGACCTGCCCACAGGAAGCTCTGGGCACCAAATGTTCCTCCACCGCCTAGCTCCACCGCCTGTCTCCCTGGCACCTGCTGCTCTGTGTTCCTCAGACCCGCTCTGGTCACTCAAAGTTCTCAGCAATGAGCAGGTCAGTGCTCAGCCCTGCAGGGACATGGAGGTAAAGCCTGAGTTTCCTCACTCTCGGGCTCTGCAGTGGGGAAGGAGCCATGGAGTGGTGCACCCATTGCTGGTTTTAAATGTTCCTGCTCAATTTATCACAATTTAAAGTCATGCATTATAACAACAAAGTTATATTTATTTCTGTATAAATACATATATTACATTGATTTATAATATAGATGCAAAATTTAAGAAGATACTTACTTTCAGAATAAAAAAGTGAATAAAATGTCACACATCAGGATTGATATGCCCACCAAGGCTTTGACTTGTCTTGGTGCATGATTGAATTAGGATCTAATAGAAGGAGGCAGAGAAGAAGGTTAGAAATGGACTGTTATTCCTTAGGTTCTCTTAAGGGGGTGGAGGCCAAATAATTCACGGGTTGTCAGAAAATACCCCAGGGCTCTTTCTCAGTTGCCTGGTAACAAACTGGCTGAAGTTTGGTGCTTCTTTTCCCTGGAAAGAGGTGCTATGATTTTCCATAGCTTCCAGGTTGCCAGGAGCTGAATGCCTGGCATATCCAGGCCTTCCTCAAAAAGCTGGTTCCTGAGCTCAGAGTGCTTGGGGCCTGCACATAATATTCCTTCCCTGTGCTGATGGATAGCTCTAGGCTAGGAGAAGCCAGGGGAGAAGGAGAGGCTGGTGTGGGGCTAGAGAAGTGAACATTTCTCTCTGCTTATTGTTTTGTATTTTTAGTATATTTTCCATTCAATGTGTTATACATATCGTATGTGCACAATTATGTTTATTTTATGTAAATATCATCCTGTGAAATATGTCATTATGCTCACTGTTTTTCTACTGAGATGTATGAGTTAAAATATTTCAGTGTTGTTAAGGGTGAAACTTGTCTATTACTTCTCATTGCTGCCTGATGATCCAGTCAAGATGTCAACTACATTTAACCTATGTTCCTGGTAATAGATACCCAGATTGTCTCTAACTCCTCATCTTTAGAAATAATGATACAAAAGCCTCGTGGATATCTCCTTAGTTGTCTTCTAAGAGGTGTGTGTGTTTTGGATTGCGGGGATTATTTGGAAAATTACATGGAGCAAAACTGATGGTTCATAAGAAAATATTTAGTTGACTTGAGCAGTGCCAGAATTTTCTTTGGAAGGCTTACATTGACAGATGTTAAAGCTGGAAACTTTTAAATCAAATTATACCTCTTTTACTCTCAGAAAGAGACAGGTTTAATAACAAAATTGCACAAAGATCAAAAGATTAGCATCCTGCTTTAGAAATCTTTAATCTCCTTCTTCAAGTGAATGAAGCTTTCCTGCAGAGCAAAACAAATTATCTCACATTTAACAATGGAAGAATATGTGACACATTTAAAGTCCCCTTCAGCTGCAAGAGCCTCGGCAGGGCAGAACAACAGCAGAAAGGAGGATGCAGTGGGCTCTGAGCCACATCTTGCCAGAGGAAAGGCTCAATGAAAGCTCATCTTGATTCTTTCTGCCGGTGTGCAGATGCCTAACAAATACAGGTAGCAGAACAGCCAGAAAACTCAGGCCGCTTTGTAGCAAAACAAGTTGAATACACATGCACACATTTAACCAAAATTGGATTGATTTCACTTGCATAATTGTCAGTGTGGAGCCTAGAGACAGTGCACAGACTCCTGTGAGCAGGACACTCACTGGGGCCCTGCACAGTGTGAAGGCCCCAAACACAAACCTTCCAAAAAGGCTCAGCCTCTCAGTGTGGCAGGAGCAGCTGTGGTGCCCAGAGGATGCATCCACACCAAACTCAGGTGGAGGTGGCTGGAGAGCCTTTGAGTTAAGGAGGCCATGAGGCCTCAGTAAGGGGCACGGGCTCTTCTTCTGTATGAATGGGGGCCAGGGCTTTTACAGATTTTGAATAAGGCTATTTTAAGATCCCAAGGAAGAATAAAAGACCAAACTAAATAACTTCTGTTGATTTCCAAAATTAACAAAAGTATTTTTTCAACCATTTAATTCCATACCAAGTTACCACAAATCCAAAATACAGAACATGAAAGAGCCACGGGCTGAATGAATTATTCAGTGGCCATTCTTAGTCTTAAATAATAACACAAGCTCTGCACTAGCAGGTGGAAATGGTGAATTGCCTCTAATGTGGTAGCAGTAGCATAGTAATAAACTTCACTTTTGGAATCAGGGAAATGTGAGACTGGGTAATTTATAAAGGAAAGGTGTTCAATTGGCTTACAGTTCTGCAGGCTGTGCACACATGGTGTGGGCATCTGCTTGGCTTCTGGGGAGGCCTGAGGGAGGTTTTACTTATGACAGAAGGTGAAGCAGGAGCAGGCATATCCCATGGCTTAAGTGGGAACAAGGCAGGTGGGGAGTGGCGTGAGGTACCACATGTGTTTAAACAACCAGATCTCACAAAGTACTCATCATCATGACAGTACTAAACCATGAGGGATGCACCCCCATGACCCCCAAACCTCCCACCAGGCCCCATCTTCAACATTGGGAATTATATTTCAACATGAGATTTGAGTGGGATAAATATCCAAACCATGTCAACATCTATCTTGGCTTTTCTTGGCCGAGAGAGAATAATCCAAAGTTTAAGTGCTCCTTGAAGGACAATTGGCCTCACCTTTTAGTAATTTTAGAAATGTACATGTTAGCTCTTCTAAAATTACCCTTATGCCAACCAAAAAATGAAATATTAGTAGTAAATGACAATTAAATAGAATAGAATAAAATAAATAATTTTGTTTTCCCTAGAACAGTCGTCTGATGAAATCACAAAGTTTACAAATAGCTGGAGGCTAGGATGACTTGTTAGTTACTTATTTAGGCAGCTCTTACACATGTTTCCTATTCTTGCTTTGGAAACTAGTGAACTCCAAAACTCAAAGATTATTTGATTCTTGCGTAGGATGGAATATAGCAGCCCTAGAAGAAATTTAAACCCAATTATGGGAATTTATATTAAACAACTTACTGGGGAGCTCGACTGCACCAAAATTATCTAAGACAAAAGAAAAAGAAGAAACCTGCTGATTAACTTGTTAAATTAAAGGAAATATTTACTGGGAAATTATATTCTTGAGTATGCTTCCAAAAAAGAGCAAGCTTTTATAGCTGGCATGTGGTTTTGAGATTTAATAAAGGTAATTTGCTTGGAATAGAAATTAATTCTTAATAGTGGTCAGAATAGCAGCTCAACAATGTAAAAACCTTATAAACACCCAGGGAAGCTGTGGTTTTTTGGAGACCTTATTTCAGGGACAGAGGTCCCTTTCTTTAAGGGTCAGAACTGAGAAGGAATCTTAGAGGGAATAAAGAATGTAAGGGACACAGAATGCTTAGGGATGCAACAAAATCACTGCCTCACTTTGTGCAGTCTGATGGGGGTGAGATGGGCCCCACAGAAAGATGAACATGCACGGAGGAAAAGCATCCCTGGAAGCACAGGACTCCACTAGCTAATCTCATATCTCAGTGTATACTTTATATCATTTTTTTTCTGTTTTTTTCTAAGAAAGAGGACAATCAATTGAAACATTTGGAAACAGGCTCAGATTAGGCTGATCAAGAACAGGGTCTGAAGATTCAGAAAGGTCAAATATGTAAATATCCCTGTGTCTCCCAGTGTTTAGAGAGATTCTCAGAAGCAGAAGATACCTATCCACAGAGCCCTCATTCCCTGTGTTCTCTGTGTACCTGGATATTTATCCATGAATCTGTGCTCCAGTTGGTCACAATTTTCAGTCGATGAGATAATGCAGACAACTTCAATCTCACGTGCCCTGGAAGCCAGAAATCCAGCGCAGAGGACCTGCAGCTTCACAAAGTGAAGCTCCCTCTGTGGGTGGCTTGGTCTCAGTTCTCACCAAGGACAAACTTTCAACTTTAATAAAACATTTAAAAACCTCCATTGAGGTCCAGGTGGGGAAAAGACTGCAGCGTGTCTTCAGTCTCATCCATAGCAGTGTGGATTTTGTCTATCTGCACTAATATAGTCTTTAGAACAAAGTCTACAAAATGTGCAACAATGATGTATAAGTGAGCCAAAGGTGTCTTGTGTGAACTGCCCATATGTTGTTTGTTTCCAAATTGCAGCTTATTTCTCTATGGCCTGTGCCAAACTCAAACTTTACAATCCTATCATTTCAAAAACAGCCCCCCAAAGCAGATTTTTTGCCATGTAAAGAATGCTTACATTATGTATCTCAGAGAACCTTGCTCACATCTGCTAGAAATAGGTAAGCCCCAGGTTATGAAAACCCCAGACTAATATTTCCCTCTGGTTCTCTCTGACCTAGAGACTCCCCACTGTGCTGCTGTATTGGGAAAAGCTGAGTGTTGGGAGAAGCTGAGGCAGGGCTTGCATGTCTGACATAATGTAAAACAGTCTTGGAACATGTCTGGGGTCCAGGGTCTAAAACCCATTGTGGCGTTTGGAACACCAAGCTCTGTGCTATAAAGGGTGGAAGGCTACCCTGACACACTGTAATCTAAGCCCAGGGCATAAAATCCCTCGTGGCTTGGATAGAATCCAGGGTTCATGGCTCTGGAATGTGTCTACACTTGCTGGCTCCTTGCTCCTTGCTCTCCCAGGTTCGATTGTATCTTGAGTTAAAGGAACCTGCTCTCCATTATCTCAAGTAGCAGAGCGAATGCTAAACCATCACAGCTATAAATCTTGTGCCTAATGCAACGTGCCCTTTTGACCTCCACATTCTCACCACCTTTTTCTTTGTTGGATAACCAATAAATAGCACTGGGCTCCCAGAGCTCGGGGCCTTCGCAGCCTCCATGATCACGATGGCCCCCTGGTCCCACTTTACTTCTCAAACTGTCTTTTCTCAATCCTTTGACTCCACCAGACTTGGTCATCCCCATGACCTGGTGTTGGGTCTGATCACCCCAACACTGCTGTGTGACAACACCTAGACACATAAGCCCCTTATACAGCAAATTTCTTCCTCCCCCCCTTCTGAATAACAACCTTGGCCCCTTGGCCTATAGACAGACTCCTGCTCTCAGGAACTACCGGCAAACCTGTCAAAGCTTCACCCAATAAAAGTTGTGTGTGCTACTGCCATCCTGTGGACATCTCTTTTTCTTTGCCCAGGCTCCAAAGTCCTCAAATGATGTACAAACAACAGGATCACACTCTCCATCCAACCCCACAAACACTGACTTCCAAGGACACAAACACTTCCATTTCCATGATTATCTTCCCATGTCATACAAGTAATACACTTACTTCCAATTTTATGGGCTCCGATCTCACAGCATCAGGCAAAGGAGACACAACTACAGTAAGATCCACCTGTATCAGTCCTTCCTCATTCAGATGACCATGGTTCAGATTAGAGACACACAGAGGCCTGCTTCCCACCTGGATCAAATGGAGACTGTTCTTACACCTTCTTACCTGTGTCCACTGTGGAGCCACCAGCTTCATCCATTGTTATCAAAGCCTTGGCATAATGTGTTAATGTTTGGGAGACAGAGATTTCTATTTGGAATTAGAAATATTATTATTTAAGTACATAGGTAGTATAGGGTAGCTTCAAAACTTTTTTTTGCACCAAATAATTTTTATAAGATTTTACATTTTCTGAATACGTAAGGGCAACAGATTCTGAAGTAAATTACCAAATACAATGGCAGACTCCTTAAAGCTTTGTTGTTAATTTTCATAGCGAATAGCAATACTCTCTGAAATTCAAAAATATTAAAGAATATTTTGTAAAAATAACATATTCTTGAATTGCCTTGCAAAAGAAAGCACGAAAGATTTTTTATCATTTGTCATTTTCTCTCAATTCAAGCATCCATATTAGATGGTAGATAGAACTGATCCTTCATTTAACATACTTTCAGAGTAATCCTTTAAAACCAGACATAATGCATTCAATAGTGTTCTTTTTTGTTAGTATGTTAAGTTTAGTTTGCATTTATTATTTTTTCTTTCCACCTACCAATATTTCTGAATCCTTTCACTAGCATGATTAATTAAGAGTCTGAAATTTTCAAGACTAAGAACCTGCATTGAATTGGTCAACATCATGGGATAAAAAAGTTAAATACACAAAACTTACAAAATTAAATAAAAGAAAATAATAAATATTTTAAAGACTGGAATATAAGACTTTTATTGTACTCCTACCTCCTCATGATAATTTGTGGTCATCAACTCAGAATATTAACATGGAGTTCGACATTTAAGATCATTTTTACTCAATTACTTTTTCCAATCTTGTTAAAAAGTCTTATTTTGGTAGATTTCCCAAAAGATATGCAGACCAAGCTTTCTTGTGGGATCATACTTAGAACTGCATTTGTTTGTGTTTTTTACCAAGTAAGCATGACTTTGGGTTAAATTACCCGAGATTACATAGTACTGCAATCTATTACGTTGGCTCTCCCCAGATGTTTTCTCTCCAGGACAGTGCGTGTCCTTGTGAAGGGATCTGATGTAGGCACAATCTTTCAAGAGCTGTTCAACTCAATCTTGAGCATATCATTGACAAACAAATAGTTGGATTGTTTCCCTGTTTTCATGATCAGCTGTGTGGTAGATTGACATCTCTGAGCTGTGATCGTCTTTACATGAAAGCTCAGGAAAATGCCAGTCATGGGTAATGGTGACCATGAGACAGTAAAGCTGTGGATCCAGTTCGTGCTCTTCTTACATAGAGAATTTCCACTCGAATTGTGAACTCATGGCTGTGGCTGCACCACTTACAGGCCCAGGGGACACTCAGATCTCACTTGGTAGTTGACGAAAAACTGGAAGTCCTGATAGGACCTCATTCCACATGATGAGGAAGACTGTGGGAAGAGCTTTTGTTAACACCATTCAGAAAAACATAGTGCAAAGTTAGTTTTTGTTCTTTCTATATAATTATCCTAGAAAAGTCTTCCCTTAATAAATCCTTCTGGTTAATCTGGCATATGTGAGATGATTATGATGGGATATATACCAGATTGAACAATTGGTCACCAGGAATTTTATATTCACTGCCTGAGGAATAAATTGTTTCCCACTTTCCTCTTACCTGCACTGGGCTCTTGAATCTAAATATAGAGACCCACATTATTTTCCCTATGAGGCCCTTGGACAGAGCGCTCTTATGGGGCTCACTCACCAGGTGCCAGGGGAGGGTAGATTCCAACACTTGCTATGAACATTCTTGAACAGTTATCCTGGAAACCGCAGATACCAGACCACTCTTGAACTGGCTCAAGACTATGTTTTATTTGTAGGCTGTCTGCTCATCAGTGCTTGTAGGAAAGGGTAACGTTTCCTTTTTTAGATTAGCTGGGAGGGAGCCAAGAAGAATGGCATTCATCCATATTCATTCTAGACATATCTCTACATTGTTAGGGTTGTTATGCTTTCCTAGAGTTGCATATCCTATACAATGGGACCTACCCAAGATCCAAACTGTCACAGTCAGATCCTTCCTCCCATTTTATATCACATTGCTCACAGGAGAGACATATCCCCTGCCCGCCTGCCCCATTGACTCTTTCCACACCACTGCATGCACCAGGGGATTTGCATATTGTCCCACAGGGAGGACCTTCCCTTGTGAGTCTGAGATAAAAGCTCAGCTGTAACTGTGCCTTGACTGATCAGGACTCCTCAGTTCACCTTCTCACAATGAGGCTCCCTGCTCAGCTCCTGGGGCTGCTAATGCTCTGGGTCTCTGGTAAGAAAAGAAGGAGATGAGGAAGGAGAATAGGGTGGGAGGGTGAGCTCTAGGGCTCCACAGCATCCCATGATCCCATGTTTAGTCTTACCCTGTGTTAGAGGAGTATAATCTGTGCTGTAGAAAAGGGAACTTGATATTTTGCTCTGTGAATAATTAGAAGCCTCATAAGAAATATGACGTCTGGTGCTCTGATTAAGATCTTCAAAATATAAAGGTCTCTTATACTTTACAAAAATTGAATTCATTTTAGAATGTGTATTTTTATGGCATAAATCACTATTTTTTAAAATTAAGTTTAAATAAATGACATAAGATAAATTATGAAAATTGCTCATTAGGTTTGTACATAACTTTGCAATTCATTATTTCAGGATCCAGTGGGGATATTGTGATGACTCAGTCTCCACTCTCCCTGCCCGTCACCCCTGGAGAGCCGGCCTCCATCTCCTGCAGGTCTAGTCAGAGCCTCCTGCATAGTAATGGATACAACTATTTGGATTGGTACCTGCAGAAGCCAGGGCAGTCTCCACAGCTCCTGATCTATTTGGGTTCTAATCGGGCCTCCGGGGTCCCTGACAGGTTCAGTGGCAGTGGATCAGGCACAGATTTTACACTGAAAATCAGCAGAGTGGAGGCTGAGGATGTTGGGGTTTATTACTGCATGCAAGCTCTACAAACTCCTCCCACAGTGGTACAACCCCTAACAGAAACCTCCTCCTGGGGTTGCCTAGTTGCTCACATGTGCTGCTTGTCTGGAGAGCAGCTCAGCAGGGTCTCTGAGTCTGCAGAAGAGGAGGCTGTTGGAGACCTCAGGGCAGAGGTTGCTGCTGAGGACTCTGGCTCATGATAGCCTCAGCTGTACTTCAGTCCCACATGTTAAGGCCCCATTAGGTGAAAAATAAATGATTCCAAAAACTGAGATGAAATACCAAGGAGAATCAGAGTACAATTAAGGCTGTTACAAAGAAGCCTCAAAATATGGTGGACTAAATGTGACATGGTTTCTGTGTCTGTTGCCTGACAGTGCAGAGGCAGGTGGGTGGCTTTGGTGGTGTCGGTGGCTCTTCTCCAAGAGGTCGCTCAGATGGGCAGGAGACACGACCACCCTCAGACACAGCCTTCCTCCTTCCTCAGAGTCACTTGCCCCCATGCCCATCCTCGACAGCATGAAGTGGAACGACTAGAGAGAAAGCTGTTTTCTTCTAAAGACCAAAGAAATCTAGAGTTTCCCATCAGGGATAAATGTTCTTTTACTTTAAGCACGCATTGGAGAAATTTTCCATTCAGTGGATCTGCTGATAAACCCACTTTGTTTTGTTTGTTTGTTTTGTTGTGTTTTCAGATGGAGTCTCTCTCTGTCACCCAGGCTAGAGCGCAGTGACATGATCTCGGCTCACTGCAAACTGCCTCCTGGGTTCAAGAGATTCTCATGCCTCAGCCTCCGGAGCAGCTGGGATTACAGGCACCCACCACCATTCCAGGCTAATTTTTGTATTTTTAGTAGAGACAGGGTTTCACCATGTTGGCCAGGGTGGTGTCGAACTCCTGATCTGAAGCGATCCACCTGCCTTAGCCTCCCAAAGTGCTGGGATTATAGGCGTGAGCCACTGCACCTGGCAGTTATTTGCTCTTATATGATAATGTAAAATTATTTTAGAAAATAATTTTTTGAGTATATAGTTATGTTTGTGGCAGCCTATTTGAATTTATCATTTGATAATTTCTACTAAAATGTCTTTGTTATAAAAGTCATATGACTTTAATTGTCCTCTTCTGAAAAGAATATGGTTTTTTATCCTCTCAGGCTCCTTTTAGGACATTCAGTTAATCTCATTTTCATACAATATATTAATTTTAGTTTATTATTTCTGATAAATTTATTAAGTAATTTTCACTATAACAAAATTAAAAATCCCATAAATTGCTATGTCAATAACCTGTCTCTGGGTGTAAACACACTCCACAATAAACAATAAAGAACACCAAGGTCTTAGAAACACTGGGAAAATAAGACTGATAGTGTCCCATTATCAATGGGAAGTCCCTAAATCTAGAACGGTGTCTCATGTGTGACCTGGGACATCTGGGATGAGCTGCCAGTGTGCTGAGTTGTGGGGAACCTGCTCTGTGCTTGGAGGCTGAAAGCATATCCTTTCCCTCCCTACTGCCTTACCTGTGTCCACCTGCTGTGGTCTAAATTGTGTTCCCACATTCATGTTGAAGGTCTAATCTCCAACGTGGCTGTAGGAGATAGGACCTATAAGAATATAATGGAAGTTATAAGGGTGGGGCCCTGATCCAATAGGATTAGTGGTTCTCATAAGATCCAGAGATCTCTCTTTTTCCTCTCTCTCTAACTCCCACACTCTTATGGAAAGACCATATGAAAGCATGGTGAGAAGGTAGCATCTACAAACCAGGAAGAAGGTCTTTACCAGAAAGTGAACCCTGCTGGACCTTGATGTTGGACTTCCCAGCCATCAGAAATGTGAAAATAAATGTCTATGGTTCAAGCCACCCACCCAGAGTATTTTGGTGTTGCAGTGAAAGAAGACTCATTCACTATCCCCACCCTCTCTGAGCAGGATCAGCATCAAGAAATATCTCATGGATGTGGGGACCCAGCTTTGCTCCTATTCCTCCTGCTGTTCTCTCTCTTGAGGAAGAAGGGAGGGTTCAGGCTTCATCTTCAGTTTGTTTGCAATAAACAGGAATGTTTCCTTGACAATCAGTTAATTAGCCTGTTTTATTTTCTGAATAGAATTTAACCAAACTGAACAAACTACATGCTTGGTATTAATATTTGGGGTGTTCATGTTTATTCCACATTTAGATGGACAGTCTCTAGCCCCTCTTCATGTGTACTAGTAGAGAGGGTCACTGTCACCTGCAGGGCCAGCCATAGTCTCAACAATGTTCTAGCCTGGCACCAGCAGAAGCCACAGCTGGCTCTGAGCTTCTGCTGGCTCCTGC
This sequence comes from Homo sapiens, assembly GCF_000001405.40. NCBI lineage: Eukaryota > Metazoa > Chordata > Mammalia > Primates > Hominidae > Homo > Homo sapiens. The sequence goes on along the minus strand of NC_000002.12, from coordinate 89,219,406 downwards.
TGCCTACTCTACACAATGCCTGTTGGGTCAGGGGTGATGGGCTTGGACAGAGTTCACTCGGGCCATCAGCAGCTGAGCTGCCTTCATGGCGTCTCGTTTTGTGAAGAGGATGTCAGCAGCCACATGAGCCATGATAGCTGGGCAGAGAGATCCCACATCACTCTAGTCAGAGGAGAAGCTGCCAATTGTCAAGTGGAAGGGTTTTGTCCTGTGACCCTGTGACTACACAGCCACTGAGTCACATGTGCTGCTGTGTCTGAGAAGAGCCCCCAGGGGAGGAACTGTCTACTCGGAGATCTGGGAACAAAACTTCTCTCCAATCAGGGCCCAGACCCACTGCCCATCTCCCAGCCACCTGCTGATTGTGTTCCCCACACCCCCCTTGGGTCTTGGGGGCTCTCTGTCCTGCTCAACAGGGACATGGGGAAAGGTCCTGAGCTTCCTGACCTTCAGGAAGTCAGGAAGGATCATGTTTATGGTGTGCTATTGCTGGTTTTAAATGTTCATGCTCAATTTATCAAATTTGAAATCATACCTTATACCAACAGTTATATCTATTTCTATATAAATATACATATTATGTAGATGTATAATATAGATACATATTATATACAGATACATCAATAATTTATATCCATAATATTATATCTATTTAATTTAAAAGTTTACACAGTATGTCCATATATTCATTATTTTTGTAGCATGTGTTCCTTTTATTTCTAAGCAGAACAGAGGCTCGCTGAGTAAAGTCTGTGGACATTTGTTGACTCTCCCTCTTTGGCTCCAACAGGGTCCTGGTGTCTCAGGACCAGTGAGGACAGAGCTGAGGACAGCCAGCCCCAGGAGCCCAGGCCCAGCCCTAAGGCTCTGGTCTCAGAGACTTTCATCCTGACCTCGGGCACTGGGCTTGGTGTGGCACCCGTGGGTGTGTGAGCAGTTTCCTTCTCTGAAGCCCCATTCCATGCAGCCCCGTGGATAGGGCCTGTGGTTCCCCCCAGGTCCTCAGCCCCATGGTTCAGGAGAGAAGCTGCTACTGCCACAGACCAGGGCCAGTGACCGGCAGCTTGGGTAATGCAAACATTAGTCCTGGACTGAGGACCCTATGCCAAATATCTCCCCCATTTATTCCAGTACCTGAAAGTCTGTCCTGGTCTTAATTGCACAGGCCACATTTCCTTAACTAGTGAAGCCAGCATTGGCAACTGAAAAACTAGAAATTTGACTTCATTGTCATCCTCAGGGTCTGGCCCACTCCAATCCCACCACATAAAGAGGCCCTTGAACTTTCTCTTTCCCATGCAACTTAACTTAGACACATAGTGAAATATAAACATCGCAAAACTCTTGGCACCTACACAGCAGCCATCCCCTCTCCTTGGGCGTATAAGGGACCAGCTTCGTCCTGCTGCACATGGCAAGGACAATGAAGAGGAGCAGGGAGTGGGGCACATGAGCTCCACAATGAGATGTCAGAGGTGAGCAGCACTTCAGGGAAGGACTTTGATCCCTCATAAAGGCATAGAAGGTGAAGAGCTTTGTCCTGCATTTTTTTCCTGAAACAGGTATGCGTGCACATTGATACTTGGAGGCACTGCAGCCCTCCTAAGATCATGAGGCTTTGAACCCAAGACTGAAAAACTGAAGTGCAAAGAAGAAATGTAGCAAAAACCTGGGTCCTTTTGCTGTCACCAAGTTGCTGCACCAACCTCAAATGTTCCAAACTTCAGAATTCTTATCTCTGCTTCAGCTATTGCTATCATTTCTTGCAATTGCTTCTAAAATTATTTTAACTTATCCAGAAAAAATATTCAAGGGAAAGAGACTGACTGGGTTCTTATTTGTGTTTATGGGAGTCTAAGACACAAAAAAAACAGGAAATCAGAAAAAGTGATGTCTTCTCCTAACATCTTTGTCATTCTATGCCCATGGTTAGAGAAATCCAAACCACTTTGAAGAATGTATAAATTCTGCTCTCTTCCTGTCTCCATTTCTCTTTTTATATCTTAAGCATAAAACAGCTCCTTGTTCTTCTTAATGTCTCCATCCTTCAAGATCATAGAAACAGAATCATGGTTAAGAAACTGGAAAAAACAGTTGGAGAAAACATGAAATCTAGGGTTTGTATGCATTTCCTCTACACTAATGTGGTGTTTGCAGGGTTCCTCTCCTTCTCAGTTGTTTTTGCTGAAGATGCCGACTGTTCCAGCCAGATTCCTGTCAGAGGTTGTGTTTGGAGGGTTTAAAAGAAAAGCTTCCAGGGGCTTAGGGCTGAATTCCAAAAAGGATAGCCGGAGAGTGGCTCTGGATTCCCAGCAAGGAGAATGCCAGATTGAGTCTTGGGAAAGGCTATGGACATACTGGATCCCAGGCAGAGACTTGTAGCAGGGAGAAAGCCTCCACAGAAAATCCCTGCTAGGGCAATATCTAGTAGAGCCATGAAAGTGAGGCAGCCTGGGAGACCACAGAATTGTAGGGCCAGCAGCATGCAACTCCAGCCTGGGAAAGATGCAGGCACAAGACTCCAACCCATGAAGGCTTCTGGGTGAAGTGAGCCCAGTAAAACCATAGAGGTGGGGCTGCCTGAGGCATTGGTAAACCAACTCCCACCCCAGATTGCCCCAGATATGAGATTTGAAGTCAAAGATTATTCTCCACCTTTAAGACTTAATGTTTTTCCTGTTGGGTTTTGGGCTTACTTGGGACCAGTTAACCCTTTCTTTTTACCTATCTCTCTTTTTTGGAATGAGAATGTTTATCTTATGCCTGCCCCACCATTGTACAGTTGTCCCTCAGTTTCCATGGAGAATTGGTTCCAGGGTCCTCCACAAATACCATAATTTGTGGACATTCAAGTCCTGCAGTCAGCTCTGAAGAACCTGCAAATATGAAAAGTATACCCTCTGCATCTGTGGATTCTGCATCTGCTGAATACTCTATTTTCAATCCATGGTTGTTGAATCTGTGGATGTAAAACCCATGGGTAGGGAGGGCTAATTGTATTTTGGAAGCATGTAACTTGATAATTCACAGGCTTATAGCTGGAATTAATTTGCCTGGGATAAATAGTGCCTCGAATCTCACCCATATGTGATTCAGATGAGGCTCTGGACTTTGGACTTTTGAGTTGATGCTGGACCAAATTGAGACTTTAGGTGCTATTGGGATAAAATGAATGTGTTTTTCATGTGAAAAGGACATGAACTGGAGAGAGTAGGGTGGAATGCTGTGATTTGAATGTATCCTCCTCAGTTCATTTGTTAGAAATTTACTCCCCAGTGCAGCCATGTTGAGAAGTGGAAACTTTAAGAGGTAATTAGGTCACTAGAGCTTTGCCCTCATGAATGGTTAATGTCATCATGATGGGGGTGAGTTTGTTATAGTGAGAGTGGGTTACTTATAAAAACAAGTTTGACCCCTTCTTGCTCTTACTCACTCTGTCTTGCCTTTCCACCATGGAGATGCAGCCAGAAGGACCTTACCAGATAACTGCACCTTGGTATTGGACTTTCCCACCTCCAGAACTGTGAGAAATAGATTTCTAACTGAAAAGATAAATCACCCAGTTTCAAATATTCTGTTATAACAGCACAGACTGAAACAAATATGTTACTGTCATTATTTATTTTCAGAGTCAACATTCCCCTATTTTGTCCAAGGGGAGCCCCATTCAAGCTAGTTCCTAATACCTTTTTCTCTTACCCCATCATTTTCTGAGCACTTCCTTAGTTTCTGACACAAGAAGTGCAGGCTTATCTTATATTTTTTCTGCTCTAAACCTGATATCAGATATTTTTCCAGTAATTATTCTTTTTAATAGAGATTGATATTCAATAAAACAAGATTTGAGCACTCAAGGTGTTTATTGAGACTTGTGTGTTACTGCTTCTAGGAAAAATTACCTGTCTATCTGCATATGTTTTAATCTATATCCGTATAAAACTATCCAAAAAATTAATGAATCTACATTAATGTCTCTAATTACAATCCAAATCTACAGTTTCTCCTTTTTTATATTTGTAGCTTTTTTCCAAACTGAGAATCTTGGCTGTAATTATTCATACCATATTTACTTAAATGATCAAACATTTTGTGTGACACCAATCTCCCACTGTCCCTGTCACCTAAACTTTCCTTGTGGACAACTTCCCTCTTATGCCTCACACACCTTCATTAGTCTTGATACTCCGTGCCAGTCCACCATGAACTTTGCATCTCTGCATAGCTGCCCTTTCCCCCCCGGGCTCTGACATTAGCAACAGTGTCCTCCACCCTTGTGACTGTCCTGCTCATCCTCATCCAGCTGTGATGTCCTGCATAAGTGGGAGGAGGGGTCTTGCATCCTGCACACCCAGGTAGGGATACTTGTCTCTGCTAACTATAGCTTCAACGCCCAGGTGGGCTTTCCTCTACACCCCACAACACGGGTGCACTTTCTATACTGTGTAGGCTCAGTATCTCATACAATTCCCTGGCTTTTTGTTGCATAGTTTTCTTTCTGAACCTGCTCGGATCAAGTGCCCTAAACCCAGTCACTAAGAACTGTTTTCTCTTAGGAGCTGGAAGAGATTGGTGATTTGGAAATATGCAGGTATAAGAAACAGAGTAGTCACAGGGATAGAGGGTGACAACTTGGTTTAGAGGACACCTCAGCTTCTGAAGGGGAATGGCTTGGATAAGAGAAATAAAAGGCATAAATAAAATTCAGGGAGCACAGGGAAATATCTAGCATGAGACTGTAGGATGGCATACAGAGCTAGAATATAGCTGAGAACTTTCAGAAGTAAAGGGAGAAAATTTATCATGTTGGCTGGCCCAGCTGAAAGAGGTAGGAAAGAACATTCAGATATGGAGGATAACAATTATGTGTCTGGAGATGGGAGATTAGCTATGCCAGATAGCCAGTGGCAGGACCCTTCCTTGCTGTGGCACTATTTTCAAGTATTAGGTTTTTTTTAAGTTTTTTATTTCTTTTTTAATGAGCAAATCTATCTATCTATCTATCTATCTATCTATCTATCTATCTATCTATCTATCATTCATGATTATACCTTAATGCATCCATTGTTGGTAGCACTGACAATTTACAGCACTGGTGGTTCCAGGGAATTGGACCAAAAAGGAAGTCTCTCTGACCTTAATAGTACTCATCTGTATCAAATGCAGGAAACTTCTAAAATGTCTTGAGTTTCTAGAGATGTTTTTCCCTAGCAGACCTTGTCATAAATAGAAAGCTAGCAAGAGAAGCATGTCATGAAACATGAAGAGAGCAAAAGAACACTCCACATATAGGACAGTAGGCTGATTCTGTCCTGTAGCCTGCAGGGAGAAACACATGCTCTGCAGACTTTGGACACCTGGGAGGCACTGGGCCTGTGCAGTGTTATTGAGATAAGACATCTTTGCAGCTGTGCAGATTTGCATGTCCCACAGAGCAACGCCTACTGCCCTGAACATTTATCAATAGGCTGGTGACATCCTGTGCAGAAGTCTCTCTCAGTCAGGACACAGCATGGACATGAGGGTCCCTGCTCAGCTCCTGGGACTCCTGCTGCTCTGGCTCCCAGGTAAGGAGGGAAACAACAAAAATTTTATTCAGCCAGTGTAGCCACTAATGCCTGGCACTTCAGGAAATTCTTCTTAGAACATTACTAATCATGTGGATATGTGTTTTTATGTTCCTAATATCAGATACCAGATGTGACATCCAGATGACCCAGTCTCCATCCTCCCTGTCTGCATCTGTAGGAGACAGAGTCACCATCACTTGCCGGGCGAGTCAGGGCATTAGCAATTATTTAGCCTGGTATCAGCAGAAACCAGGGAAAGTTCCTAAGCTCCTGATCTATGCTGCATCCACTTTGCAATCAGGGGTCCCATCTCGGTTCAGTGGCAGTGGATCTGGGACAGATTTCACTCTCACCATCAGCAGCCTGCAGCCTGAAGATGTTGCAACTTATTACTGTCAAAAGTATAACAGTGCCCCTCCCACTGTGATACAAGCCCGAACATAAACCATGGAGGGAAGTAGATGTGTGAGTCTGGGCTGCCCCAGCTGCTCCTCCTGGTGCCGCCCTCTGCTGACAGCAGTTCTCAGATGCAGCCAAGGTTTGAAGCTCACTGGGAAGTTTTGGTAGAAGGGGTCAGGGAGGCACATTTACATTCTATCTCTCTTTATCCTCAGCTCCATCAGCTGATATGCAAGTATCTCTCCTGATTATTATTAATAAAGGACAAAGAAAATTAAACCTAGGAGGTCTAGATTGCAGCAAAAGTCAGACTTATACAGAAAAGGAGAAGGTACTCTACATATTTTTAAAGAATTTTTTTTGATACAGGGGATTAGAGTCTAAATTATGACCTTTCAAAGATCAGACATAAGTACATACACATATAAGTATGTTCAGCCAACAACATATCAGATAAACATATTGCACCTATATGTATACTGTAAACATTTATGCTCCGATCCCACCTTCTTCCAACACTACCCAGATCAAGATCCACACTCTTCCCAGCATCTCAAATATCTCCCCAGTTTACTTCCCTGTCAATTCCGTGTTCCATCTATCATCATCCTAGGCTTCCACTGTATTTTATATCAATATTTATTAATTTTTCCTATACTTAAGCTTTATATAATTTCAATCATACAGTATTTACTCTTTGACGTCTTGCTTATTTTGGTCAAAATATTTTTGAGCTTCATCTGCGTTGTTTCTCTGGCAGTAATTTGTGCCTTTTTATTGAGGAACAATTTTCCATGAATATGCCAAAATATATTCATTTTTCAACTAATTATTTGTTTTTGGTTTAAGAATATTACTGGTAAAAACCTTAAGAACATTCTTGTGCTTGTCTTTTGTGAACTTATGCACTCATTTCTCTTGGGAATATTCCTAAGAATGGAAGTGTTGAGTTATAAAGTTAGCATAGAATTTGTCTTAGTAAACATTGACAATAGTTTACTGAAATGCTGAACATGTTTACATGAAACCAACCACGTCCTAAAAGTCTCAATTGCTGTCAATCTTTTTCAGTACTCAGTACTGTCAAACTTTTATTATATCTAGGGTGGAGGCCAAAGCAACCCCATCTTGGATGCTAATTTTCCATGTCTGACTTCTGATTAACCTGAGTTCTGGGACGGTCTCTAAGATTTTCAGTTTATCTATTTTATCTTATTTAAGAGCAAGTACTTAGCATAAATCCTGCCCTTAAACAACCTTGATGTAATCATTCTTTGATTGTCGTACACATCCTTTCTGAATCACTGGTCTCCTATGGTATACAAGCCCTATTTGAGAGGGGTCATGGCAAGTGATTGACCATCTTATCTGCCTACTGTCAGAGACACAGACACGGCTTCTGTTTTTAAGTCTCTATTAAATGTTTCTTTCTGAGAAACTGGATGTGTCAGCCTCTTTCTTCAGCCTTTCAGCTTCCTCAGGCATTGGGGTCAAGTTTGCATAGATCTACCCTGTCATGTGCGCTCCAAGGTCAGAGTTAACCAGGCCCATGCGTGTTTATGTCTTTCCACAATGTCAGACTTTTACTGATGCTATTTCCAACACAGAAGCTGCAAGCTACATGGAGCTCCCAAGGAGCCATTCGATTGTCAGTGTTGCGGGCACACAGGCTAAAACCATTGCACAAGCCGGTCAATATTGCAAACCATACATAATAGTATTCTTAATCAATACATAAACATTATAAGTTAAAGTTTACACAATGCAACATTTAACACCAAAAGAAAAAAAATAGGAGAAAGAGTTATCAAATCAATCCAGGGGTAGTGAAGAAGACAAAAAGAATCCTGGTCTGGCCTGAAGGTCCCTTGGTCCTTGCAAGGAAGAGTCTCTGATGTGTCAGAGCCTTCTTAGGCAGATGAGGAGTTCTTATCACAAATGACAACGGGATGGTTGTGAATTAAGATGGCCCTTTTGAGATACTGACAGCCCGCACTTTCATGGTCACAGAGTCCTCTGGTGAGAACTCATAGTGCAAGACTGTGCTTGCTTGTGACCTTATCTGGTTGGATGCAGCCTTTATTTTTTTTATTTTGTAGGCAAAACATTTTATTCTTGTTGGCAAGCTGCCCTATGAAACATATAATGCAGTCTTTATCTGAGATGGAGTCAATTATGTCAAAGTTCCACTATACATATCCAACACAAAACATCTGTACTGATAAATCTGAAGTTGTATCATGATTAAAATTTATACTTCCTTAATAGGTAATGATCTTGAGTCACTTTTCATATATTTATTTTCATTGGCTGTTTGCATATCTTTAGGGAAGTTCCTGTTCAAATCGTGTGTGTGAGTGTCTGTGTGTGTAATGTTATATTAATCATACACATTGATGCGATTAGAAGTTCTTAATTATAATGTAATCTAATTTGTCATTTTACTTGTCATTTTTTTCTCCTGTGTTTGTTTTGTGTATTTACGTGTGTCCTCTGTTTAATAAATTTTTACCACCAAAGGGCTTAAAGATATGCTCCTATGCTTTCTTGAAGAAGCATCGTTATTTTACCTCTCACATATAGGCTACAGTCTATCTCTAATTCATGTTTTTTGCCTGGGGTGAGGTGGATCAAGAATTTTATTTTGATATCTTGTTTTATTTATTTTTATTTTCATACTCAACAACTCCTCACCATTTCTTGCAAAAATAGAGCAAAACACAACAAAACAAAAAACAATTGAAAACATATACCTCACTCTATTGCCTGTGTTTAAAAATCTCATGATTGTGTAAAAATAATATTTTTCTTGACTCTTTGTCTATCTCTGTGCTTACAGTACAGTCTTAATTACTGTGGCTTTATTATAAAGAAAAAAAAGTCAGAAGACATAATACCAGATTTTTAGACTTAAGATTTTCTTGGCTATTCTACATCCTTTGAATTTCCACGTAAATTGTAGAATCACCTTTTCAATTTCAAAAATTCCTTTGGGGATTTTAATTGGACTGCATTGAGTCTATATATCAAATTGGAGAAAACTGAAATCTTTTTTTGTATTATACTTTAAGTTTTATGGTACATGTGCACAACGTGCAGGTTTGTTACATATTTATACATGTGCCATGTTGGTGTGCTGCATCCATTAACTCTTAACAATATCAAATCTTCTGTTCTATGAACAGAAAATGCTATTTATTTATATCTCCTTTAATCCACATTGTATGCAGAGACCTATTTCTAGTGATTAAGTTTTAGATTCTTTAAGAACTTATGTACAAATTTTTTCAGCAAATACAAATGTTTTGCTTATTCATTTCCATACTCCATGGGTTTTGTTTGTTTATTTGTTTTGAATTTTTGCATGTCTTAGGACCTCCATTATGATTTCATATAGTGGATGGTTCAGTATTTTTTATAATTTGAGAAGTGAAATGTTTAATATTTTATCACTAAGATGTTTGCTGTAGAATTGCCTGTACGACTTCTCAATAATTTTAAACCTCAGTAATTCTAAAGATGGATCATTTGTAGATGCTTTATCAGAATAAGGTGTTTTTCATTATCCCAGGCTTGCTGAGAGTTTTATTATGAATAGCTGTTGACTTCTTTCAAGTGATTTTCAGCTACTATTGAGATAATAAAAGTTATTGTTCTTAATTCTGTCAGTGTGATGCATTATATGGATTGATTATGTAATGTTATAATAACCTTGCACTTCTGAAATATATTCAAGTTGGGCATGGCAGATTATCTGAGAGAGATAGAGGTAAATCTTCCCTTTTTTTTTTGAATGTTTGTCTGTATTTATGAGAGATACTGACTTTTAGTTTTTCCATTTGAAATGTCTTCAATAGTCTTTTGATCTTATCACTCTTATTGTGCAGTTGTCAACATAACTTATCAAACTAGACAATGAGAGATTAGAACATGAGCAACATCATTCTTAAGGCTCCTTGTGGTTATCGAGATGTTGGAGGGGATAGAGAGATAAACCTGAGAAATATTTCAGTGAGAGAGTTGATGGGACTGAGGTTTGCACAGCCGATGGCAGTTGATTTTTAAAAATTGCTTATATGTGCAACTATATTTCCCTTTATAATTTTTATCCTTTACTCTGTGTGTAGAAAAGTGTATTTTATCCTGCTTTACTAGGACATTTGTGTTTTCATTTCTTTTTACAAATCTGAAATTCATGTTTATTTGTGAATTATCACTTCACTTAAACATTTTATACAATGCTTTTCTAGCAATTTGAGATTTTGGAGTACTATACCGCTGATATTGAGTGGCAAACATAAACATAACCACTAATCGTATCTTATGATCTAAATAGAATACATACTGGTTGGAGTGGGGAAATTGTGCATATCATGAAGTAAGGACAAGCATTAGAAATAAAGGAAATATTTCTTAAGATATTTGATAGCTTAGGAAATATCATTTCATAACACTTATATTTTCAGAAAAATATTTGATGTGTTTGTGTTCTATTTCTGAATTAGATGTCACAGTAATCACTGTGCTGACTCAGGCTCTGGTCTCCAAAAACAGCTTGATCAGTTAGGGCTGAGCAGTGACTCAGCCTGGTATTGGCAGAACCCAGTTTAGTATCCTGCGATTCTTACTGTGTATGCGCCTGTCTGACTTCACCCTGACTCAGTGGAATTGGTCTGAGACAGATGCCTTGCTCACAGTTAGGAGCTGAAATTATGAGGCTCCCACATGATGAGGAAACAGCCTTTCTTCTCATTGTAAGATGAGTTCTGAGGGCTTTTTTGCATCTGTGAATTGTGACTTCTCACGGGGAACTCACACACTTGAGTGACCTGAGAAGACCATGAAGTGTGATGTATTTAACCTCAATTACATCACCATTTCTCATGTGATTTTTTTTTCATTTCAGTTGTCAACGGGAACATTATCGTGCCCAAACTTACAAAACTTCCAGACAAAGCTTCCTGAGAGAAGTTGAAAGGCCACCATCAGCTGAGAAGCTGTGACGATATTTGTAGCTGCCTGAATTGGAGCCAACAAAAACCAGGTCAGGCTCTGAATCTTACTATTTATAGTAATTATGACCTGCACCTTGCTGTCCTTGCCAGGATTAGTGACAGTGGGTGGACTGATTTCATCCCCTCCATCAGCAGCCTGGAGGCTGAAGATGCAGCGTACTGTTACTGTCAACAACATAGGAGCTTGCCTGTCACGGTGTGAGAACTCTGGACAGCGAGAGGACACCAATCCACTCCTTTCTCTTGTCAAAATGACTGACATCTAAGTGGGAAATCTAATGAACCCCTCAGAAAGGGCCTTTGGATACTACTTTATCCCATGATGAAAGACAGGAACCGAAACCACACACATTTGATGGGAATTTGGGCTCATCCACTTAACAGCTGTGTGACTTTCAGGACGTTACTTAAACTTTCTTTGCTTGGTTTTCCCATCTGTAATAATAAAAAATAAAGGAATAGCTACATCATACGGTATTATAAGAGTTGAATAGATGTTTTTAAAATGTTTATAAATAGTAAACATTTGATAACATTATTTATCATTATTTTGCTCCACCCGGTAATTATATATATAATATTTCTCACCATATTTTTAAATTTGAACCATTTCATAATTTAAAAATTGTTTTGCAACTTCCACTTCTGTAAAATGGTGGAACGGCTTATGTGGAACCAACCTTCTGGGTACACCTAAAAAAAGCTGAATAAAATATGAAAACGTGTTTGAAGGCATTAGAGCATCACCATGTCTGAGAGTCTGATTACTTTTGATGTTTTATCCCTGACATCCTCCAAGCCCCTCCTCCTTTTTTCTCTGCCCATATCTCTATAAGCACTGGTAGGAAATTCCCCACAACCCTCCAGCTCACAGGGAGAACATTCTCTCACTCTCTCCCCTTACCAACTCTAAAAGCCTAAACTCTGCCTCTTCAGGCAGGTCTGCACCAGCTCGTGCCCACCCCACACAGGCATCCTTCGTGGGAACAATAAACACTCTCTCAAGTTTTCTTGGCCTCAACTTAATAATTATTAATTAGGGAACCGGCCCATCTACCTCCATGATGGGGCATTAAACATTACAACCCAGCAGGTCTTCAAGGAGACAAGAAAAGCAGGGAAGCATAGACAGGGGAGCACTAGTTTTGTGCCTTCAGTGTCCCTTGAGACATAAGCAGGCTCAGAAATAGAGGCCCAGTCCTGAAAATCTGAAAGAAAGGAGGGGCCAAGGGGCCTCGGAGTCCATCAGAGCTTTAAAAAACTCTCATATGGCCACAGGTGAAAAACTGTCCCGAACGACTGCAGAAAAGGAGGGATCCTGACACATACCGAGGTCTTGAGGTGAAATCTTGCTAGGGAAACATACCGGGAGGAGGTTGCACCAGGAGTAGCAAGGCACCACCGTGCTGATACCCAGGCCCAAAGTACTGCAGTCCTTTGATGGCATTAACTTGGTACAGCCCTAGCATTTCATTCTGGCAGAATAAGAAGTAAATCCTCTCTGGAGTGTGAAAATTATTCCAGAGCCCAAACTTGCTTCTAAAATGTTGTAGGGCAAGTATCAGTTTAAATCTACATAGATATTAAGTGTATTAAACATAGTGTGATTTCAATCAACAATACCCAAACATACAAAATGGAGAGAAAAAAAACAGGCAACAGAAAGGGACCAAAATAATTTGCGGATATTGGGACAATAGTATATTATATGCTGAATGCATTCTATGACAAGATCAAGAATTTTAGCAGAGAACAAGAAACTATAAAAAGAAATCAAACAAATGTCAAATATAAAGTAATTCAAACCAATAACTCAATGGATGAATGTAACGGTAAATTTGACAGTTAAATTTGCTCTTGCAAGTGATCCACTGGAAGTTTGGTCAGGCCATGAGGCAATTTGTAATAAATAAAAAGAATAAAATCATTTCTAGACAAATATGATGAACGTGATTTGATTTAATTAAGTGTAAATTATTGTCTCAAAAATTGTAAATTGATTGATCCTCAGGTGAAAGAAGCAACACTCCTTCCATTTTAGACCAAAATGTGTGAGAATTTCCTGACCAGAGAAAGAACACAGAGCACTGGGCAAGAAAAGGAGGCTGAGTGATGAGGTGGCAGCCTGGGACCCTCGAATCCACGTGAAGCCCTAAATTCCGCAGGCTTCAGTGCCTTGTGTGGAACCAGAGAGCAAAGCCATTTTCAAAAGCATTGCTCCGCCTGTAATCCCAGCAATTTGGGAGGCTGAGGCAGGAGAATAGCTTGAACCCCAGAGGCGGAGGTTGCAGACTGTCAAGACGATGCCATTGCAGTCTAGCCATTAGCATGGGCAACAAGAGGGAAACTCTGTTTCAAAAAAAAAAAAAAAAAGAAGCATTGCTCCTCGCCTTCAGACACAGCTTCCAATACAGTTTTGAAAAATAATTTAAATCATTCCATAAATACTGGAATGCAAATATTTCATAAAAATCTAGAATGTACTCCATTTAGAGAAGACAGAAGAGGCAGTCTTTCTGCTCTATAATCATCTGGAGGGCACTGTCCTGCTCTGAACTTGAGCTCTAGCCAGAGCTGATAATACGAAGACCTCTCTCTGTGCAGCCATCAGCCCTGACTCCCAGCACTGCAGGGGAGCTGAGAGAGGCCAGAGGCACAGACATGGTGGAAACTGCCCACAGATTCCGACTGAGGGAACAACGAAAGAGTGGAGTAAGAAATCACTGACTGAGCCGCTGTGGGCCTCAAGTCTGATAAACTTACGGTCACTCTATTGCTAACTAGAGAGCGTTGGACAGCAACATATTGTGTGGCCTCCACAACACTTGGAAACCAGACATGAGGAAATCCCAATTCATAGGTATTAACATCTAACTGAAAGCTACCCACCACTCGCTTATGTTTCCACAGTCTTGGATAGTGCCTGAAAACCATTTATGATTGTTTTAGGCATCATGAACAAGCAAGCAAACAAACAAGAAAGCGTGTTTGAGAATATGCAAAAAAGACTTACTTTATTCACTAGGAATGACACTGTCAAGTACCTACCGGGAAAAAACACCAGGTGTCTTGGCGGAGTTGACCACAAGAGGGGGCACGTGCGCAATAGCGATCCTAGAGAGGGCTCTGGGATCTCGGATTAACAATGGCCCAGAGTCCCGGCCGGTTCTGGGTATTATTATTATTATTATTATTATTATTATTATTATTATTATTACTATTATTACTTCATGATCCCAGTTCATAGCTTACCATTTTCACGCACTAATAATTTTACACCTCTTCGCGTTTCTTATTTTTCTAGCTGACTCTATTGTAGAAGGACAATTAAACTTAGGACTCAGAACAACCTAATCAATGGGTAATTGTTTAAACATCAGTTCCCTCTGTCACATACTGTGACATGCAGAGTGTGTGTAAGCCTGGAGAAATGATTCACAGGAAATGTCCATGAGGAAGAGCTGTGAGTGAGAGGGTCTGTCTAGCAAAGGAGAGGAGTGAGGACTAGGTTTTTTGGAGTGTGGCCTAGTAATTGAAGGGCATCAAAAGGACAAGGATCAAGATGTTCTTCATCCAGGTGTGAGGACATGCAAACCCTGCAGGTCCTCCCAGGCCAGTGGTCATGGTCTTGGAGACTTGTAGATCTAACTGTCATTTGCTCACATCCACAGTTACCACCTGGCTCCAAAGATAGCACTGGTATGGGCTAGCTTCCCGGATGCTCCAGAAGTGTAGATATAGTTTGCCAATGATTAAGAGGACAATGAAAATTGTATATTTGGTTAGATTTATATCTATGACTCCATTCAGGAAAGAAAAATGAGCAGAAGAAATAGCTCTCTGAACTAAATGAAAAATCACATCCTAGTGACATTTTTCCTTTCCCATATCGATCCTTTAATATCATGTTTGACACTTCAGAAGGTCAGCTGACCCCTGGGATATTTATCGTTAAGTCATGATTCTGCTCAACCTGAGCCCATGGTTGGACCATGCCCAGGCATCTGAATACAGCCGGCCTGGGAGCCGCAGTGAGGCATTCTCTCTCATAGGAAGCTTTGACTGAGGTTCAGAGATGAATGCCTAGCACTCAAGGTCTTTTGCATAGAAACATACATGGGCTATTTGACCGCTCCATCTAAGGTGTGAAAGTGAACCTGTTATCTGATTCTGCTCATCTAGGCTGAAAACAGACTTCCAGAAGATTCCCCTGCCCAGGATGGTCTTGTTGGGATGGATCCTCTTGCCCCTGGTGCTCTGCATTCATGGTACAGGATTCTTTGTACATATATGTAATTTTCAGGATGAGAACAGTGGTGGCCACTCTTATCCAGTGGGTGAGACAGTGAAGATCAATGGCCAAAGTTTTTATTTCAGCCTTTCATTCAGATGGCAGAGGCTTAAAAACCTGAAGAACACCTAGATATGATGTATCTTTTTTTTCATTCACAACCATTGTTTTTGACTTGCATTCAGACTGATCAATTGTTTTTCCACCCTTTCCCATCAGGCTACTGTGCTGACTCAGCCCCCATCCCTCCTGTCTGTGGCCGTGGGAGACAGGGTCTCCGTCTCCTGCAAGGCCAGTCGCAATCTCATCCATAGGAATGGAGACATCTACTTGAACGGGTTCCAACAGAAGCCACACCAATCTCCTCAACCACTGATCTATATGGTGACAAACAGGGCTCCTGGGTCCCAGCCCACGTCAGTGGCAGTGGGTCTGGGAGGAAGTTCACACTCACAATCACCAATGTGGAGCCAGGAGACGTTGCATATTACTTCTGTGAGCAGCGCACTCACTGGGACCCTATACAGTGGAACAGCCCTAAACATACACCTCCCTGTCAGGCCTCTGAGCCCAAGCTAAGCCATCACATCCCCTGTGACCTGCATGTATACATCCAGATGGCCTGAAACAACTGAAGATCCACAAAATAAGTGAAAATAGCCTTAACTGATGACATTCCACCATTGTGATTTTTTCCTGCCCCACCCTAACTGATACGATATAGTGTCCCCTGCCCTTAAAAAGGTACTTTGTAATATTCTCCCCGCCTTTGAGAATGTACTTTGTATGCCTATCCCAAACCTATATGAGCTAATAATAATCCCACCACCCTTTGCTGACTCCTTTTTCGGACCAGCCCGCCTGCACTCAGGTGAAATAAACAGCCTTGTTGCTCACACAGAGCCTGTTGGTGGACTCTCTTTACATGGACACACGTGACACACCCATGCAGGGTCAACCCTTCTGCTCAGCTGAGCATCTGCTTCCTCCAGGGAATCAGTGTCTGAGCAGCTGCTCCTCTTAGAGAAGAAGGAAATTGGGGTGAGGTAGAAATGGTGAGGAGCCCTTGAAGGAGGTGGGAAGATGTGGTGTGGCTCTAAGCCCAGGGGTCCCTCTCATTAAATGATCAGTGTCCAGACAGCATTGCTGAGGCAGCTCCCAGAGGGCTCCATCCTGAGTCCCTCTTCTCAGGCCCCCTGTATCACTGGCCCTGAAGAAATACTCTCCTGTTGTCCATGGCTCCAAGAACAGTTTGCCTTGCCCTGACTTTGCTGCTCAACTCACAGCCTCATGGCAGATTCCACTGGACCATACACAGTGTCAGATCCATAAGGAGGTACTGGTCTGTTCTAAATCAGCTGTTCTGATTCTCAACTTCCTGCCTAATGGCTCATCTCCATGAGATTCATGTGCTCCACCCTTTCTGGCTCAGCCATGCTCTTCCTGGCTTCCCCTAATCCCAGGTTTTCCCCTGGAAGTTTGACAGGCTTCTCCTCTAAGTATGTTGTCAATTTATTTTCTTACTTGCTTGATTCCTGGGGAAACAAGTCCTTTCAAGCCTAGGCCCTTCTGAGACCTCAGGGATGCAAGGCAAAAAGAGCAAAGCAGCTGCACGTGTATGAGACTGAATTGGTCACCTAAACTGTCATTTAACTTTTTTGCTAAGTCATTGCTTTTCTCTGGAAATAGTTTTTCAAGATGCAAGTATTTGATTTTTAAAACATGTGTGGCTTTACCAAATGCTTTTCTTCTAAGTCTTCTTCTCCACAAGTCCAAGTTAGGCTAATTATATCCAGTAAAGTCTGGTAGCCCTTCTCTAATAGCTCCTCTTTCCATACCCCTAGCAACACTCAGTCATAATCCCACTGATTCATCAGATGACAAATGCAAAAACTTGGAAAAATATATATTCTTCATAACAAATGCTATATATTTTAAACTGAGGCCCTAGACTTTCATCTTCTCCAATATTGTGTCTCAACTGTGTGAATTATATAATATGGCAGCAATTGTATTTCAATCTCTCCAGTTAGGAGCAGCTCAGTGCTTGCAGTATCTTTCCATTTGATTTCTATAACATTCCTAGTGGTAGAAAACTCAATTCATTTATCCAATTACATGGCTTAGTAACAGCTGTCTGTTGGTGTATACTTCTATGTTTTAATAATCCTATTCCCCTGTTCCATTATTCAAGCTAACAACATTCCATTGGTAAATGGCATCACTGAAAATTTACTGTTTAAGAATGAACATTATTTTTTCAATATTCTTAATTGGTTAGCAGACTTCAAAAATAACTAAATTCTGAAAAAAAAATAAGTAATGGCAGGCTCAGAGAAAAATAAATTATTTCTAATAATGTGAGGACATGACCAAATAGGAAGAGCAGTGAAAGCAGTTGCGTGTGCTCCCTTTGTCCAAAACATTTTACAGAAAGGATTTTATTGATCACAGTCCTTCATCATCACAGGTAATAAGACATGTTGACATTATGCAACTCAAGATGATGCACTGGCTGACAAGGACCATCTCTTTTGTGATATTCTTGTCAAAAACATATAATCTGAATTAATTAATAGAGAAAATTAGAAGGGCAATCTTAAAAATCATTGATAGTACATTTTACAAGCATCAAGGTCATGAAAGACAAAGAAAGAATAAACAATGATCACAGATTGGAGGAGATTAAGGAGACAAGAAAATTAAGTGCAATATGTCATCCTGGATTTGATACTGGAACTTGAAAGAATCTTTAGTGAAAAATTTAGTGGAATCCAAATATGGAGTAAATACTATTGTATCAATATTAATTTTTCATTTTATATCATCCCACTTTGGTTATTTAAGATGTTTAATATTAAGAGAAGGTAGAGGAGAAGTATATTGAAACAATCTACTACTTTTGAAACTTTGCATAAATCTAAATTTATTTCAAAACTAATTAAAATATACAAATGAAAATATAAGTAAGAAAAGAACATAAGCTCCTAAGGAGCAATTCCACAAGTATCATTCTATTTTTCCTCATTTTCTTATTTGTGATTTCTGTTTCTTGAAATGACAATCCTGGTTTCTATTATCTATAGCAGTGGTCCCCAACCTTTTTGGCACCAGGGACTGGTTTCATGGAAGACAATTTTTCCATGGGTCTCAAGAGTCGGGGATGGTTTCAGGACTATCCAAGCACATATTTATTGTGCACTTTATTTCAATTATTATTACATTGTAATATATAATGAAATAATTGCACAACTCATCATAATGTAGAATCAGTGGAAGCCCTGGGCTTGTTTTCCCGCAACTAGATGGTGCCATCTGGGGGTGATGGGAGACAGTGACAGATCATCAGGCATTAGTTTCTCATAAGGAGCACACAACCTAGATCCCTCACATGTACAGTTCAAAATAGGGTTTGCACTGCAGTGAAAATCTAATGCTGCTGCTGATCTGACAGATGGTGGAGCTCAGGTGGTAATGCAAGCAATGGGGAGAGGCTCTAAAGACAGAGGAAGCTTTGCTTGCTTACCTGCTGCTCACCTCGCAGTTGTAAAAGACCAAATGAGATGTTGAATTCAATAGAGTTATTTTAAAGATGTTTAAAAAATTTATTTCTTTCGATCAGCACTCTATGATCAAATACTTAAAATGGAAAATATGAAAAAAATGATTAAACACATTGTACCTAGCTGAGGGATTTTTCCTAACCACTGCACAAATGAAGACCACGACATTGTGTAACTGCCCAATGTGTTCACCTTGCCTGCTGCCTAGACAGAGCTGAGTTCTCAAGACAGGGGAATTGCAACAGAGAACGAGTAATTCAGGCAGGGCTGGCTATGCGAGAGACCAGAGTTTTATTATTACTCAAATCAGTCTTGCTGAGCATTTAGGGAGCAGAATTTTTAAGGACAACTTGGTGGGTGGTGGGTGAGCCAGTGAGCCAGGAGTGCTGATTGGTCAGAGATGAAATCATAGGGAGTCAAAGCTGCCTTCTTGCACTGAGTCAGTTCCTGGGTGGGAGACCATAAGATCAGATTAGCAGTTTATTGATCTGGGTGGTGCCAGCTGATCCATCAAGTGCAAGATCTGCAAAATATCTCAAGCACTGATCTTAGGAGCAGTTTAGGGGGGGTCAGAACCTTGTAGCCTCCAGCTGCATGACTCATAAACCATAATTTCTAATCTTGTGGCTAATGTTAGTCCTACAAAGCCTATCTAGTCCCCAGGCAAGAAGAACATCTGCTTTGGGAAAAGGCTGTTATTGTCTTTGTTTTAAACTCTAAACTAAATTCCTCTCAAAGTTAGTTCAGCCTATGCCCAGGAATGAACAAGGACAACTTGGAGGTTAGAAGCAAGATGGAGTCAGTTAATTTAGACCTCTTTCACTGTCTCAGTCATAATTTTGCAAAGTCAGTTTCATTTGCAATAAAGAGTTTTGGTAGACATGAGGCTGGCCACACCACATGGGAGACAGAGTTAGTACTCAAATCAATCTCCCTGAAGGCCTGTAGTTAGGGGTTTTTCAAAGGCAGTTTGGAGGAAGGGGTGGCCAGGTAATGGGTGCTTGCTGCTGATTGGTTGGGTCAGAAATGAAGTCATAAAATGTCAGAGCTGTTCTCTGGAGCTGAATCTCTCCTGAGTGGGGCCACAGGATGTGGGTTAGCAGGTCCAGGTGGAGCCATTGCTGTCAGATATGCAACAATACTTGAAAATATATCTTAAAAGGCCAATCTACAATAGTGGTGTTATCTGCAGGAGTATCTGGTGACCAGTCCACACCTTAGCAGAATCAGGCTCCTCTTTTCCCACTATTTGATGGCCTTTCATGATCTTTACAAAGGTAGCTGAGTTTTGGGTAACCCATATCATCATTTAAACTATAACCTAAATGGCTTCCAAAGTTAGCTCTGCCCAAAAGCCCAGGAATAATTAAGGAAAATGCAAGATGGGGAGGTGGGTTAGATCAGATCTCTTTTACTGCCATAATTTTCCTACTATTAAAATTTTTGCAAAGGTGGTTTCAAAATAGCGACTTTCAATATAACAGTGGAAGTTATGAAGACAAAAAAATATCAAAAGAGAATTTTAAAACTGAAAAGTAGAATAACTCAATTGAAAATTTAGATAGGTACCACAATAGTTGACAGTGTCAGAAGAATCAGTGAACTTGAAGATCAACCAATAGAAATAATCTGTTCCAAAGAATAAAGATGTAAGCAGCCAAGCAAGACCTCAGAGATGTATAGGTCAGTGTGAAGAACACCAACAAATGTGGATGGGAGTCACAAAGGAGAAGGGAGAGAGAAAGGAGCTGAAAAAGTATATGAAAAATAATGGGAACATCTTTTCAAATGTATTGAAATACATTACTATATAGATCCAAGAAATGTGATGAAACACATCCAGGGGAAGCAAAAAAGATTCATAACTACACATATTGTAATTAAAATGCTGAAATACAGTTACAAAGGGAAAATCTTCAAGAGAAAAAAAACCACTATGTACAAAGATACAATAATGTAGACACTGAATAAGGGTCCATTATTTCTAATGGAGACGAGAAGACGGTGGAATGGCATACTCAAATGCTGAAAGAAAAAAATCAACCCAAAATTCTATATACAGCAAAAGTATACTTTAACAATAAAGCAAACTAAACATATTTCTTTGTCGATAAAGAGTCAAACTCTCTAAAATATTTGAAGAGATTTATTCTGAGCCAAATGAGTGACCGTGGCCCCCAACACAACCCTCAGGAGGTCCTGAGAACATGTACCCAAGGTGGTTGGGGCGCAGCTTGGTTTTATACATTTTAGAGAGGCATGAGACGTCAATCAAACACATTTAAGAAATACATTGGTTTGATCCAGAAAGGCGGGACAACTCAAAGCAGGGGTGAGGATCGGGAGTGGGGAAGCGGGGGAGGGTCCAGGCTCTAACTAGCATTTCCTTGTTGACAATTGGTTGAGTTTGTCTAAAGACCTGGGATCAATAGAAAATAAATGTTCAGGTTAAGATAAAAGACTGTGGAAGACCAAGGTTCTTTTGAAGTCATATAGTGGCTGCCTTTAGAGACGATAGATTACAAATATTTCCTATTCAGATCTTTAAAATGTGCTACACTCTTCTTTAAGATTGGGAGAGCCTGGAAGAAAAAGATCTAGCTATGTTAATAGAGATTCTTTACAGATGCAAATTTTTCCCCACAAAGGACAGCTTTGCAAGGCCATTTCAAGATAGGGCAAAGAAACATGTTTTGGGGTAAAATATTTTAATTTTCTGCCTTGTTGCATAATGTTACACCACAGTCAGGTTGGAAAGTAAGTCCAGGGATATGTAGGGTTAAATAAAACCCATCTGATGAGAATTTATAGTTTGTAGGGCATGACTCCCCAGACTCCTTAGATAGGAACTGAGACAAGGAAAAAAAAAATCAGAGCTTAGTCCTTACCTTGATAAACACAAATGAAAAGAAATTATTACTTGTAGACATTCAATAAATTATCTGAAATCAATTTAAGAAAACATTGTTCAGAATCACATGAAATTATAGAGGACAGTAATTTGAATCCACAAGCAGAAATAAAGGCCTCGAAATAGTAAAGAACTGGGAAAAAAATAGACACAATGATAAAAAAAAGTTTACTTCAATTTCTATGATATTCACTACCAAGTACAAACAAACTATCGTGGTAGATGTCAGAAAGACAGTTACTTTGGTTGGGATGGGGAGGCAGTTATTGAATGGGAAGGTGTACGAGAGAATCATCCAGAAATTTTGAAACATTCTATAGTTTCAGCTGGATAGTGAATATACATAAAACTTTATTCATTCCACATTTAGGATTTCTGCCCTTTATATGTGGTTTATTTCAATGAAAAAAAAATAGAAAAGCCAAGCCTAGATTCTTTTAAAGAAAATTGGAGGCAAGAAAAAAGAATCAGCCAATATTTATGGAAACTCAACTTTATTAAAGACAAGTGCAAAATGTGCCTGGAAAAGTGCTAAAGAACTGTTGAAAAACAGGTGGAAAGAAAAGGAAATATTATAATATGTCTCTTCTCCAACTGAAGCAACACAGATTTTATCTTGGTTAGTTTTCCTTGAAACACGCAGGATATTTTATGTCCCCTTGCCCACAAGAGAAGCCCTCATCCTCCTGTTGTTGCGCTTAGCATCACTGCACCCACCGGGGGATTTGCATATTGTCCTCTAGGGAGGACCTTCCCTTGTGGGTCTGAGATAAAAGCTCAGCTCTAACCCTTACCTTGACTGATCAGGACTCCTCAGTTCACCTTCTCACTATGAGGCTCCCTGCTCAGCTCTTGGGGCTGCTAATGCTCTGGGTCCCTGGTAAGGACAGAAGGAGATGAGGGAGGAGAATGGGGTGGGAAGGTAAGCCTGGGGGTCCCACTGCCTTCCATGTGTGTTCTGCCCTGCCCATGTGTTAGATGTACAGGTCTTGTTCTCCAGGATGGGGAATGTGAGGTTTAAATCTGTGAGAGTGAGGACAATTCAAAAAGAAGCAAGGACCTGTGTGATCTGGTGAAGATTGTCACACAGAGAAAGGGAGGTGGTGTAGGTGATTTCTAGAATCCCCTTTGCGGCTTGCAAATTTGGAATATGTTTAGTGTATAAATACAAACAACAAAAAATTATATAGCCTGAAATAAAAAATGAAAATTTATGATAAATGACACATGATATTTGTACATATCCTTCCACTTCTTTCTATTTATTTTAGGATCCAGTGCAGAGATTGTGATGACCCAGACTCCACTCTCCTTGTCTATCACCCCTGGAGAGCAGGCCTCCATGTCCTGCAGGTCTAGTCAGAGCCTCCTGCATAGTGATGGATACACCTATTTGTATTGGTTTCTGCAGAAAGCCAGGCCAGTCTCCACAGCTCCTGATCTATGAAGTTTCCAACCGGTTCTCTGGAGTGCCAGATAGGTTCAGTGGCAGCGGGTCAGGGACAGATTTCACACTGAAAATCAGCCGGGTGGAGGCTGAGGATGTTGGAGTTTATTACTGCATGCAAGATGCACAAGATCCTCCCACAGTGCTACAGCCCTGAGCACAAACCTCTCTGCTTGAAGTGGCCCAGCTGCTCACATGTGATGTTTGTCTGGGGAGCAGCACAGCAAGTTCTCTGAGTCTGTGCATGAGGAAAATGTTGGACAACTCAGAGGAGTAGATTGGTCTCATGAATTCCTTGGTTACATCTCAGGAACTACTCATTTGTGCAGCTGCAAAAGCCTTGACATGGCAAAAGCAGTAGGAGAATGGGGAAGGTCCCATGGAGCTGATGCTGATTCATGATGCAACTGAATAAAAGCTCATTCGAATCCTCCTTTCTTACATTTCTCAATTGTAGTTAATCAGCATAAGTGCCAGGCAATTGATACAAATGTTGGCAACACATGCTGAGTGCCTCCTCATTTGTATGTATTTCATCCATTTTTGTATATTTTAATAGGATAATTATTTGGTCATATTTAGAAATTGGTATTTTCCACCTTCCAAGCTTTCTACTTTCCTTACTTATTGCTTCTCTTCCTATGTAATAAAGATACTGTAGACAACATTTTACACTAGTTGTAAAATGTGGCTCCCCATTTATACGGGTAGCTGGTTGGGGGCAATTAGCAAAAATCTTGGTTTTTGAGTGCCTAAATAGACTTTTGTAAATTAATGTCAGATACAAGATCCAAATGCTAAAACTCTTTGATTTGCCTTGATTACTTCTTACTGATAGATCATAAAAGGAATTCTTGAAATTCCAAAAGTTGGGTTTTAAAAATAAAAGCATACACTGGAATATACAGGGCATAGAATTCACCCTATATATTGCTAGAAGAATAGAGAATGATAACAGTTTTAGACTTCGAGGGTACTTCAGGAATGGGAACACACAAGGAACACAGTAGATATGAGCTACTGTGTCTACCGTATTAGACAATCCTCCTGCATTTTAACTTACATTTGGTGAACTTCAGATGCCAGTGGGTGTTGCAAGTTGATGACATAAACCTAAAATCAAGTCCCGAGGTATTTCTTGTGAAGAGTCACAGAGTTGAAGAGACCACTGCCTGGCTTCCTGAGTTGAGCCTGTGCCACTGCAAGTTTCATGGGAAAATGGCGAGAAAAGCTGTTTAGGTTTGTAATCATCAAAGGTTTAGTGAAGTTCCCGTGCAAAGAGACTCAATCCCATTCAACTCAGCATGAAGAGATCTTCTAGAACTCATTCTGCCCCTATAGCAGAGATGATGTGGTCAGGTTTGTGGAGATGAACATGCAATGACGTGTTAACCAAAAGGCCCAGCAGAAAGGGATAGTGATCAATGTCCATGGTTCAGACATATACAAAGGATGATTTGCACAGCACTGGAGGAAAAAACATCCTGAGTGTTGGAGATTTCTGCCTTCCTACCCAAGCTCCCGCAGCCTGTCTCCTGACTCAGAACTCAGCAAATGCCACATGAAAAATCTGGCTATGGTTGCACAGAAATTGCCCTGTGCAACCTTCAAAGCTCAGTTATGTTCTCTCTTCTTGCTGGGTTTCTCTGTCTGTGCCAAATCAAAATTTCTATCCGAACGCACATTTGGTAAAAAAAAAAAAAAAAAGGGCAGAAAAACAAAATGTCAGATGAACACCAACTCAACTAGAATTAGTTGTTTTTTTACTCTAGAATTTTAGATCACCTAGTCCTCATTTCTTCCATTACTTTCTAATGTCACTAATAGGTAACTTTGCATTTTATTTGTTTTTATTGGCACATTGTAATTGTACATATTTATGGAGTACACTTTGATGTCTTGATATGTACATATGTTGAAAAATGATCAAATCAGGATATTTAGGATGTGCATCAGCTCATGTATTTACCATTTCTTTATGTTACTCTGGGTCCCAGGTGAGGGGAATATGCGGGGGGGCGTGGGGGGTTCTGTGTGTCAGTGAAAACTCTCTCAACTTTGTTGGGTCCTTCAACCTGGCATTTCCGCTCAGCAAGCACAATAATTAAAGCTCAATGTAAATCAATGGTCTTGACTCTATTGGAAAGACAATGGGTATAATCTAGATTACATGTGTGATTATTTGTTTTTCTGTTTAAACTGTTTTTTCAAAAAATAAATTTTATTCTGTATATTTTAGGTTTGCAATATGATGTTGTGGCATACATATAGATAGTAAAATGCTTACTATAGTGAAGAGAATGAACATTTATCATCTCACATAGTTACTTTTTCGTCTGTGACAAGAGCAGCTGGAATCTACTTATTTAACAAAAATCTCTAATACAGTACAGTTTTATTAACTATAGCCCTCATTTTCTACAGTAGATCTCTATACTTGCTATTCGTAAATATTTACTACCTTGCATCTTTGGACCTACATCTTCCCATTTCTTCCCATTCCACCCCCGGCCCTTAATAACGACTGTTTCATTCTCTATTTCTGCATAATTTATCTTTTTAGTTATTTAATTTATTTTTAGGTTTACATGTAAGTAAAATCAGGCAATATTTTTATTTCTGTATCTTGCTTTTTTCACTTGGAATACTGTCCTCTAGGTCCATCCACATTACGGCAAATAGAAGAATCTTCTTTTTCTGCTGGGTGTGGTGGCTCATGCCTGTAATCCCAGCACTAGGCGGGTGCATCACCTGACATCAGGAGTTGAATACCAGCCTGGCCAACATGGCAAAACCCTGTCTCTACTAAAAATACAAAAAATACAAAAGAAAATTAGCTGGGCGTGTTGGCATGGGCCTGTAATCCCAACTACTCAGGAAGCTGAGGCAGGAGAATCGCTTGAACCCGGGAGGAGGAGGTTGCAGTGAGCTGAGATAGCATCATTGCACTCCAGCCTGGGCAACAAGAGTGAGACTTCTCTAAAATAAAAATAATAATAATAATAAAAAAGAATCTTCTTGTTTAAGGCTGAATTATATTCCATGGTGTGTGTGTGTGTGTGTGTGTGTGTGTGTGTGTGTGTACATTTATGTATACCACATTTTCTTTATTCATTTATTTGTCCACGGATGCTCAGGTTTTTCTCATTTCTTGTGAATAATGCTGCAATAAACACGGGAGTGTAGGTATCTTTAAAAGAAGGTGGTGATTTCATCTCTTCTGGGTATGTATCCAAAATAGGGTCACTGTTGGGTTATAAGGTGGTTAGGTTTTGAATTTCTTTAGGAACCTCCATACTGTTTTCCATAATGGGTGCACCAATCATCATTCCCACCAACAATGTACAAGTGTTTTATTTTCTTCACACCCTCATCAATATTTATCTCTTGTCTTTTTTATAATAGCCATCCTAAAGACTGTAAGGCGTTTTATTTCTAATCTCAGATTTCACTGTAGAAACAGTGATGACACAGTCTCCAGCTTCCCTGTCTTTGTCTCTGGAGAAAAAAGCCACCCTGACTTGCAGGGCCAGTCAGTGTTAGCAGCTACTAAGCCTGGTACCAGAAGAAACCTGAGCGGGTTCCCAGGCTCCTCATCTATGGTACAGCCCTGATTTGTGATAGTGGGTCGGGGACAGGGCTTACTCTCACCATCGGCAGCCTGGAGCCTGGAGCCTGGAGATTTGCACTTCATCACTGTTATCAGCATAGTAGTTGGTGTCCCATACTGATTCGACATGCAACAAAAACCTCCAGGAGACCTAAGGTGTTTATTTGATTATACTACCTGCTTCCTTTTTAGTCATCTGATGTGGTGCTGCTCAGTTTTAGCATCTCTGCTTTGATTGGAAATTCTGAGGTTCTCAAAAGTAATTCCTTATAATATTTATAGTTTCACTCATGGATTTTTTTCTCAGACCCAAATGTACAGCCAGGTTCAGGCACAATTTCATGGTCAAGGCCATTGGATCAGACTCACATGAGTGGACGCCTCTAAAGGTCCTGGCCAGTGCGATAAAGTAGCAGCGACAATGATAAAGAAGAAGAATTAGAAAGGCAGAATTAAAGGTATAACAATTCACTGATGAAAGGACTGTGTGGGGGAGAAATTTCTAATTGTCTACACAGAAATTATTAGAATTAATGAGATACATAGCAAATTGTTAGATTAAAGATCAATATAAAATATATTTATTTTTATATAAATGTAACAACTGCTAAAATTAAAATTATGAAACACATCATTTATAGTAGCACCAAACCAAGAGGCATTAGAAAAAACTAACAAAATATACTGACAGCTCCAGAATATAATTCAAAGAAATCAAAGAAAATCTAAGCAAATGGAAGGCCACAGTACTTTCAAAGGTTGAAAGTCCCAGTATTGTAAAGATGTTCATTCTTCACAGATTGATATATTAAAGATAATCGAAATCAAAATTTCAAACCGTTTTTAAATGGAAATGTAAAAGCTGATTCTACATATCATATTACATTGTTAAGGAGTTTGAATAACCACAATAAACCCGAAGAAGCCCAAGAATGAGGACTTACACTACTTGGATACTCGAACCATGCTGCTGATGTGAGTTCAAACAAATTGCCTAATGCAACAGAAGAGAGTATTCTGAGAATGACTAACACATATAGTGACACTTTTTAGGGACAAAGGTGACACTGCACAACAGAGTGAACACAATAAAAAGCTGTCCAACATCAATAATCATCCCAGTCCTACAAATGAAAATCACAACTGTCTGCCACTAAAACTTCAATAGGATGACTCAAAGGGACAATGCCAAATACAGTGACGGAAAGGGGGAACTAGAAGGGCCACACATTGTGTTTGGGAATATAAAGTGGTACCACAAGTTGGAGAACTGACACTGAATATATAATCCCTTTTTAATCCAGCCCTTCCACTCAGAAATGTGTACAGATGTGCACAGAAAGAAATGTGCAATAACACTCGGCCGGGCGCAGTGGCTCAAGCCTGTAATCCCAGCACTTTGGGAGGCTGAAGCAGGCAGATCACAAGGTCAGGAGTTCGAGCCCAGCCTGGCCAATATGGTGAAACCCTGTCTCTACTAAAAATACAAAAATTAGCTGGGCGTGGTGGCGGACGCCTATATTCCCAGCTACTAGGGAGGCTGAGGCAGAAGAATCGCTTGAACCCGGGAGGTGAAGGTTGCAGTGAGCCGAGATCATGCCACTGCACTCCAGCCTGGGTGACAGGGTGAGACTACATCTCAAAAATAAATAAATAAATAAATAAATAAATAAATAAATAAATAAATAACACTCATAGCATTATTAGTGATAGCCCCAAACTGGGAACATTCTAAATACAAATCTAGAGTAATTTGAATAAATAAAATGAGGTAGGTGCATACAATTAAATACTATGGATGAATGAAAATATAAAAGCTGCTACTACATCCATGAATGTGGGTGTATCTTACTAGCATAATAATGCGCAAAAGACGTTAGAAATAAAAAGCTCACTATCCATGATTCCTTTTTATATAGTTCAAAAACCGCCATCACTAAATCAATGTTACTGAAAGTGAGATTTAAATTTGCATTGGAGAAGAGTGGGGCTAATGTTTGGGAGGAGACAGAAGGTGCTTCTAGGAGACCGGGAGTGTTCTGCTTTGGTACGGTTGTTATACAGTGTGTTCAATCTCTGAAAAATTTATTAAAACCTGCATTATAATTTGTGAGTGCATATACACATGTTGAGATTTGTGAATATACATGTATGGGTAAGTTTTATCTTATCAAAAGTTTATTTTAAAAAAGTTATGAAGCATAATGTTATTTGCACCAATCAATGCATCCTAACTTCTTTCCTTGTCTAATCAAATTGTATTTAATTATAATCTGTATTCATTTTCACATTCCATCTATGGAACCAGGGCACCAAATGTAAGGAAGCCCAGGGTTTACAAGGTTACCACACTGTTAGTGTCATCAGGAACACATGAGTCACTATAACCTCTTTTATTTTTTTGTCCTGGAAAGCATCAAAATTCTAAGCTACTCAAAATGTATTGCATTTTAATGATGGTTCCTATTTACCCTAAATGTACGAATCCAATTAAGTCAGTATTTGTAGAATCAGAACAATTTGCTTCAATGTGTTTTTCACTTTTATTTATTCACTGAAGACACTGGTAATTTTACACTATAAAAAGTGAAATAAAAACATACACAAAATTATACTTGCTCTATCCTTCAGTAAAGATGAGATGACTAAAACCCAGATAGATTTGTTGATAGGAATTATTCAAGATGATCCAGCTAGTTGAAGAGCATCACTTAGAATTCTGGTGACCCCTTTTTAGGACAAAGTTGTTGCTAAATAATTCTAAAGATGTGCCAGTAACTTGCTAAGAACATTGAAGTACAAGTTTTTGTGTAGATATATGTTTTCCTTTTTCTTGGGTCCACACTTAAGAGCTTCCTGGATCATATGGTAACTCTATGTTTAACCACTTGAATTGCAGACTGTTTTCCAAACCTGCTGCACCATTTTTCATTTCCACCAGCAGTGCAAAGATTCTATTTTATTGCCAACCTATGCAATGAGAAGAAAAAACCTCTGAGTGAGGAGGCGTTTAGAAGAACTAGAATATATCCAGATGTAAGAAAATAAATCCAAGGTAGCTTAGAGATGCCCATTAAATAGTTTTTAAATTTTTCCTAGTCTTCCCAAACCTGGTTACATGTTTTTACTACTTGGTGGATGGTACTCACTCGCAATGGTGTTTAGAGTTGGGAATGGACTCAGGAAGTGGAAAAGTTCCTTCAGACAAGGAAGAACTGGTTCAAGACACAAACTAAGGAGAGCTAATCAGAATGAAAGACGGGGAGCTGAGGAAAGTGAAATGAAAATTTCCTGTAGGAAGGAGGTAACATTTAAGCAGAATGCCTTGTTCTTTAGGTAGTGTGTCTGTCCTTAGGATCTTGTGCTCTGGACTAGTGCCTGACATAAAAGGACTGAGCACTGACATCTCTCTCTCTCACTAATTAACTTTTTGTGTCAGTTGTTGTAATTCCTTATATAGAGTAGAATGATCTCGAAAGGTTAGATGTTTTATTTAAAAAAAATTAATAAATGACCACCGTGAGTGAATCCTAAACAAGATAGAATGGGAATAAACTGAAAGAACAAAATATAAGCATATATGTCATATTTACTTTTTGTTATGCCTATATAAATCTATAATTTTAAATTTTGAAGTCAAGGAAAATACTGGTTATTAAATTTTATCATCTATTAAACCAGTATGATGGTAAAACTTGTTATTGCCCTTCAATTATGATTCCTAATTTTGCATGAGTAATATTGTCATTGTTATAGTCAGATTATTACAGTTAAATTGCATTGCATTATATGCCTTATATTTGAGGAATTTTTCCTATGGAATGACTTTGCATTTATCAACACATTTTTAACTTAGTTAGATTAACTTATAGGTTTTGTTGATTTTTATCCTCACCAACATTCTTTTACAATCACAAACCACAGCTTCCTCTTCTTGAGCAACCGACTTTACTTCATCTCTTTATCAGCTGTAATACATTTTTCAAGGGTTTCTAGTTTCATAAATCCTTATGCATATCATAATTTACTTGTTTCAAATTAAAAATTTTCTTCATATTTTATTTCCCTAGTTCAATAGAAAATGCATGCAGTATAATTTCTTTTATAAAAACTTTGCACATTTTCAAATATAATTACATTGATTACTGGGAGTTCATTTTGCAGGCCAGGACTCTGAAGAAAGCCTGACATTTATCTTTGAAAAAAATAACCCTTACATTCTTTGAATTTGTATTTTATTATGAAATATTTGTGTTTTCTCATTTTATAAATGTTTGAATACAATTGTGTGACTCCACTGAATTTACACTCATTAGTAGTTAACAGACATGGAAATTTTATTTCAGATTACATTTCTTCTTACTGATTCTTTTCTAAGGACTCATTTCTTCCTTAGGAAAATGTTTAATTCTCAGGTTTAACTTTCTACTCTGTTTTTCTGTCTAAGCTCTCTCTTTATTATCTAATGTCATGATTCTCTCCTTTGAAAAACAAAAGTGCTACTCTAGTTTGCCTTCCATATCACTGTTTTGATCAATTGCAGTGCCAATTCTGCTATATTGTCTTGAATATTGGGTTTTGTTTTTAATGATGCAGTTTGTTTTATTTTTCTTATATTGCAACAGAGTTTAAGGAACTATGCTTACATTTTCGATAATTACATATTTTGTGCTATTTTTCATCCTAGGTTATATGTTTTTCTTTATTTTATTGATTATGCAAAACATAATGTAGAAATGTTCTGGAGTCCGCAAGAGTTTTTTTTTTTACTTAACTTTTCTCGTTAATTTATTTTTTTTACAACATCTTCTTGTCCTCCTTTCAATTCCTCCTTCTTCCCTTTCATTTTTCTTTTTCTATTATCTTTTTTAATGGGCCTCAACTTTATTAACTGATTGCAAGGAATAATAATCAATGATGGTTAATAACACAATTATAATGTTGGTCCATAATGCACTTTTATTATTAATCCATTATGGTTCTTATTTATTTATTCATATTTTTAGCACTCACTAATGCATTCATTAATATTAGTAATATAATAAATTCATGTTACTATCCTGCAAAACAACCACTTAAGATATCAACTGGTATCCATTTTGAGGTTCTCCACAATCTCTTAAACATATTATTTCCCACCACCAAGTTAATCAAAATTTTCAATTCAATATTCTTTATCAATGTAGTTTATTTCTTCTATATGTATTCCTTTAAAAAGTTGTTTATTTCTTTTAGACATTATAAAAAGGATGTCATACTAGTGAAGTCTAAGTTATTAATTTCTTTATGCTAGATATTTTGTTTATTTTCTCTAAGAATTATTTTTTTATCTCTAGGGTCATGAAATATATTTCTATACCCTTTTGTAGAGGATTTACTCTTGGGCCTTTCATATTTATATTTAAAATTTATTGATGATTAACATTTGTATATGGTATAGAATTAAGATTCATTTTCATATAATACAGATACTGAATTGATCCAGTATGATTAATTTATTTTACTTCTACTACTTTGAAGTAGCACTTTTATTGTAAATCAAATGACTACGGATGGGTGGATCAGTTTCTGGATTCTCAAACTGATTGAACTGGCTAATTTGTTTGACACTTCACTGATACCATATATTTTAATTACTGTAACTTACAGGCTTTGGTATTGTGTACTATTAGTCCTCCAACATTTTTTATCTTAGCAAGACTGTCTTGATTACTTTTTGCATTTTGAATGTTCATATATATTTAAGTAATGTCTTTTCAATTGCAACAACAATTCCCTGAGATTTTTTATTGTGAACGTTTTCAACAAATTTAGGGAGAATATACACTATTAAGTCTCCCAATTCATGAGCATGGTGCAACCTTCCATTTATTGGAGTTTTCTTTATTTTTATCCAACTGCATTTTGTACATTTCTGTTTGGTTTTGTTGAACATTTTTTTTATGTTTTATTTTTATTATTTTTATTTTTTTATTTTTTATTATACTTTAAGTTTTAGGGTACATGTGCACATTGTGCAGGTTAGTTACATATGTATACATGTGCCATGCTGGTGCGCAGCACCCACTAACTCGTCATCTAGCATTAGGTATATCTCCCAATGCTATCCCTCCCCCCTCCCCCCACCCCACCACAGTCCCCAGAGTG
This sequence comes from Homo sapiens, assembly GCF_000001405.40. NCBI lineage: Eukaryota > Metazoa > Chordata > Mammalia > Primates > Hominidae > Homo > Homo sapiens. Next base: position 89,186,456 of record NC_000002.12, on the reverse strand, counting down.
TGATATTCCCCTTCCTGTGTCCATCTGATCTCATTGTTCAATTCCCACCTATGAGTGAGAATATGTGGTGTTTGGTTTTTTGTTCTTGCAATAGTTTACTGAGAATGATGATTTCAAATTTCATCCATGTCCCTACAAAGGACATGAACTCATCATTTTTTATGGCTGCATAGTATTCCATGGTGTATATGTGCCATATTTTCCTAATCCATTCTATCATTGTTGGACATTTGGGTTGGTTCCAAGTCTTTGCTATTGTGAATAATGCTGCAATAAACATACGTGTGCATGTGTCTTTATAGCAGCATGATTTATAGTCATTTGGGTATATACCCAGTAATGGGATGGCTGGGTCAAATGCTATTTCTAATTCTAGATCCCTGAGGAATCGCCCCACTGACTTCCTCAATGGTTGAACTAGTTTACAGTTCCACGAACAGTGTAAAAGTGTTCCTATTTCTCCACATCCTCTCCAGCACCTGTTGTTTCCTGACTTTTTAATGATTGCCATTCTAACTGGTGTGAGATGGTATCTCATAGTGGTTTTGATTTGTTGAACATATTTTATGTGACTTTTTATTTGGGCATATTGTTAAACTTAAAGAAAAATTGCCAAAGTAATATAAGAACTCCAATGTATACGTTACCCAAATTCATTTAGTAACCATAGATGACTTTCTACTTCCAAATTCTTTCTATATTTATGAGTTGGCAGCTAGTTACTACTGATTCAGAACAAATCACCCAAAACTTAATGACACATTACAATTGACATCATTATACTATTATCTTTGTAGTTGTTAGGTGTCTCCTGGGCTGACCAAGATTTCTGCTCGGGATTTCTTACATGGATGTAGTCAGATAGCAGCTGGGGATGGAGTCATATAAAAGGTGGCCAATTCAGGCTATAGGATGAGTCCTCAGCTGAGGCTGTGAATCTCTACATGCTCCTGCTTGGCTTCTTGTACACTTCCTCGAAGAGTACCAGACAGATGTTTTATAACCTCTTATGACTTACTATAGCCTCAGAAGACACATAGTGTTACTTCTATGACAATTATAGGTTCACTAAGATTCCAAAGGGGGAAAAGTATGCTAATATGTCCAATAGGGAAATTATCAACATCACACTATTAGAGGAACTAATAAGATGGAAGATCTTGTGACCATCTTGGAGTATCCAGCTGGCAACTCTCTACGCTTGTTTAAATCAATCTACATTTTTACTGTATGCAACATATACTAATTTTCATCTGCAACATCTACAAGCATTTCCCATGATGGTGGTAAGTTAAAGTTCAAGATCTCCTCATCTAGATCAGACTCTGTGCAGTTGAGCCTCTTTGCCCATAGTTCCTAAATATCACCTGTCCCCCTATCCCACTCAAGACTTGTGAACAATGATGAGACAGGACTAGGATGCACATACTTGACAGACAATGCTGTAGATACTCCCTTTCAGGAAGAAGGCACTCAGCAGTCAAAATTCCACAGAGCATAAAGCCACAGCTTCCTTTCAGGGCTTCCTGCTTCAAACGTCTGTGTTTTTTAAATGTTTTTTTCCCTCAAACTGTACTTTTCTTTTTTTTTTTTTTTTTTGCCTTGGAAACAATGTAATTATTATTTAAAACTCAGTGAAATCATGAGGATACAGTCAGGCAAACCCTAAATGTGGGAAATCCTATAGGATAAATTATTTCTTTCTTTTTTGTTTTTTAAGTGTATAATTCTTTTTTTTATTATACTTTAAGTTTTGGGGTACATGTACACAACGTGCAGGTTTGTTACATATGTATACATGTGCCATGTTGGTGTGCTGCACTCATTAACTTGCCGTTTAGCATTAGGTATATCTCCTAATGCTATCCCTCCCCCCTGCCCCCACCCCACAACAGGCCCCGGTGTGTGATGTTCCCCTTCTTGTGTCCATGTGTTCTCATTGTTCAATTCCCACATATGAGTGAGAACATGCAGTGTTTGGTTTTTTGTCCTTGTGATAGTTTGCTGAGAATGATAGTTTCCAGCTTCATCCATGTCCCTACAAAGGACATGAACTCATCCTTTTTTATGGATGCATAGTATTCCATGGTGTATATGTGCCACATTTTCTTAATCCAGTCTATCATTGTTGGACATTTGGATTGGTTCCAAGTCTTTGCTATTGTGAATAGTGCCACAATAAATATACGTGTGCATGTGTCTTTATAGCAGCATGATTTATAGTCATTTGGGTATATACCCAGTAATGGGATGGCTGGGTCAAATGGTATTTCTAGTTCTAGATCCCTGAGGAATCACCACACTGACTTCCACAATTGTTGAATTAGTTTACAGTCCCACCAACAGTGTAAAAGTGTTCCTATTTCTCCACATCCTCTCCAGCACCTGTTGTCTCCTGATTTTTTAATGATTGTCATTCTAACTGGTGTGAGATGCTACCTCATTGTGGTTTTGATTTGCATTTCTCTGATGGCCAGTGATGATGAGCATTTTTTCATGTGTCTGTTGGCTGCATAAATGTCTTCTTTTGAGGAGTGTCTGTGCATATCCTTTGCCCACTTTTTGATGGGGTTGTTTGTTTTTTTCTTTTAAATTTGTTTGAGTTCATTGTAGATTCTGGATATTAGCCCTTTGTCAGATGAGTAGGTTGCAAAAATTTTCTCCCATTCTGTATGTTGCCTGTTCACTCTGATGGTAGTTTCTTTTGCTGTGCAGAAGCTCCTTAGTTTAATTAGATCCCATTTGTCAATTTTGGCTTTTGTTGTCATTGCTTTTGTTGTTTTAGACATGAAGTCCTTGCCCATGCCTATGTCCTGAATGGTATTGCCTAGGTTTTCTTCTAGGGTTTTCATGGTTTTAGGTCTAACATTTAAGTCTTTAATCCATCTTGAATTAATTTTTGTATAAGGTGTAAGAAAGGGATCCAGTTTCAGCTTTCTACATATGGCTAGCCAGTTTTCCCAGCACCATTTATTAAATAGGGAATCCTTTCCCCATTTGTTTTTGTCAGGTTTGTCAAAGATCTGATGGTTGTAGATATCTGGCATTATTTCTGAGGCCTCTGTTCTGTTCCATTGGTTTATATCTCTGTTTTGGTACCAGTACCATGCTGTTTTGGTTACTGTAGCCTTGTAGTATAGTTTGAAGTCAGGTAGTGTGATGCCTCCAGCTTTGTTCTTTTGGCTTAGGATTGACTTGGCAATGCGGGCTCTTTTTTGGTTCCACATGAACTTTAAAGTAGTTTTTTCTAATTCTGTGAAGAAAGTCATTGGTAGCTTGATGGGGATGACATTGAATCTATAAATTACCTTGGGCAGTATGGCCATTTTCACGATATTGATTCTTCCTACCCATGAGCATGGAATGTTCTTCCATTTGTTTCTATCCTCTTTTATTTCATTGAGCAGTGGTTTGTAGTTCTCCTTGAAGAGGTCCTTCACGTCCCTTGTAAGCTGGATTCCTAGGTATTTTATTCTCTTTGTAGCAATTGTGAATGGGAGTTCACTCAAACTGTACTTTTCATCCCTTCAAGCAACTTCATCCAATCAAACAACAAATAATGAGTTTTTAGCAGTGTCTTCTATGTTGATCAAAACTCTCATTATCCTTTGAGGCAGTTTAATGTAAACTTTCTTCATTAATTCTTTGCCGTTTTCACTTTATTGTGAATTTTTTTCTTGAATTTACACTGTAAGGCATGGATTTTTTATTTTCAGTTATAGTCAGTATGGCTTTTGTATAAAATTCTCCACATTCTTCTTTTACTTTGTTTCCCTCAACTCTAAATCCCCAAATTCTGTTAGTATGGTAACTGACCTTATAATCTTGATCCATTTTGTATGGAACATTCCCAGGTTAGGTTCATACCAAGAAAATGACTCTGTATTCAAGCCACTTGAATTAATAGCTGTATCAGTGATTATTATTTATGATGACCATGGTCTTATAAGGTTCATATAACATGCTTGTGGTCACTCGCATTAGTCATCACCAGAACAAGACCAGCTGCAGCTGAGGACTGAGGAAATGTTGTGGTGATCTGGAGTATTATTAAGTGAGGGGTTCCACATAGTCCCTCTACAGACTGAAGACACTGGGGAAGGATCATCCGTGTGTGTGTGACAGCTGTGAAATAATCTGTTCTGGAACAAGAAGCTCCAAAATATCTCAGCCTGGGATGACTTTGCGTGCTTTCCATAGAGCATTTGGCTACATATCAAAGCCGTTATCAGTGGGCTGTTCCCTGGCTCAGGGCAGGTGTCTGCCTCAGCCATGTACATAATGGACATAAGGAGCTCAACTCTTCTGTCTCCTGCTGCCTGATCCCAGATAAGGAAAAGGATTATGAGGAGGTGCCACATGATGGTGAAATTTGCTTTCTTCTCATTGTAAGTTGAATCTTTAGTACCTTTTTTGGTCTGTGACATTTGATTTCTCATGGAGCACTCACAGTGTTGAGTAACATGATAAGCTCATAGAGTGGGATGTGTTTAACCTCACTGACATTTGTGCTTATGTGATTTTTTCAAAAAAATTCAAATGTCAATGAGAATATTGTGCCACCTCAGTTTTATTTATTTTTATTTTTTTAACTTTTGTTTTAGGTTCAGGGATATATGTGAAGTTTTGTTACATAACTGAACTTGTGCCATGGGGGTTCCTTGTACAGATTACTTTGTCACCCAGGTATTATTCCCAGTGCCCAATAGTTATCTTTTCTGCTCCTTTCCTTTCTTCCACCCTCCACCCTCAGGTAGACCCCAGTGTGTATTGTTCCCTTACTTGTGTTCATGAGTTCTCAATTTTCAAGTTCTGGACTAAGGTTGAGGGAAGCAAGCCACTATCCAGAACCCTAGTGTCCCTGCATGGTTGAGTGACCACGAGTCTGAGGTAGATTTTGTTCCCACAATCAGCAGCCTGAAGCCTGAAGATGCAGGGTACTGTTACTGTCAACAACATCAAATCTTGCCTCTCTCGTGTGACAAAACTGAGCAAAGGCAGTGCAATGATCCAGCAGTGTTATCTTGTTCAAGTTACTCATACATAATTGATGAAATCATGTAGAAAGCTCAGTGAAAGAGATTTTGAAATATTAGTTTCTGTGATAACAGAACACACAGATTGTAATCACATATCATTGGTTGGAATTTTGTCTCTTACACTTAATATATGTGTAAATTTGGCAAATGACTTAAACACTTTTACCTTGTTTTTTTATCTCTAATAAAGGAAAATAAAGAAGTAACTATACCATAAAACTATTATAATAATTAAGTAATTGAATACTTATAAAATGTTTATAACTTTCAAATGTATTAAACACTAAATAATTACTAATAATCATTATAATTTTGCTACATCTCTTAATTATGTAGATCCAGTGTTTCCCCAAATACTGTTTTCTTTGATGTTATTTACAAAATTATGATTTTTTTCCCCTAAAACTCCCACTATGTTAAATAGCAGATAAATTTATTTCATGCCAAGCTGCTAAAAACAGATATAAAAAGCTGGACAAAATATAAAAAGCTGATACTCTAAGGTACCATGTACCTTCGAATAAGTGCTATGTAATAAGCATCTGACTCCATTTTTGATGTTTGATCAGTGACAGCTTTCAATCACCACCTCCCACTTTCCCTTCCACCACATATTTGTGCAACTGCCTGCAGGACAGTCAAACCTCATAGATCCTCAGCAATGCAAGATAGCATATCTCCAGTCCAACTATAAAAACTCAGCCCTCTGTGTAACTCGAGCCAGCTTATACCAGCTTGTGCATATCCTGCTTTCCCCAAGATTCCCTTGTGTGAGTTAGAAAATTTCTCCCAAATTCTCTTGTACATGGAGTGTCAACAGCTTCACCATAATATCTACTAATTAGAAAAGATCCATCTCACCTCCGTAGGTGACCACAAAATATGCCAAGAGAGCAAGTATTTGATGAATCAAGAAAATAAGGTAAGCTTTTATGAACTGAATATTTGTGTCCCCTCAAAATTCACCAGTTGAAGCCCTAACTCCATGTGCGCGTATATTTGGAGGTATCGCTAAGAAACTAACAGTCAAATGAGGCCATAAGGTTGAGATTCTGATCTGATTCAATTAGTGTCCTCATTAAAAAAAAAAAAAAAAAGGAGAGATTGGGCTCAGTGGCTCATGTCTGCAATCTCAGTACTTTGGGAGGCAGAGGCGGGTGGATCATGAGGTCAAGAGATTGAGACCATCCTGGCCAACATGGTGAAACCCCGTCTCTACTAAAAATAGAAAAATTAGCTGGATATGGTGGCACATGCCTGTAGTTCCAGCTACTCAGGAGGCTGAGGCAGGAGAATCACTTGAACCCAGGAGGCAGAGGTTGCAGTGAGCCAAGATTGCACCACTGCACTCCAGCCTGGTGACAGAGCGAAACTCCATCTCAAAAAAAGAAAAAAAAAAAAAAGAGACCAAATCTATTAGGCCATTCTTGCAATGCTACAAAGAAATACTGAGACTGGGTGATTTATAAAGAAAAGAGTTTTACTCAGCTCACATTTCTGCAGGCTTTGGAGGAAGCATGATGCTGGCATCTGCTCAGCTTCTGGGAAGGCCTCAGGAAGCTTACAGTTATGATGGAAGGCTAAGGGGTAGTAGGCCCATCACAAGGCCAGAGAAAGAGCAGAAGAGAGAGAAGGAGTTGCCATATGCTTTTAAATAAGCAGATCTCATGAGAACTCGCTATCATGAGAACAGCACCAAGAAGATGGTGCTAAACTGTTCATGAGAAATCTATCTCCATGATCCAGTCACCTCCCATCAGGCCTGACTTGCAATACTGGGGATTACAATTCCACATGATATTTGAGCAGTAACAAATATGCAGACAACATCCTTTTACCCCTGGACTCTCTCAAATCTCATGTCCTTTTCACATTTGAAAATACAATAATTCCTTTTCAATATCTGCCCAAAGTCTTACCTTATTCTAATTTTAACACAAAAGTCCCAAGTCCAAGTCCAAAGCCACATCTGATACTCATATCCTTCCACTGATAAGTCTCTGAAATCAAAACAAGTTATCTACTTTCACAACAATCAAAAGACAAAATCCCATTGATTAGTCACAGCAGGAATTAAAAACTTAGAAAAATATCTATTTTGAGAAATAAGTACCATGTTGATATAGCCACATATTCTTCAACTTAGTCCCTAGGATTTCAGATTCTTGGAAATCATGTCTCAACTGTGTGCATCCTAGTATGGCACCAATAGCATCTCAACCTCCCACTTTAGAAGTAGCTCAATCAATTCTAAACTTTTCCATTTAGTTTCTGAAATATTCTAAGTGATGTGTAGGACTATATATTTGTCCAAATTACTCAGGAACATCCATCCACTGGTGGGTACCACTATGTTTTAATAGACACCAGTCCTCTCTTCCTTCCTTCACATCATCAACATTCCAGTGTTGAATGGCCATGATGGAAATATTTGACATTTAAGAGTGAGCATAATTTATTTAATCAGTATTCTCTATTGGAGAGCAGGCTTTAAGTAGAACTGAATTCTGAAAAAAATAAATAAGTAGAAAGAGAATCAGATAGTGTCTGAGTTCTTTCATGCAACTATAACAAACTCACAGACTGGGAAATTTATAAACAATAAATATTTATTTCTCACAGTTCTGGAGTTCAGAACTCTAGGATCAAGATGCTAACAGATTCAGTGTCGGTGAAGCTGTCTGGTGGAGCCAGAAAAGGCAAAGGAGACAAATTGAATCTTGCGTCTGCACATGGCAACAGAGATGGAAGGGCCAGGCAGCTCTCTGAAATCTTCTATATAAGGCCATTAATCCCATTTATTGAGGGCAGAGCCCATGACTTAATCACTTCCCAAGGGGCTCTACCTTTTAATATCAACTTAGGCTTTAAATTCCAACATTAAGTTTGGAACATCACAAACATCTAAACCATAGCAGATGGGACTAGACAACTCCTAACAAAGTCAGCACATAACCATATAGGAAGAGTGACAAAAGCAGCTGCCTTGGTTACCTTTGACCAAGACTTTCTTACAAAAAGGGTTCCTTAGCAATATTCATTTATCAACACCAGTGATGACATGTTGATACTGTGTAACTCTTGATAGGATGTACTGAAGACACATCCCTGCTGTAATATTCTTGCCAAAAATGAAAAATCTGACTTTAATCAATAGAAAATACCAAACAATAGAACTTAAGGGACATTCTGAAAAATAACCAGCCAGCATACATCAAAAGTTTCAAGGTATTTCAAAACAAAGACTAAAAAACTGTCAGAGATTGAAGGAAATTAAGAAAGCATGAAAACTGAATGCAATATGGGATCCAGAAATTTTATCCTAAAACATTAAAAGTAAAAATGGTAAATACATGTATCAGTGGAAAGCTCAGTGAAATTCAAATGTAGATTGTAACTTCATTAATAATAGTGGATTAACCATTAATGTTAAAGCTATTTGAAGTACTAGAAAAATCAGTTTAAAATGATTTTATATTCAGCAAAACTATCCTTAAAGAAAAGAAAAGAAGCCGTGACTAGCATATATCTCCTATAAGAAACTCAAGAAGAAATCCTTCAGAATTCAGAATCACAGTAAACGACAATGAACAGTAATTTAAATCCATGAAATTAAATGAAAGCTTCATAAATATACTTACCTCAATTCATATGTTGTTGATGTTCACGAAAACTGAATCTTTGTGATAGATATCAGAGTTGCAGTTCCCTTGGTAGGTTAGAGGCAGAAGCTATTGACTAGAAAGGTGAATGAAGGCAGCATGTGGAGAATTTCAAATCATTCATATTTGTATCTGGGTAGTGAATGTGAGTACTTTATTTGGCTGAGCAGCGAACATGTTTGCACTTTACTCAGGGCACAATTTATTTTGATTTATAAAATTAACAGCAAACCAAGACCCTTTCAACACACATGAAGAAAAAAATAAGAAGCACCAAATATTTACAGAAACTCAGCCGTATTAAAGAGAAGTGTAATAAGCACTGGGAAAATACTAGGAAGTAAAAAAATTGACAGTAAACACAGTAAACATAGAAATATATCCTGTCCCAATCAGGCTGCATAGATTGTTATTTCTGCCAGTTTTTTCTCAAGCATACAAAATATGTTGTTCATAGGAAAGGCCCCCATACCCCTGCACATATCATGTTATTTCTACACCACTGCACCCACCAGGGGATTTGCATATTGTCCCCCAGGGAGGACCTTCCCTTGCAAGTCTGAGATAAAAGCTCAGCACCAACCTTGACTTAACTAATTAGGACTCCTCAGGTCACCTTCTCACAATGAGGCTCCTTGCTCAGCTTCTGGGGCTGCTAATGCTCTGGGTCCCTGGTGAGGACAGAAGAGAGATGAGGGAGGAGAATGGGGTGGGAGGGTGAACTCTGGGGGCCCCATTGCCTCCCATGTGTGTTCTGTCCTCATGTTAGATGTGTACGTCTTGTACTCCAGGATGGGGCTTGTAACTTTTATATCTGCGTGAGTAAGGCATGTGAGGTTTAGATCTGTAAGAATGAGGAAGATTCCAGAAGGAACAAAGACCAGTGCTCCGGTGAAGACTCTAACAGAGAAAGAGGGAATGGTAGAGGAAACTTCTAGCACTCAAAGCACTCTGCTGTGCTTTGAAAATATGTTTTTATTTTGAAATTATATATTACTAGGGTCTGAATCAAATTATAAAAATTGATTTAGCCTGAAATAAATAACAGAAGAAAAATTATTTTAAAATTGTGCTTAAAGTTTCTACATAACCTTGCACTTCTCTCTCATTATTTCAGGATCCAGTGGGGATATTGTGATGACCCAGACTCCACTCTCCTCACCTGTCACCCTTGGACAGCCGGCCTCCATCTCCTGCAGGTCTAGTCAAAGCCTCGTACACAGTGATGGAAACACCTACTTGAGTTGGCTTCAGCAGAGGCCAGGCCAGCCTCCAAGACTCCTAATTTATAAGATTTCTAACCGGTTCTCTGGGGTCCCAGACAGATTCAGTGGCAGTGGGGCAGGGACAGATTTCACACTGAAAATCAGCAGGGTGGAAGCTGAGGATGTCGGGGTTTATTACTGCATGCAAGCTACACAATTTCCTCACACAGTGGTACAGCTCTGAACAAAAACCTCCCGCTGGAGTGGCCCAGCTGCTCAAGTGTGTTGTTTCTCTGGGGAGCAGTTGAACAGAATCTCTATCTGTATGAGATAAACATGTTGGAGAACTCAGGGCAACAGGTTGCATCTGAGGGTTCTGTCCCATGGGTGCCTCAGTTGTACGTCAGGCAAAACCCGTTCACAGCCCTGTCAGCTGCAACAGCCTTGGCATGGCATAAGCCATAGGAAACCAGAGGTGATCCCAGTGCCTGCACAGGTAATAGACTGCCCTGAGGGAGAGCTTAAGAAAATCCTATTCCAATCCTCCCTGCCTTGCCTGCATTGGGAAATAAGACTTAAAGAGGTAAATAACCAGACAAGTAACCCAGATTTGTTGCAACACTTCTTGAATATATCTTGAGGTTTAGAAGTTTAAAGTCTACATTTAAGAGGATAATATGTGGTAATATCCAAAAATTGAACTTTTCAACTTTCCTAACTTCTTATTTTTCTCTTTCACCACCTATCTTCCCACCACATATTGATGGTGGAAAGAGCCTTCCGCACAAGCTGTCATCATGAGGAGCTGGATGAGGGCAATTAGTGAAAATCTTGGATTTCAGCCTCAGAATGGACTTTTGTAAATTGGTGAGAGATAGAAAATATGAATGCTAAAATTATTTTATTCACTTCAATTGTGTCTTGCTGACAGAAAAGGATAGTTTTTGAAATTTCAGAAGTTGAGTTTCATAAACAGAAACTTAAACTATAAGACATAGGTTATAGAATTTACCTCATAGAACACTGAAATAACACAGAATGATATGCGATTTCTTTCCCCAAAATGTAAGAGTTTGAAGACAGTGGGCAGACTTCAAGAATGGGAGAATTAATGGAAGATAGTGGAGGTCAACTATGGCCCAATAACCTGCTCTTTGACTTACATTAGGTACAGTTGTGGATGACAGTGACTGTTGGGGGTTGGTGATATAAACTCAGAAAGGAGCCCAAATGTCTTTCTTATGAAGAATCACAGAGGAGAAAGTATCACTCCCTGGCTCCATGGGTTGAGCCTGCACCACTGCAAGTTTCAAGGAAAAGTAGTTCATCAAGAATGATCTTTTAGTTCTGCAATCATCAAATGTTTATTGAAGTTCCTGTGCAAATAGACCTGAGGTTCTGTGACTCAGTCACAGTCAAACTAAAATAACCCAGCAGATGCCATATGGTTGGGTTTGAGAACACAAATCATGCAGTGGCATGCTAACCTGAAGTCCCAATAGAGTCTACATCAACTGGGGAGCAGTGGCAATGATGACCAATATATCCATGATTCAGACATGTATTATGAATGGTCTGCGCAGAATTTATCAACAACAAAAACTCCATGAATCCTCTGTATGGGGAGTTTCTGTCTTTCTAGACCAGCACCCAAAGACTGCACATGTCATCAAACCACAGCCAATGTTCCATGGAGAACACTATCTGTGAGTTGAGGCTGCATTGTGCAACCAAAGAGGCACAGCCAGATTCTCCTTTCACAGATGAGTTTCTCTGCCCGTGCCAAAGCAGAACTTGGGTCCAAATGCCAACCTGGCAAATATGGCAGGGGAACAAAAAGTCAGGTAAGCATCAGCTCAATTAGAGAGGATTTCCTCACCCTGGAATTTTAGATTACCTAGGCCTTATTCTGTCCACTGTTCTCTGATGTTATAATTTCATAAATTTTGTATTTTTTGTACCTTTGGCAGCAGTTGCTTTAGGGCTTTTAACCACAATGTTATTGTACCTGGGAGTGGAGATAACTTTTTCAACTAAATAATGTTTTAGAAATGACAATTTTGGTATTCAATTGTCATGAAAAGAATAAATGGTTTTCAATATATAAGTACATGCATCATTTTCACACAATGTAGTCATTACATGAAAATGAACCTCATTCCTACCTTCTAGTAGTAATTGTATAGAAAATATATAGCTTGCAAAGATGACACTTAAAATAATGCCCTAAATGTATTTCTAAACTAATCATGACATGATATGATCAAAGTAAAGGGGCATTTGAATCAGCAGGACAACATACTCTTTTCCTTGTTAAGGAAGTAAACCATATTAGAAATGACTGTGTATTCCAAGATAATGCATTCTGTGGTGAGGGAAGTTAAAATTCAATTTTTGAGGAGAGAAATCCAGAAAAAAATGGATTATGGCAAGACGTTTGTAACATAGGCAAAGAATGACAATCCTTCAAAGTATTTTTCTGCACATATTCAAAAGTGGAGACACACATGCAGTCAAAATTTTAATCATTACATACTCACAATCACTTCTGTGGGGCCTGGAGATACTGCACATACGACTGTTAGCAAGACACTCACTGGGACGCTGCGTTGTGTGATGGCCCCACATACAAACCTCAAGGAGGCTCAGCCTCTCAATGCAGCAGGAGCAGCTGGGGTACCCAGGCCACACGTCCATACCAGGTGGGCTCAGTTAGAGATGGCTGGAGAGCCTTCCAGGAAGAGGCCATGAGGTTTCAGTCACAAACACTGGCTCCTCTTCTGTGTAAACAGGGGCTAGAGCCCTCCAGGACAATTCCTAGAGCCTCTCGCTTTCTCTCCAATTAGTGCACTGACACCCCACAGATTCTCCAGGAAGTGGTTGTCATGTCCTCCCTGCAACAGCCACTAAAGTTCCCTACTGCTGTCATGAATGCAGGGACACTTAGTCACATCACTGGGAGGCGACCCTAGTGTATCCTGACCTCACCTGCTGCCACTGATGACTTTCAGGGCACCTCTTTCTCCCTTTGCTGAGTGACTCTCACTCTCACCAACCATCAGGAGAATGGAAAGCTGCCTGCAATGCATGATGTTGGCTGTTGAGCAAATCAAAGCTCACAGGAGTCTCAAACATGTACACCACATAATAATATTTTCTGATAATACTATTTGGACTTTTCTTCCTTTCAATTCTGGAAGTAATTGAGAATATTTTTTGAACTCTTAGAAACACTTAGTATATATGTGTAGTAGGTAGTAACTAGTTTTGTCTACTGGTTTATTTTGTTTGCTTGTTTCAGGCCATGATGCGGCATGTTAAAATACTGAAGACAAAGATACATTTTAGAATTAAGCATACTGTACATTGGCTCTTTCCACACCACTGCAACCACCAGGGGATGTGCATATTGTCCCTTAGGAATGACCTTCCCTTGTGAGTCTGGGAGTAAAGCTCAGCTGTAACCTTGCCTTAACTGATCAGGACTCCTCAGTTCACCTTCTCACAGTGAGGTTCCCTGCTCAGCTCCTGGGGCTGCTAATGCTTTGGGTTCCTGGTAAGGACAGAGGAGATGAGGGAGGAGAATGGGGTGGGAGGGTGAGCTCTGGGGGCCCCACTGTCACCCATGTGTGTTCTGTCCACGTGTTGGATGCACGTGTCTTGTGCTCCAGGATAAAATGTATGGTGGCACTTTTATATGTGAAAGAGTGAGGAAGATTCCAGAAAAAGCAAAGACCTGTGCTCTGGTGCAGATTCTGACATAGAAAGAGGAGGGTAGCATAAGTGACTTCCAAAGGGCAACTTGGGCCTTCAAAATGTCTGTTTTTTTTTTAATTAAATTTTTTTGGTGCATGAATCAAAATTACACACACACTCACACACACACACACACACACACACGCGCCGCAATACAATTATTTAGCATTAAATAATTGTAGAGAAATTATGATAATGTCTCATGATTTACATAACATTGTACTTCTTTTTTATATTACTTTAGGATCCGGTGGGAATATTGTGATGACCCAGACTCCACTCTCTCTGCCCGTCACCAATGGAGAGCCGGCCTCCATCTCCTGCAGGTCTAGTCAGAACCTTTTACATGGTAATGGATACACCTATTTGTATTAGTTCCTGCAGAAGCCAGGCCACTCTCCACAGCTCCTGATCTGTAGGACTTCCAATCAGTTTTCTGCCTTCCCACACAGGTTCTCCCCAGTGGGAGGAGAGAGTAGACCAGTCATCCCCAGATATATCACAGGACTAGTTTCAACCTTTGGAAGCTGGTCTATATCCTATGGTTAAATAGGCATTTGTGATACGACCTGAAATACATTTGGACAAGAACTTCACTAACAATTGAGTCACTGAAGACTTACGGCCCTGTGTGACGCACCACATAACTGTGAGTTTGCAGTGGTTGCAGGTCAGGGACAGATTTTATGCTTAAGATCAGTAGGGTGGAGGCTGAGGATCTTGGCTATTACAACTGCCACCACACTCTACAATATCCTCCCACAATGGTTCAGCACCAAACAAAAGCCTCCTGCTTGGATTGTCCCAGCTGCCCAAATTAGTTCCTTCACTGAGGAGTAGACAGGGTATATTCTCTAAATCTATGTAACAGGAAGATGTTGGTGAACTCAGGGGATTAGTATGAAGCTACACCTCAGGCATCACACATAAGATCACTTCAGCAGTCGCAGCCTTAGCATGGGCAGAACCTACAGAAGATGCAAGTGCCCTCTGAGCCAGGAGACAGGAGGAAGGAGGAAGGGAAAGGTGACTTAGCTCATCTCAATCCTCTCTCCTTTGCATACATTTGTCAACCAGATGTATTCAGCCTACCAGTCACACAACTGAGGCTGATACATGACAACATAGCACTGGTATATTCTTGGTATTGTTTGGCTTAGCAGTTACTAGTATATATTTAATGGGAGAATATTTGGTGGTGTTAACACATTGCTTATCTCCCTTTCCCCAGTTGTACTTTACACTTGTTCTTGGCACACATTCTCCTCCAGGACTGGAGCATTCACAGGGTTTTATGTTACTGTTCTTATGGGAGTAAAAAGAAAAACGATTCACATTCTTGCTACTGAGCTAGGCTGGGATGCCCTGGGCCAAGCTGAAAATGTGAAAAATAAGAGTATGAATATTTATTAAGTTTTATCTGGATCTAAGATACTTATCCATGAACCAGTCCTGCAGCTGTGCCCAGCCTGCTCCATTCCCTGCTGATTTGCATGTTCCCAGAGCACAACCCCCTGTTCTGAAGACTTCTTAATAGGCTGGTCACACCCTGTGCAGGAGTCAGTCTCAGTCAGGACACAGCATGGACATGAGGGTCCCCACTCAGCTCCAGGGGCTCCTGCTGCTCTGGCTCCCAGGTACGGATGGAGAACACTAGGAATTTACTCAGCCAATGTGCTCAGTACAGCCTGGCCTTTCAGGGAAATCATCTTATAAATAGTTGTGTGGATTATTTGTTTTTATGTCCCAGGAGTCAGATGTAATTTCCAGATGACTCAGTCTCCATCCTCCCTGACTGCATCTGTAGGAGAGAGAGTCACCATCACTTGCTGGGCGAGTCAGGGCATTTGCAATTATTTAAGCTAGTATCAGTAGAAACTAGAGAATCCTCCTAAGCTCCTGATCTATGCTGCATCCAGTTTGCAATCTGGGGTCCCGTCACGGTTCAGTGGCAGTAGGTCTGGGACACATTTCACACATTCTCACCATCAGGAGCCTGCAACCTGAAGATGTTATAACTTATTGCTGTCTATAGACTTACAGCAGCCATCCTAGAGTGTTACAGGTCATAAAATAAACCCCCAGGGAAGCAGAAGTATGACTCATGGCTGCCCCAGGTGCTTCCACTGGTGCCTCCATCTGCTGAGAGTGTTTCTCAGGTGCAGCCAAGATTTAAAGGTTTTTGTAGGAATGGCCAGAAGTCTCATCTGCATTCTAACTCTTTTTCTTCCTGCTTAGCCCCAGCAGCACAGACATGACACTATCTCTCCTGATTTAATAAGGGATAGCATTTACGATACCTGAAGAATCTGTGTTATTGCATCCATCTGGGTCATAGATTAAAAGAGAAACCACTCTACAGATTGCCAGAAGGCATTGTTTTAATACAGGGAATTAGAGTTGAATATACAAAACTGGGAGTGTGGTAGTTAGGGAAGCTGACACTAGAAACACGGGAGTCTCTGGAGGTCTGCCAGAAGCCAGAGTTCATCAGCCGCTAAAGGCATGGGCTATCTAACCATATAGTCTTCTTTGTCTAGGAAGTCCGTATGCGAAGATGCTGATGCTATCAGTTGTTGCAGCACCTCACCAGGTGATTCTCCAGTCCTTATCTCAGTGAACATGTTTGCCTACCGGTGTCAAAGAATATTGAATCGCCTTCTTCTTACCTTCAAATATGATGAGAGGTCTTCTCTTTGAGTAACTCTACAAGAAACCATAGAGGGTTTAATGTGTTTCAGGAAAGGTGCTTTTAGAAATCATGGTGAATATGAGGAATTACAGCCAAGTGAGATAAGTATTTCCCAAAATCTCAGAATTTTCCAGGTATGGGGTGGCTTCAGAATACATTTGGATGTTCTTACATGTATTATTAGAAAGTTTGGTATTATTGCAAGAAAATTTTATTAAGTCGTAAAGTAAAAGAAAAAAATGACAACATTGCTTGAAATACATAGCAATCCTTTGACAAATGAAAAAAAAATTGACAAAACAAACAAGAACACCTATAGGTGCACGTAGCATACTTTTTCCTTAATATAAGAGCACTTTGCTACTTAAAATTTGTCCAGATTCCAGTGGCATTCTCAGCGTCACTATGAACACAGTACAAATGCAAAGTAGCAGATGTGCTTTAGACCTTGTTGCATGATAACCTGCACTTCAACTAGTTAAGAGGTAACGTACGGGTGTTTCAAGAAGCCAAGTTTTAGAAGACATTTACTTTAGCTAAAGATTTTTTTTTCCCCCACAGTGAGAACATTTATGTTAAAACCACTTAAAAATATATGCTGCTTTATTTCTAATTAATGCAAAATTACATTCAAAAATATTTTTAATATTCTAAAAGTTGAAAAACAATTATTTTTTATCAATGGATCAAATACTTTGATAGTTAAATGCAGTAAACGTTTTTAGAAACTTTAGGACTTAACAAAGTAAAAGAATAAATTAAATTGTGTTCACTGTTTTAGAGAACATTAGGATACCATTTGCCTGGTCAGTTTTGTTTGAAAATTGTGTTCCTTTTTGCTGCCTTCCATACAAATGTTGTGTCTTGGCTAGGCCCTTCCTTGATCCCAAATGAAACACAATCTAGAGGCAGAAGAACCACTCCACTAAGCTCTTCCTTGATCAGCCACATCATTGTTATCATAAACATCTATTAACAAGAAAATATCTGCTTAGTTTTATTATCCGCTGAGTTTTGAGCAGTGGATAAGTGCATGTTTCCGTAAGTGCACTTTTTCCATAAGTGAGGTGAATTTCACTTAATTCATATCATTTAGCTTTAATTTCCTCTAAGTGTCTTTATAAATAGATGACTAAATATTTATATTTATGCTATCAGATTTGATAACATGCATCTATCTATATGACTGGATGTGTGAATATTATATTGGTCAGCTTTCACCCAGGTGGTCATGTCAGAAAAGGCTGTTAGCTTAGCCTGAGTGTAGAATTTCTATCTTAGATCACATATATCATGTGTCTTCCTGTCTTATATCCCTGTGTCTTCCTGTCTCACCAATTATCTAGATTCAGTGAATGGTGTGTGGTACAAGACTTGTAGGAACTAAATTAAGTTGTGTGGTCCCATTTCTTTTGTTTCTACCCTAAATATGCCTAGTTGTTTTCCCTGGTGCATGACAGAATATGGTTGGAATGAAGAGTTATTGGAACTTTATCTCCCAAGTACACCTTTCACTTGCTGCTTAGGGATCTTTTCTGAGGGCCCTGAAGCTTCCTCAAAGAGCAACACTCAAGTACCCACAGTGCTGCAGGTGCAGGGGTGACCACAACTGCACAGATGAGAAGCACCCAGGCTCTGACCCTTCAGGTTACCAATGCCATTTCCCTGAAGACAGACAATCATGCTGTCCATGCAGGTAACAGACAATGATGCTGTCCATATAGGCAGGGGACAACTCCTTGGGTGATCCTCTAATCTACACACCGCTTGATTCTGTGCAATGCTTATATCAATCCAGAGTCAGGTTCTCTTCTCCTTAATAGTTCCCAGAACCTCTGCTTACACCCCCTGAATCTCATTTCATATACTGCTGCTCCTTTCCTTTAATCAGTTAAAATCGTTTGCTTTTTCTTCCTTTCTCTTAGGTATCAAGGAAGCAGTTTTATTAATGCTGCTCTAAGTTTCAATTGGATCTTCATTCATTCTGGAAATAGAGTCAACAATATTTATCTAACTGTCAAGACGTTATCTTGGCAAGCCCTGAAATCAAATCCATTGTGTTGGAGACAGAGCTTTAATCCTTATAGATTATGTGCCATTAGTAAATTTGCTTATGTGAAACTTTGGCAATAATAGAATCTACCTAAAAGGTCTCTTTACAATTTATACAAGGTAAAGCATTTACAATAGTATCTAATCATTATATGTGCTGGTATTAATTTTGTTGTTACTATTATGATAACATTTAGCACTGTAATGATCATTATTATCATCACTAGACTAATTTAGAAGAGAGTTAGGAGAAACAATCTTAATTCTAATCCAAGGATGTTTCATCTATAGCCACATTAGTTTCTGAGATGGGATTTTCACTAACTGACTCACAATTCTTAAAATGCTAATGATTTGTTCTTGATCTATACTAACTTGCTCAGACCTTCAATCATGCCCACCCAGATGGGTCCATTGCATTTCTTCTCATCATTCATTATCATAACTTTATCCTATGAAAGGTTAGAATGTCATATTGCTGTCCTTTCTTACATAATCTTTATTCTGTCTTTTTAACCTTTTCTCATTTTTTCTACTACATCTGCCATAACTCAAAAACCAAATCTCAGTTTTTTCCCAGGATTGGCATGCTTCTGTGCTAAAGATGTTGTTCATTCTCTTACTTTCTGGATTTCTACGGGACAAATTATTTCAAACTCAGGCCTTTCTAATACCTCAGAGGTATAGGGCATAAAAGAGAAAGAAAAAGCATATGTACGAGTGTGATTTGACAAATTGAAAAGTCACTTCACCTTTTTGTGAAGTCATCTATTCTTTCTTGCAAGGGTTTTCAAGTTGTGCCTATATTTTTAAACACGTATGACTTCTTCAAACACTTTTCTTCTCTAAGTCTTTTCCTCCAAAAGCCCCAGTCAGATTAACTGTATCCAGTAAAGTATGGTTGGCCCTTCTCTGATATCCTCTCTATATATACCCAAAAGTTTCCATTCTCTTCTAACATTTTTGTTTCATTACCATCCAAAGACAAAATTCTATTAAATTTTCAGATAATAACTTAAAAATTTGGAGAAGTACATATTTCTAGAAATAACTGTCATGCATATGTAGCCACATGTTCTTTAACTGAGGGACCAGAACCTCGTATTTCCAGAAAGAGTGTCTGAACTGTGTGCATACTAAAATGGTACAAATGGTATCTCAGTCTCCTCAGCAGAAGTAGCTCAGGGCAAGCTGTTCCTATCCATTTGATTCTTGCAGTATTCCAAGTGCTAGAAAATTATGTTTTTCCAAACAGTTGATTCAGTAACTGCTGTTCATTTGTTGATACCACTACATTTTAATAAATCTCATTCCTCTGGGTTTTTTTTCAGGCTATTAACATTTAAATGGTAAATGGCCATCATAGTAACATTTGCCATTTAAAAGCCAGCTCATTTATTTGTTCAATATTCTCTATTGTACAGTAAGTGTGAAGAGGGTTAAAGCCTAAGCAACATAAAAAAAAATAGTTTCAGACAGGAATAGGTTATTTCTCAGAAAGTCAGCAAATAACCAAATACAAAGAGTGATAGAAGCAGCTGGCTTAATTAGCTTTGTCCAAGACCTCCTTTCAGAAACCAGAATCTTTGGGACACAGCAAAAGCAGTGTTTAAAGGGAAATTTATAGCACTAAATGCTCACGGGAGAAAGCAGGAAACATCTAAAATCGACACCCTTACATCACAATTAAAATAACTGGAGAAGCAAGAGCAAACAAATTCAAAAGCTAGCAGAAGACAAGAAATAACTAAGATCAGAGCAGAACTGAAGGAGATAGAGACACGAAAAACTCTTCAAAAAAAATCAATGAATCCAGGAGCTGGTTTTTTTGAAAAGAGCAACAAAATAGATAAACCACTAGCCAGACTAATAAAGAAGAAAAGAGAGAAGAATGAAATAAACACATAAAAAATGATAAAGGAGGTATCACCACTGATCCCACAGAAATACAAACTACCATCAGAGAATACTATAAACACCTCTAAACAAATAAACTAGAAAATCTAGAATAAATGGATAAATTCCTCGACATATACACCCTCCCAAGTCTAAACCAGGAAAAATTTGAATCCCTGAGTAGACCAACAACAAAGTCTGAAATTGAGGCAGTAATTAATAGCCTACCAACCAAAAAAAAGTCCAGGGCCAGATGGATTCACAGCCGAATTCTACCGGTAGAAAAAGAAGCTGGTACCATTCCTTCTGAAAATATTCCACACAATAGAGAAAGAAAGAATACTCCCTAACTTGTTTTATGAGGCCAGCATCACCCTGATACCAAAACCTGGCAAAGACACACACAAAAAAGAAAATTTCAGGCCAATATTCATGATAAACATTGATGCGAAAATCCTCTGTAAAATACTGGCAAACCGAATCCAGCAGCACATCAAAAAGCTTATCCACCATGATCAAGGTGGCTTCATCCCTGGGATGCAAGGCTGGCTTAACATATGCAAATCAATAAATGTAATCTATCACACAAACAGAACCAATGACAAAAACCACATGATTATCTCAATAGATGCAGAAAGAGTCTTTGATAAAATTCAATACCTCTTCATGCTAAAAACTCTCAATAATCTAGGTATTGATGGAATGTATCTCAAAATAATAAGAGCTATTCATGACAAACCCACGGCCAAGATCATACTGAATGGGCAAAACTGGACACATTCTTGTCAAATACTGGCGCAAGACAAGGATGCCCTCTCTCACCACTCCTATTCAATATAGTATTGGAAGTTCTGGGAAGGGCAATCAGGCAAGAGAAGGAAATAAAGCATATTCAAATAGGAAGAGAGGAATTCAAATTGTCTCTTTTTGCAGATTACATGATTGTATACTTAGAAAACCCCATGGTCTCAGCCCCAAATCTCCTTAAGCTGATAAGCAACTTCAGCAAAGTCTCAGGATACAAGATCAATGTGCAAAAATCACAAGCATTCCTATATATCAATAATAGACAAACAGAGAGCCAAATCATGCATGAACTCCCATTCACAATTGCTACAAAGAGAATAAAAAACTTAGGAATACAGCTTACAAGGGATGTGAAGGATCTCTTCAAGGAGAACTACAAACCACTGCTCAAGGAAATAAGAGAGGACAGAAACAAATGGAAAAACATTCCATGCTCATGGATAAGAAGAATCAATATCGTGAAAATGGCCATACTGCACAAGGTAATTTATAGATTCAATGCCACCCCCATCAAGCTACCATTGACTTTCTTCACAGAATAAGAAAAAAATACTTTAAATTTCATATGGAACTAAAAAAGAGCCCACATAGCCAAGACAATCTAGACAGAAAGAACAAAGCTGGAGGCATCACGCTACCTGACTTCAAACTATATTACAAGGCTACAGTAACCAAAACAGCATGGTACTGGTACCAAAACAGATATATAGACAAATGGAACAGAACAGAGGCCTCAGACAGATGCTGGAGAGGATGTGGAGAAATAGGAATGCTTTTACACTGTTGGTGGGAGTGTAAATTAGTCCAACCATTGTGGAAGACAGTGTGGCGATTCCTCAAGGATCTAGAACCGGAAATACCATTTGACCCAGCAATCCCATTACTAGGTATATAGCCAAAGGATTATAAATCATTCTACTATAAAGATGCATGCACACATATGTTTATTGCGGCACTGTTTACAATAGCAATGACTTGGAACCGACCCAAATGCCCATCAATGAGAGACTGGATAAAGAAAATGTGGCACATATACACCATGGAATACTATGCAGCCATAAAAAAGGATGAGTTTATGTCTTTTGCAGGGACATGGATGAAGCTGGAAGCCATCATTCTCAGCAAACTAACACAAGAACGCAGAACCAAACACCGCGTGTTCTCATTCATAAGTGGGAGTTGATCAGTGAGAACAAATGGACACAGGGAGGAGAATGTTATACCCCAGGGCCTGTTGGGGGGTGGGGGGCTAGGGGAACAGTAGCATTGGGAGAAATACCTAATGTAGATGACAAGTTGATGTGTGTAGCAAACCACCATGGCATGTGTACACCTATGTAACAAACCTGCACGTTCTGCCCATGTATCCCAGAACTTAAAGTATAATAAAACTTTTTTTTAAAAAAGGGTTTTATTGTTCATATTAATTGATCACCATTAATAGGATATGTTGACATTTTGTAATTCTTGCTGTGCACTGAGGTTGCACCCCATTTTTTTGTTTTTGTTTTTTTGCTAAAAATAAAAGATATGAATCTAATCAGTAGAAGACTTCAAACAAATGCAACTTAAGGGATTCTCCAAAATAACTTGCCAGTACACTTCAAAGGTTTCAAAATCATGAAAGACAAAACTAAAAAACTGTCACAATTTGGGAAATATTAAGGACACAATAATTAAATGCAGTGTGGGATTTTGGATTTTTTTCTGGAACATAAAGAAGGAGATTACTGAAAAAATCAGTGAAATACAGAGGGGATTTCAAATTACTTAATTAATAGCATTGCATTTATGTTAATGCTTTGGTATTGATACTTACCCTATAGTTACGCTTGATGTTGACATTACAGAAGAAGCTAGTGGAAGAGTACATGAGAACAATCTTATTATATTATGCAAATTTTAAGTCTAAAAACATTTCAATGTTATTAAAATATATAAATAAAAATAATTAAAACATAACAAAGGACATGGATTCTTATGAAACAATTTCACAAGATTCATCATGTTTTCATATTTGTGTTTCAATCATCTGTTAAAGACAATCCTGGCTCCCATTATGTAGAGAATATTCACTTACTTGGTCAATTCTAGAATATGCATAAGGCATATTTTACAGATTTGTAGTGCATTCCCTGAAAATGTGAAATCTAGTGATTAGAGTTACATATATATTTTTTTTATTTTATTTTTTATTTTATTTTATTTTATTTTATTTTATTTTATTTTATTTTATTTTATCTTATTTTATTTTATTTTATTTTGACAGAGTCTCACTCTGTTGCCCAGGCTGGAGTGCAGTGGCGCGATCTCGGCTCACTGCAGCCTCCGCCTCCCAGGTTCAGGCGATTTTCCTATCTCAGCCCCCTGAGTAGCTGGGACTACAGGTGTGCGTCACCAAGCCTGGCTAATTTTTTGTATTTTTAGTAGAGACGGGGTTTCACCATGTTGGCCAGGCTGGTCTCAAACTCCTGACCTCAGGTGATCTGCCCACCTCCACCTCCCAAAGTGCTGGCATTACAGTCATGAGCCACCGTGCCAGCCAAGAGTTAATATTTGTTAAGTGCACGATTTCTCTTCAAACCGTGGGTATTGAGTTCAAATTCTTTACTTCAGAATTACTTATGTTTTAACATATATCTATGTCCTTTCAGTGTTGCTGTCATATTCATTAAAATTCATTTTAGAAGGCATCTCTCTTTATTGTGTCACAGAGAGATTGTTAAATCCTCTCAGCAAAAATATATGAGAAAGACAAATTAAGCATAAAGCTAAAAAATATCAAATCGGTTTCAGCGCTCTGACAATTGGCAAAGTATAAAACATTTAATACTGTATACTATTCATAACATGAAAGAATATGTTTTGAGTAAGGAAGGAAATTATGTCTGTAGCCTTTTGCCTGGGATTTCTCCCTTCCATCTCCGCTCTGTCAGCATGAATTGCAGATCTGGGGTTTTAATGAGGATGTCAGCTTGCAGCTTGCAGTCGAAGGGAGTGGACTTGAGTTGAGGTGGAGAGTCAAGCAAGATCCTTCAGTGTTTCCAGCTAAATGTGATGAATTCTGCAGGAAATGAACAGAGCAAGTTAGTTCAAACTGAGGTCTCTAGCTGGGGCAAGTGGTACACCAGCTGAAAGTTACTAGTGGACTCCTGGAAGTGATGGAATGATAGAATTGCTAAAATAATGTCTGCACAGATTTCTGGTGACTTAAAAGCTGCCGTTATGAATAACAGGGATCAAAGGTGGTGCAGTGAAAAGTAAAACAGAGGGAGATAAGAACTGGCTACATTTTGTATACACTTTTCAGAACACACACAGATGAATAGGTTTATGAGTTTCACACATTTGGGAAAAACGTTTGCCCAGCTCATTGCTATGATCTTCTTTTCCAGGACCTTAGCCAGCCAGCTATTCAGAAATCTATATGTATACTTGACTCCAGACACTTCTCTATCTACTAATTTGATGAACATGTGCTCTGCTCAGATGTAAGATAACTCAAGGTAGTATTTGACAGCCATGCATGACCGTTGCCATAGTGTGGACACAGTCCACACTTACTTACACAAACATATGATGCCAAGCCATTCAAGAGGAAGCCCAGCTTGTTCTCATTTTTGCTTTGATTTTCTTTGTTTTTGCTTATTTTCTTTTTTTTTTCTTTTTCTTTTTTTGTATTCTCTCTCTGGCATTAGCTGATCAGGAAAACCCATGATATCATAGAGAGAGCTGATGCAGAGGTGTTAAGTTGAGAGAGAAAAGTGATATAAGGAACTGGAACATCTGTCTATGGAAATGAAGCATGCCTTCTGAATCTGCTTGAACCCAGTCACTAAACTACCATCTGCATCCCAATATTGAATGGTGCTGAGCTTCACCTGATCTTAAAATTGGTGAGAGTGACATTCTCAGTTTATGAGGGGCAGCTTAGTCACTTAATTATTTAGTCAAACAGTCAATTACTCATGGACATGCCTACATGGACCCTGTGATATTTTGAGAGCTGCATTTTGAGTAGTGAGTTGTTTGTGTGTTGTTTGTTTGTTTATTTTGGGGGCATTTCAGGATCTTGCTCAAGAACTGTAGAGATTTTTTTCTGTGACTCTTTTTTGGTGCTTGCATGGAGGTTTACAGAGTTTCCTCATCTAATATAGATTATCTAGCACCAGGCAATGTGCTGGATCTCATGGCTGAAGTGACAGAGGCATTTGCATTAAAACTCAAACTTACTACAGAATATTTTCTTTCTCAGAGTTTATTCATAAAAGACAGCCTTCCAAGTTAGCTGATAAATGGGTTGGTATAGTAAACCCAAGTGCAAAATGCATTGTCAACACTCTAGGATGGCTTAACCAGTAATGTGCTTCATTGCTAGTGGTTGGAAGTACAAGGTGCAATTATTTTTCCTTACTTTGGAGGGGATAAGCCAGCATGACTCATACTCCTTTTATAAACACTTGACATCTTCTCTAATGTGACAAGCCCTTGATGTTTTGGGGCGTGCATCCCACCCTCTAGAGCACATGTGTTTTCACAAGAAATTCAGAGTTCTTACAATGTCCAGCTCATCACGTCTAATTACCATGATGTCATCAATATAGTGTTGATGCTTTGTGGAACGTTCACAAAGCTTTTTCAGCCTACATTGTGACAGAGAGCAGGAGAGTTAACATAGCCCTGGGACGAGACTGAGGATGTGAGCTGTTATTCACCCCAGATAACTGCAGACTCTCCCAGAGATGGCGATGGACTCTGCCTTCACTCTGCAGCTGTGCCCTGGGGTCTTGGTCAAGCCCTGCCAGAGCCTCAGCGGAGCTCGTCTGCAGGTGCCAGCAGAGGGCGCTTCACACCCCTCATGGAAGGGGCCGGGAGGGCGCTCTCCTGGCAACAGTGATTTCTGTTTATTTAAACCAGCAGGACATCCCCATAATTTGCATGTATCGTTCCTCCTATATGTGAAGAGGCCCTGCCTCTCGGTATCTTAAAAGAGGTTCTTTCTCTGGGATGTGGCATGAGCAAAACTGACAAGTCAAGGCAGGAAGATGTTGCCATCACAACTCATTGGGTTTCTGCTGCTCTGGGTTCCAGGTGAGAATATTTCCACAAACCTAGGCGGAGATATTCTTTCAATCTGTAATTTCTTTCATTGGGGACTCTGCAATAGGTGATTTTTGGCTTGATTTTAAAATCCTAATTTTAAAAATGTAATGCATATTCTTTCTTCATGTCTAGCAAGATTAAAGGTGATTTTCATACACAGATATTTATGTTGTACTGATGTTTGCTGTATATTTTCAGCCTCCAGGGGTGAAATTGTGCTGACTCAGTCTCCAGACTTTCAGTCTGTGACTCCAAAGGAGAAAGTCACCATCACCTGCCGGGCCAGTCAGAGCATTGGTAGTAGCTTACACTGGTACCAGCAGAAACCAGATCAGTCTCCAAAGCTCCTCATCAAGTATGCTTCCCAGTCCTTCTCAGGGGTCCCCTCGAGGTTCAGTGGCAGTGGATCTGGGACAGATTTCACCCTCACCATCAATAGCCTGGAAGCTGAAGATGCTGCAACGTATTACTGTCATCAGAGTAGTAGTTTACCTCACACTGTGTTACAACCCAGAACAAAAACTAGTTCAGCCTGGCTGAACAGAGAAACTGGGTGATACCCTAGAATACTTCTGATTGTTACAGGTGCTTTGGAGGCAATGAGTTAACCAATACAATGAAGTCTGGCTCACCCAGCAGAGAGGAAACTAGAGTCACTGCTGCATACTTTCATCTTTTTAAAAATGAATTATTTTATTTATTTCAATAGTTTTTGGGGGTATAGGTGGTTTTTAGTTACATGGATAAGTTCTTTAGTGGTGATGTCTGAGATTTTGGTGGACCTGTTACCTGAGCAGTGCATACTGTGCCCAATATGTTGTCTTCTAGCCTTCACCTCCCCTTCTATCCTTCCTCCCCAGTCCCCAAAGTCCATTATATCATTCTTACGCCTTTGCATCCTCATAGCTTAGCTCCCACTTATAGATGAAAACATATAGGTTTTCCATTCCTGAGTTACTTCATTTAGAATAATAGCCTCCAGCTTCATCCATGTTGCTGCAAAGTTCATTATTTTGTTCTGTTCTGTTTTATGGCTGAGAAGTATTTCGTGGTGTATATACACCACGTTTTCTTTATCCACTCGTTGCTTGATTGGCACTTATGGTGGTTCCATATTTTTGAAATGGAGAAATGTGCTGGAATAAACATGCATGTGCATGTTTCTTTTTCCTATAATAACTTTTTTTTTCTTTGGGTAGATAAGAAAAATAAGTACTGGGATTGCTGGACTGAATGGTATTTCTACTTTTAGTTCTTTAAGGAATCTCCATACTGTTTTTCATAGTGGTTGTACTAGTTTACATTCCCACCAGCTGTGTAAAAGTGTTCCCTCTTCACCACATCCACGCCAATATCTATTATTTTTTGACATTTTAATTATGGCCATTCTTGCATGAGTAAGGTGGTATTTCAAGGCTATGGTTACCAAAACAGCATGGTTCTAGTATAAAAATAGGCACATAGATCAATGGAACACAATAGAGAACACAGAAATAAACCCAAATGCTTATAACCAACTGATCTTCAACAAAGCATACAATAACAAACAGTGGGGAAAGGACACCCTATTCAATAATTGGTACTGGAAAAACTGGCAAGCCACAGGTAGAAGAATAAAACTGGATCTTCATATCTCACCTTATACGAAAATCAGCTCAAGATGAATCAAAGGCTTAAATCTAAGAACTGAAACCATATAAATTCTAGAAGATAACATTGGAAAAACTCCTCTAGACCTTGGCTTAGTGAAAGAATTCATGACTAAGACCCCAAAAGGAAATGCCACAAAAACAAAAAATAAATAAATGGAACCTAACTAAGCTAAAAAGCTTCTACATAGCAAACAGACAACCCACAAAGTGGGAGAAAATATTCACAAACTGTGCATCTGTTGAAGGAATAACCATAATCTATGAGGAACTCAAACAAATCAGTAAGAAAAAAACAAATAATCCCACCAAAAAGTGGGCAAAGAATATGAACAGACAATTCTCAAAAGAAGATATACAAACAGCCAACAAATACATAGAAAAATGCTCCACATCACTAATTATCAGGAAAATGCAAATTAAGACCATAATGACATACTTTCGTCTTTATCCATATTTACTTTCAAAATACATGGACAGTTGTTGAAGGTCACCTCTCCCTTTTCTTTCCATAAACTATCTTTTACAAGTTGGTAAAAACTTTAGATTTCTCTTCAGAGCTACAGTTTCTCATTTATGGCAAAAGAGTTTAAAAGGGTAAAGATTAGGAAACAAGCAGGTGATGGCCTAGAGCTATAGTGACAGAAGATCCCATGGATTGAGGTTTCAGTTATTGTGGGTTCACGGGTGTGACAAATTAATTCTATTTCCAAAGCAGCCCCCTGAAGCATGATGTTTGTTAAGTCAGATTAACGTTAAGGTTCACTTTCACCAGTGCGGCATTCAACTGAGAATTCAGGAAATGCTGAATATTTGGGTTGCGATTTCTGAAAACTGGTCCACGGAAAATGTAACTATAGACATTTCTCTTGGAATTTTGAAAAGGAGACTTTTCCAAAAAGAACATTTACCTGGAATAAAAAACCAGAAGGATCCAGAGCCCTTTGTTGCCAGTCTAGGGAGCAGGACAAGATTCCAGGCCCAAGGAAGTTGAAATTAAGAATCCTCGATTCCCTAATAAGAATAACTTCACCAAAAGTTGAGTGTACCAAGGCACTAACATGTCAGAGAAAATAGTCTGGGAGCTCAGATGAGGTGGAAAACTCAATGGGCATTTTATGTTATATCTTGCCCTGACATATGAAATACAGGGGGGCAACCCTCCACCCTGAGAGTAAATATTCTTTTCTGTGTATCAGAGGTATTGTTTATGTCCTCTTTCATCCACCTCCAAAATCCAAACTGCAGTTTGAATTTTCTTATTTTAAAAAAAAATTTCACCATTCTTGATTATAGGACCAGTATCCTGCTCCTAGAATTTTTTAATACCAAGAGCAACTCAGCTTATTTGTTTTACTTTGTTTCCTGTGCACATTAAGTCACTCATTCAAAAATAATTTTTGGCATACAATGTAGTCATTGAGAAAACAGACATATCAGATTTGGTGATATTTTTGTGAGTGACTTTCACCGTATTTGGTCACAAAAAGTTATATCGGTTTTCAATACATTTTTTATCACATATATTTTACACCAAAGTGCAATGATCTACTACAAGAAATTGTATTTCTACATTATGGTATCAGGCAGACAGTCACCAGTTCTTTCACAGGGTAGTTTCAAGTTGCAGACCCTCATGTAGAGAAACTCAAATTGTGTGCCATGATTGGTTAAACCCAAATGGCAAGAAAAGGTGAGGAAGAGGTAACATTTTGTGAGATACTTTTGTTTGAATGTCTGTGAGCTGTTTGTATGTGTTTAGAAACATGCTGTTTCCAACCCGTATTCCACTCATGCTATGACTATTCCCAAAGCTTCCCCACCAGGACTTTCCTCTTGTATCAAAACCCATGGAAAAAGGAATTACTCATAGTCATGTCTGGTCCTGATATTGGATGCTTGCCTGAGGTCACTCATCACACCCTCCCCCACCTTCCAGGGACAGACACCCTGACCCTCTCCATCAAGCCCCTCCCACTGTGAGGGCCTTTCTTCTGCCTACTGTACATCTTACATGCAAATCGAGTTTATCTAATTTCAAGATGATGCTTGTTACTCCTATATATGTGTTTTTTTCATGTCCAGTGGATCTTTTTCAACTATAAAAGTAGTTAATTGTCTTTAGCTGAGGGGAAGCCATGATATCTTCTTCAATACAAAATAAACATATTTTTGCATTTAATGGATTTTAACATAATATCAGAGTTTTCAGGAACAATTCAAAGCCATCATGTGAGGGTTAGGAGCATTTGAGTAAATAAGACAATTTTGATCCCAAGTACTGATATTCAGTAGGGAAATGAGCCATTCAGAGAACAATACCTACACAGTGAAAGTGAAAAGAATCATTTCAATAGCTGATAAATTGTATAAAATTCAGGCAGTGGCATGTGGTATCTGGAGGTCGAGACCATTTATTTGTGCGGACCAGGGAAGGTCTCGGGGTCATACTGGAGATGCTTCTGAACGGTGAGGAGGCAGCCAAGTGACCATAGGAACAGCAAAGACCATAGGATCATCACGAGAAGGGCAGGGACTGGGAGATTTCAGATAAACCATTGTGCATTGAAAACGCCAACCAGTACCATAATAATAAGATGTCTTCTGTGATTTTATTCCTTTCAGGAGAAAATTTATACTAATATCTTTCATCAAACACCTTGACCTGGGTCACACCCATAACATGAAATGTTCCCTGGCTCAGAAGCTGGAAGTTCAGTTTTGCATCCCTGTTGTAAGTCTGCAGGCTCCACAAAGCCCCTCCCTGCCACTCAAGCCCTTATCAGTGGGTTGGTTGCTGCCTTTAGGGTGGGATCACCTGAGGCAGAGGAAGCACTGGACCTGAGGCTCTGGCCCTTGGGTCCTGGCTTCAGCTATGGGAGCTCCATGTGACAGGGTTCTTATGTCCCGTGCTGAGATACAGACCATCGCTCAGCAAGCCCAGCATTCATCTCCCACTTGATCAGCCAACACGAGTCTCTGGGAGGCCTGTAGAGTGAGACATCATTAACGCTGGGGAAGATTTGTGTTTTGTTTCCACCTCAGATTCCAGTGGCAACATTGTGGGCCCCAGATTCCAGCTTCTCCCTCAGTATCTCCAAGACAGAGAGAGAGTTTCCATCACCAGCCTAGAAGCAGATGAATCCAGGGAATGTTTCAAAGATCCACCCATGTGCTTTGTCTACATTGGCCATGGTCCACCCCAGCTTGGCACGGTGGTCTTGGGGCAGACACTTCCTTAACTTTCAGCAGCTTGGGTACCCTGATGACATTGCTGATTATTATTGTCTAAAACTGTATCCTCTCACAGGGTAAACACTTGCAGTGCCCAGCCACAAATAATGTGAATTAGAATTAAAAATTAAAAACATGTTTTCTCAGTTACACTAGCTACATTTCAAGTGTTCAGTAGCCACATATTACTAATGGCTACCCTATTGTACAGCATAAATGTAGACATTTTTATTGTCTTAGAAAATTATTTTGCTTAAAACCGCTCTAAATGTTGACAAGTGTTCCCTCATTGTGTTATAGCTCAGAGCATAAATCTCACCAGCTGTTAGTCTGGAAAACTGGGAGTCCTCAGAAGCTCTCCAGCTGGTACAACCACTGTGGTCCTCAGATCTGCTCTGGAAGAGTTTCCAGAATAACGGGAATGAGCCTGGGCTGACAGATCCAGAAAAGAGGACCTTGGATTTCCTCTCCAGCCCCTGCCCATTATGCCCGGCAGGGTCTCTCACACCCCTTTTTCTCTCTTCCAAAACTACATTTTCAGCATTTCACATGGATTTCAGAACCTAATTCCTAATCGTTTTGTGAGCAACATCTTTTCTGGATATCCTTTGTCCTCAACTTTGGGACTGGTTTATCAAGGAGAGGTGTCATTCTGTGTTCCTTATAGGATCTGGCCTACTGATGGAAGTAATAGGATCTGTTTCATCATTACCCATGAAAAGACTCACCGTCAAGATTGACTGGGACTCAGCATCTAAAATCCTATAAGATGCTATGTCACCAACCAGCCATTAGATGGCAGACAAACCCCACAGTAAACACCAGAAATAAGCCTGATCTTAGAAATACTAGGAAAATCAACAGGGATATTTTAGGGCTAAAATGAGGTCTCATTTATGACCTAGATTACATGGGAGGAGCTGCCAGTGCACTGAGTTGTGGGAAACTCCCTCTGTGCTCTGTGCTCTGAGATTGGAAGCCCAGCCTTTTCCTCCCCACCGCATTGGCTGTATCCCCAAACCCTACCTGATGTGGGCTGAATCCAGGCAGAGGGGAGGCTGCCAATGGTCCCTGGAGTGGTTTCTCCCTGTTACCACACAGCCACTGGGCCATGTGTGCTACTCTGTCTCACAAAGGCCACCAGGGGAGGACCTGCCCACCCTGAGCTCTGGGGACAAAAGTCCCTCCAGTTGGGGTCTAGACCCACTGCCCATCTCCCCAGCACCTGCTGCTCTGTGATTCCCCAGACCCCCGTCAGGACAGTCAGTGTCCTTAGCAATGGGCAGGGAGGTACTGCTCAGCCCAGAATGGATGTAGGTTTGGTCCTGAGCTTCCTGACCCTCAGGCTGTGTAGTGATGAAGGGGCCATGGGGTGGTGCAACCATTGCTGGTTTTAAATGTTTGTGCTCAATTTATCAAAGTTTAAAAATCATATCTTACACTGACAATTAAAGTTATATCTATTAACATATAAGTGTGCATATTATACTTATTCCTAATATAGATGCACAGTATATCCAAATGTATAAATATAATTTATATCTAAAATATTATATGTATATTTAATATGTAAGGGTTACATTACAAATATATACCTATGCATGTAATTTTATGTTTGTTTATTACTTATATCTAAAATATTATATGTATATTTAATTTGTAAGGGTTACATTGCAAATGTATACCTATGCACGTAATTTTAAGTTTGTTTATTTAGCATGTGCTCTTTTTCTTTCTAACCAGAACAGAGCCTGGCTGAGTAAAGACTCTGGGGACATTTGCTGTTCCTCCCTCTTTGACTCCAGCAGGGCCCCAGCCATGCAGAATCAGTGAGGACAGAGCTGAGAGCAGCCAGCTCCAGGAGCTCAGGCCCAGCCCTAAGGGTCGTGTGTCTGAGACTTTCACACTGGCAGTGGACTCTATGCTTGGTGCAGCGCCCATAGAAGTATGAGCAGTTTCCTTCCCTGAAACCCTGCCAGGCAGCTCTGTGGGCAGGACATTTGGTTCCTCCCAAGTCCTCAGCCCCATGGCTCAAGAGAGCAGCTACTTCCTCCACAGCCCAGGGTCAGAGCCCAGCAGTCTAAAGTAGTGCAAGCTTCACCTTAGTCCTGGGTTGAGGACCCTATTCCAAATCTCTCCTCATTTATTCCCATAACTGAAAGCCTGTCCTGGTCTTAAATGCACAGGCCACATTTACACAATTCTTAAAGCTAAAGATGTCATATGAGAAATCAGAAATTTGATTTCGTTTTCATCCTCAGAGCCTGGCTTCTTCTAGCTGTATCAAATCAAAGTGTTCATACATTCTCCTCCCTATACAACTTAACTTAGAAGCACAGCAAAATTTAAAATGTGACAAAGCTCTTGGCAACTATGCAACAGTCATCCCCTTCTTCCTTTGGTGTATAGGGCACCAACTGTGTCTTGCCGTACATGGTGAGGGTGGTGAGTTTCTCCCAGCCCAGGATGGGAGCAGGGATTAAGGGCACATGTGATCAGCTCCAAAATGATAATGTCAGAGGAGTGGGCAGGGATCATGGGAAAATGGTTATACCTCAGAAAAGGACAGAAAGTGAAGAGCTTTGCTTTGCATTTCTTCCTGTAACAGTTAAGAGAGGATATGATGCTTAGAGCTGCTGCAATCCTCTTGAGACCATGGGGCATTTACAACAAGAATGAAAAGCCAGTGATGATGCAGGTGCAAAGCAAAAATGTAGTAACAATCTGGGGCCTTTCAGCTGTCACCAAGCTGTTGTACCAACCTTAAGTGCTTCAACCTTCAGACTTCTTGTCATTACTTAAACCATTACTATTATTTCTTTGACTTGTTTCTAAAATTATTCCAACTTATCTATAAAAGACACTTAAGAGAAAGATCCTGGCTGGGCCACAGACTGTGCTTCAGAAGAAGAAACATATTATCAGAAGTGTGTGTGCTTGTACGAGTCTGAGGCATGAAGGGCAGGAAACATGATAAGTGATGTTCTCCCTGGCACCTTTGTCCTGCTATGCCCATGGCAAGAGAAACCCAAACAATGCCAAAGAGTTCCTCAATTCTGCTCTTTCATTATCTCCATTTCTCCTTTTATATCCTAAGCATGAAACATCCCTTTGTTCTCCTTAATTCCTCCCTTTTCCAAGGTCATGAATTGTTGTCAAGAAAGAGACAGGAACCGTTTGAAAAGATAAAACCTGGTGATACTGTGCATCTCCTCAACACCAACATGGTTCTGCAAGTTTCCTCCCTTCTCAGTGGTTTTCTTATGGGAAGTTGCTGGCTGCCTCAGCCAGGTCTCTGTCAGAGGTTGCATTTGGAGGGTTTACTAAGCAAAGCTTCCAGGTAGTTAGTGCTGGATTCCCAGGAGAGTAGCAGGATGGTGGGTCTGTATTCCCAGCATGCAGGAGGCCAGAATGAGACCTGGGGGAAGGCTGTGGGTGTGGGAAGAATGGACTTAGAACTCAGACCTGTAGCCACGGCCTTTGGAACCCAATAGTGTACACTAAACAGATGGAGCTCAGGGGAAATCTGGTTTAAAGGTGTTATAGTCATTTGTCATCTTGTTTATGTTTCTAGTGCTACACAGGAATGGATTTGTGGAAGTTTTTATTGTGGAAATAATGCACATGAAACCCCATTGCCTATAGTGAGTCACAGGTTAGTTGTAGAATAACTATTAAAGAATTTGATTTGTAAATGACATATGGTTAATAATATCTTCCATAGCCTCTTTTTCTAAGATACTCAAGGGTGCATTTAAAGAAAACTGGGTATATAAAATGTGCGTATAATGTGTGTGTGTGTGTGTTTATGGGCACACATATACACTCTTCAGGGTGCATCATTTGGTTAAACTCTCACAATACCCCATGACTTCCAAAGTGCTCCATTTCACATATGAGAGAACCAGCTATGAGAGCTCATGACTGGTTTGCCGAAAGTCACATGGTCAGCAAATGCCCAAAGTCACATGGTCAGACTTGGGATTGAAGCCCAGGTCTGTCTGGCTTTAGTATGTTCCTTCTACGTGGCCACTTTCATCCCATGGTTGAGCCCAAAGCCTATAAATAGGAAGAAGGGACCATAAAAACAGTGTGGAATCCACAGCTCCCTGCTGCCTCTGTCTCATGCCAGGCTGGCCCTAATCTTAAACTAGCCTCTTCTGTGGTTTTCTCTTCAAAATATAACTCTCTCGAAGTCTTTAAAAATTGTAAATGACTTTGCTTTATATTTTGGAGTAGGAACACATCTTGCTTTCCCCTGACCCTGTTCACATCTTCTCTTTCCCTTCCAGTTTCTCTAAGTCTTCCTTCTCAGGTTCCAATCTCTCTAAGTCTTTC
Organism: Homo sapiens; assembly: GCF_000001405.40. NCBI lineage: Eukaryota > Metazoa > Chordata > Mammalia > Primates > Hominidae > Homo > Homo sapiens. Next base: position 89,151,023 of record NC_000002.12, on the reverse strand, counting down.
CTTGTCAGGTTGTGTTCTAACTTTCCTGCCAAACATGAAAACAAACACACAAACAAACAAACCCTCCTCTTTCTATCAGGTGCTATGAGACCTGATCCCTTAACTCTCCAACACACATTGGAAAAGAGCTAATCAAAGGGTTTACTCTAGACATTTTCTACCTAAGAAGAATCCCGGTGCAAGTTCTCATAGAAAATGGTTTACATCTCTTGTCAAAACTGGCACCAGATTATAACAACATGGAATGTTTGGGAGAACAGAGGACACCACACACTCAGAGACGTAAAAGACATTTTTCCCCTTGCATTAGTTTCCAATTGCTACTGGTTAAATTGCCACAATATTTCTGGCTTCTAACAAATTTATTATCTTATGGTTCTGGAGATGAGAAGTCTAACTGAGCTAATATCAAGGAGACATAGGGCTCTATTCCTTCTAGAGGCTCTAGGAGAGAGAATCTGATTCTTTCCTTTTTAATCTTCAAGATGCCTAGGCCGGGCGCGGTGGCTCACGCCTGTAACCCCAGCACTTTAGGAGGCCGAGGCGGGCGGATCATGAGGTCAGGAGATCGAGACCATCCTGGCTAACGCAGTGAAACCCCATCTCTACTAAAAATATAAAAAATTAGCCAGGCGTTGTGGTGGGCACCTGTAGTCCCAGCTACTTGGGAGGCTGAGGCAGGAGAATGGCGTGAACCCGGGAGGCGGAGCTTGCAGTGAGCCCAGATTGCACCACTGCACTCCAGCCTGGGCGACAGAGTGAGACTCTGTCTCAAAAAAAAAAACAAAAAAAACAAAAAAAAGATGCCCGAACATTCCTGGCTCCATGACCCGTTCTTCCATCACTCCAGCATCCCTCTCCATTGTCCCAGCTCCTATCTAACTGCCACCCTCCTCCCTCCCAATTATAAGGACCTTTGTGATTATATTGATCTCATCTGGATGATCTAGGAGGTTCTCCCAAACTCAAAATCCTTAATCCTTAAGTAAGTTGCATCCACTAAGTTTTGGGATTTTTTTTTTTTTTTTTTTTTTTTTTTTGCTACGTAAGTTAGAATTCATAGGTTCTAGGTACTAGGACATGGACAGGATGTGGGCATTCTTCATTTCACCCACAATTAATATCTTCCCCACAATTGTCCTTCTCTAAGGTAGAATTAAAAATCAGAGGGCATATTTATGAAGCAAGAGAGCTAGAAAAAATCTTAGATTCAGGGCCCTCAAATCTTTGGGTTTTAAATGCTGGGGGACACTTATTCCACTGCCTCTAATGTGGACTTCACAATGTGTAGCTAGTTTTAGAGGCTCCTTTAATTTACTAACCCAGAAAAAATTCATTGCACAAAGACAATCTAAAATAGATTAGTAAAGGGAAATTAATTGCTTCCTGACCATTCCTGTATTAGGGTTCTCTAGAGGGAAAGGACTAATAGGATAGATGTATAAATGAAAGGGAGTTTATTAAGGAATGTTGACTCACACAGTCACAAGGTGAAGTCCCACAATAGGTTGTCTGCAAGCTGAGGAGAAAGGAAACCAGTTCGGGTCTCAAAACCTCAAAAGTAAGGAAGCCGACAGTGCAGCCTTTAGTTTGTGGCTGAAGGCTGACAATACCCTGGCAAACCACCAGCGTAAGTCCAAGAGTCCAAAAGCTGAAGAACTTGGAGTCTGATGTTTGAGGGCAGGAAGCATCCAGCACGGGAGAAAGATGAAGGTCAGAAGACTTAGCCAGCCTAGTCCTTCCACATTCCTCTGCCTGCTTTCTGCTTTTATCCTAGCTGCACTGGCAGCTGATTAGATGGTGCCCACCCAGATTGAGGGTGGGTCTGCCTTTCCCAGCCCACTGACTCAAATGTTAATCTCCTTTGGCAACACCTTCACAGACACACCCAGGAACAATACTTTGCCTCTTTCAATCCAATCAACTTGACACTCAATATTAACCGTCTCCAGTAAAGACTGATGAAGAGCCAATAAACACAGAAAAAGATGCTCCACATCACTAATTCTTAGGGCAATGAAAACAAAATCTACCTTATACCTATTAGGATGGTTTCCCTCAACAGAAAATGAAAACTGTTCATGAGAATTTGGAGAAATTGGAAATCTTGTGGACACTGTTTTGGGGATGTAAAATGGTCACCTAGTATAAGAAACTACATTGCAATTCCTCAATAAATTAAAAATAGAAATACTATATAATTCAGCAATTCCACCATTGGACATATATCCAAATAACTGACAACATTAACTTGAAGAAATATTTATATACCCACATTCAGAGAATTATTGTTCATAATAGCCAAAAGGTGGAATCAACTCAAATGTTCATGCAGGGAAGGGTGGATAAACAAAATGTGGCATATAAATATATATGCAATGGAATGTTATTCAACTTTCCAAAGGAAGGAAATTCTGACACAGGCTCCCACATAGATGAACAGTGAAGGCACTATGCTCAGCAAAATCAGCAAGCCACAGGACTAATGAAGTGTGATCCCACTGCAGTATTTGCAGCACAGTCTCCAGTTGGCTTTGGACCAACCCAGTCTCCTCCCCTTTCTCACTCTTAGTTTTCAAGAATCACTGTAGAATATCCTGGGAATGTAACATCCTGAGATAGGGCAGTATTGGCCACCACAGCACAGGCTCTGTTCCAATCCCCTTGTGCCGAGTTCTGGCTGCATGTTCTCACGGCCCAATAACTAGAAGCAGAGAAACTAGGAAAGAAGGGAATTTATTATTGTAACTGGATACAGGAAGAAGGTCAGAGATAATATCACCAGACCAACTGCAAGTGTTATAATTTTCCTTCCCTCCTTCCTTCCTTCCTTTCTTCCTTCTTTCCTTCCTTCCTTCCTTCTTTCTTTTCTTTCTTTCCTTCTCTCTCTCTCTCTCTCTCTTTCTTTCTTTCTTTGATGAAGTCTCACTCTGTTACCCAGGTTGGAGTGCAGTAGCATGATCTCAGCTCACTGCAACCTCTGCCTCCCAGGTTCAAGCGATTCTCCTACCTCAGTCTCCTGAGTAGCTGGGGCTACAGGCGCCCACCATCACACCTGGCTAATTTTTGTAGTTTTAGTAGAGGCGGGGTTTCAGCATGTTGGCCAGGCTGAAAGTGTTACAATTTTCTTAGTGCTTATATAGGTTGGCTTTATGTGCCTACGTGCAGTAAAACATTTGCCTAAGTCTATAGGCAACTAATTTTGTTTCAACTAGGTCAGAGGCCAAAGAAATGCTAATTCCGATTAAGCTGTGAGGGCCCCAGTACCTTCAAGCCCTGTCTCCTAAATTCTAATCAGTGAGGACTGTGGTACCGGAGTGATTATTTCTATCTTATCTCATTTACAGCTTGGTCCAGAGAGCTGCCTTAGACTCTCCAGTGAATCTATTCAAACAGCTGCCTCTGTTACCTTGACTCATCTCATTTTATTGACCCAAGACGGGTCCTGGCACTAGGAATGTAAGGCTGTCTCCATTATTTTGACTTGCTCGAGGTTAGGGAGAAGCCTGTGCAAGCCTCCCACTGACCTATGTTTTACTTCTAGCTTTGATGCCTGGGAACCGATTCCCCTAGGTTTAATTATTTGCTCAGTGTTAAGGCAGCGCTGTGGAAATTTGTTGGTGTAACTGGACTGCTACACAGGCCTGTCTGTGTGACTGTCATGCAGACCTGTCTGTCCAATTGACAGGGAGTATTGTCCTGCCATACCCTCTTGAAACAAGATTTCCTTCAACACTTTAGCTCAGCATGATATGTGACTCCAAGATATAAAACCCAGGGTGGGTCCAATCCAGAGTGCCTCAGCTGCAGTATATATGAAGCAGTCTAGACCCCATCAGCCCCAGGCAGCTTTCCTGAGCCTTGGGGGAACAGACCTACAATAAATTCTTGGATTTTGCTATCCCTTGCTGCCTGTCTGTAAATTGTAAATTGCTTCACATAACTAGTTGTGTAAGGGTGTTTAATCTCCCTGGACTCAAATAAGTTGGTAATCACTGCACAGTTAACCTGCTTAACAAAATTGCCCCATTGAGAAGATTCTAGTATGACAGAACCATGGCTTATTGGTGAAGTGGGAAGAATGATACCTCCCATTACTTGGCCAGGGGAGGACCATTAGACTGGAAGGTGCAAGGCCTGGACATGCATCTGGGTGCTTTATGGGGAATGAGGGAGGATCAGTGGGTTATAGATCACTCTCTGCATGAGTTTAGATGAGCTGGCTGCCTGAATTAAGGCAGAGAGAAAGGAGTGTAGAAATGAGAATGAGGCACAAAATCCTCTGGTTCATAGACACTTGCATAATTGCTCATTCCTGGAGCCAGAGAGCTAGGGAAACGGGTACTCAAATGGACCCTAAGATCCCTGAGAGGGAACCAACATATGCTATTTGGGCTTTCACACAAAGGGAGACTCACTCTCTAAATAAGAGATACAGAAAAAGTTCAGGGAAGTCTTATGCAGACTGTTTGGTATATTTGTTTGATAAAGCAATATTTGCAGTTCCAAATTTCTTGATCTAAATGTCACTGTTAGGGATACAGCCAATGCCTTTGGGTGCTCACCAGAAACCAGTGGCCCTAGACCATGTAAAAATAAAAGGAGAAAATAAGGAAATACTTTTCTGGGTTTTTGGGTGCCAGAGCCCATAGGTCTCCATTGGGGAAAATTTAACCAATGACATTGAGAGGTTCAGGGACAAATGCAGTGGCCATGGTGCTTCTCTGCTTGTGGATGGTGCCCTGTGGGCCATGTTGGGGCTGGTGACTGTAGTTCCCACCTCAGAGTGCAGTACAGGCATTGATATTTGCACCACAGAACATCACTGCTGCATAAAAGGTATATTCCCTCGCAGCTAAGAATTCAAGCCTTAACAAAAGGGAATATCCACTGAAGCCTACGACCTAAGCTACGCATGACTCCGTGGGTTATTTGACAAAAACAGTACTGTGTACTAAGTGAAGAATAAGACATTACCTGTTTTTTTCAAGACTTGCTACAAATAGATTAAAATGTTACATAGTCCCCTGTCACCATGGAGCAACTCAGTTTGGCGGGGCAAAAAGACTTTAGGGGAACAGAGACTAACGATGGACTATTTCACGTTGAATGCTAAGGCCACTTGGACAGGAAACCAAGGAAGGATAGCAGATATAGTTAAACATTGTTGGTACTAGCAGCAACCATTAATAAAGGACAACAGCTGGTAGGCTTCTTTGAGTATTGGTAACAGCATAAACCTCTCTGGGGTGGGCTTTCAGTCCCCTTAGTCAAAATCAAAATCACAAACAAAACCACCAACCTTGAACAGAGCCCTTTGCAACAGCAGCCTTGGAAGAAGTTCAACAGGACATGGTCCAAACACTTCTTTTAGACCTTTAGAGCCTGTTAGCCTGATGGAAGTTCAGGTGTCCACAGTCTCTATGTATGCTGACTGTAGTATGTGGCAACAGAAAATTGTCACTGAGTGAGCCAGCCTCTCAGATACTGAACACAAACCAGCTGAAGCAGCCACCAGATGTCCCTCTTTGGCATAGCAACTCCTTGCTTGCTATGGGAAACTGACAGGGACTGGACATCTTGGGGCTGAGCACCAAGTGTGGCGCTGCTGGGTGAACTGCTCCTTTTCACTTGGGTGCCTAAAATCCAACCAGTGAAACTGGACAGGCTCAATAGAGCTGCATTATCAAATGGAAATGGTGTATTCAGAATCAGGCCCAGCCAGCAACCCGTGGGATCCAAAGGCTCCATAAACAAATGGCGAGCTTGCTAGAAGGGACTAAATGACCCATGGGGGATGGTTTGGCTCTGCTTTTGGCTACCCGAAGTCCAAGATTCAGAGACATGCCGACATCGGTATGGCATGGTTCACTTAGGGCTCTGCAAAACATGTAGACTGGGGGTGGCTACCATCTAGCCAGTGGATGACTATTTTCTTTCCTGAGACTGATAATGGTCATTCCACCCAATGGTCCAAACTACATGCAGTGGTAATGGTCATGCAGGCCTTTCTGCCACCTCTTGCTATATTTTTACCAACTCATGGGCCACTGCCAACAGTCTAGCTATCTGATCAGGAAAATAGCAACCGAGTGACTGGACTATTAAAGCATCCCCTCTGTGGAGAAAAGGACTATGGCAACAGCTTGCCACCTATAAGAGACAAATATGTCACTCAGCTGGATGCTGGGTCTACCATGACCACCCTTGAGATGAACTTATGCCATGTTTTTGGATGCCCACTGAGACTTTGCTTTGACCAAGGAAAGTTCTTTACTGCCCAAATGACGTCAATGGACACACTCTCATGGGACATGATGGATTTTCCATACACCTTGTTATCCAAAGGCCAATGGATCTATTTAATGCTAGAACAGCTGACTCACACGGCAACTGAAGAGTGTACATCAGGGCAACCTGCTAGTAGAGTGGTACCCCATCTGACTACAGCAATTGGACATTAAACACTGCACTGCAGAGCAAGGGAAAGACGGCACGGAGGTGCAGGTTGAAAAACACTGAGTTGAGTGAGGAAGAAGTTGGGCAAGGCCAGTTTCCTGATAGAGCTGCCACTGTGAAATCCCAAACTCAGTGTTTCCAATCATTTTTTTCCTTTTATAGTGATGTTCTTGGGGGTGTTGCAGTTTAGGCCACCATGATAACCCAGACAGGCCTCCTAACTCTAATTGGATGGAATGATTCCCCTGGGTGCCTTCTATGGGTTCCACAGGATCAAGAAATATCAGGGTGTTAATTTCCTTCTGCTGGTAGGAGGGTCATCTGATTCCTCCATTAGGGTGGATGACGTTATCAGACATGTCAATTTTCTACAGTACTTGACCTGCCTTCTAGAACTGGACAACCGAGGGTGAAAGGACTGGATCAAGCAACAATGGCAATGGGTGCCCAAAGAGGTAGTAGTCTCAGAACAGGGAGAGACAGACTGAGTCCCTCCACTAACTCAGCCCAACACCTGTGGATGAGTAGGGGATGCCTGAGATCCTGGGGTGGATGGGAGGTGGGGCACTGATCTGTCAATCTGCTTTTTCTTCAAGGATCAGGCAGCAGAGACCCAGAAGCTTCATGTCTTTGTAAGGCTCTTCCAAGCCAACACAGATAATTTGACAAAACACTGTATCTGCATCCCAGACCTCACCCTGTCACAGACTGAAGTGGTTGTTTCATCCTACTAAGGGTAAACTATACCAGCTATACAGAATAAAAAGACTGGATAGTTTAGAGGATCACCCAAGAAATAGTTCTTTGCCTGCATGGACAAAACCATCTTCTGTCTTTAGGGAAATGGTATCACTACCCTGAGGATTTGGAGCCCAGGTCTCACTTATCTGTGCAGTTGTGAAAGTCCTCACACCCACAGTGCTGAGGTTAATTGAATGTTACTCTTTTAATTTCTGCAAAGAATGAGACAGCTTCTGGACCCTCAGGAAAGATCACTAACAAGTAAATACAAGTATATCCGGAAGATAAAGTTGTAATAGACTCTTCCTTTCAACCTGATCCATCATGCATTTAGGGAGCTGACTGGGCACAAGTTGGAGCAGAAAGAGAAAAATGAAACCACAGCCTTCTATTTTGTTTCTAACAGACTTGTACCAAACATTCTGTGGCTCAATCTAGGTGATGGTGAGACAAGAGGACACAGGGGTTAAATTCTGTGGCCGCAGGGGAGAAGTTCTACCCTCAGACTGAGCCAACGGCCTTTTCTGGCCTGATCACCTGGGCATGGGCTGCTGAGAGCAGAAAGGGGAGGCAGATTGTCTCTGCAGCTGCAAGCCCAGCACCCGCCCCAGCTGCTTTGCATGTCCCTCCCAGCCGCCCTGCAGTCCAGAGCCCATATCAATGCCTGGGTCAGAGCTCTGGAGAAGAGCTGCTCAGTTAGGACCCAGAGGGAACCATGGAAACCCCAGCGCAGCTTCTCTTCCTCCTGCTACTCTGGCTCCCAGGTGAGGGGAACATGGGATGGTTTTGCATGTCAGTGAAAACCCTCTCAAGTCCTGTTACCTGGCAACTCTGCTCAGTCAATACAATAATTAAAGCTCAATATAAAGCAATAATTCTGGCTCTTCTGGGAAGACAATGGGTTTGATTTAGATTACATGGGTGACTTTTCTGTTTTATTTCCAATCTCAGATACCACCGGAGAAATTGTGTTGACGCAGTCTCCAGGCACCCTGTCTTTGTCTCCAGGGGAAAGAGCCACCCTCTCCTGCAGGGCCAGTCAGAGTGTTAGCAGCAGCTACTTAGCCTGGTACCAGCAGAAACCTGGCCAGGCTCCCAGGCTCCTCATCTATGGTGCATCCAGCAGGGCCACTGGCATCCCAGACAGGTTCAGTGGCAGTGGGTCTGGGACAGACTTCACTCTCACCATCAGCAGACTGGAGCCTGAAGATTTTGCAGTGTATTACTGTCAGCAGTATGGTAGCTCACCTCCCACAGTGATTCAGCTTGAAACAAAAACCTCTGCAAGACCTTCATTGTTTACTAGATTATACCAGCTGCTTCCTTTACAGATAGCTGCTGCAATGACAACTCAATTTTAGCATCTCTTCTCTGCTTGGGCATTTTGGGGATCTTAAAAAAGTAATCCCTTGATATATTTTTGACTCTGATTCCTGCATTTTTCCTCAGACCAAGATGGACAGCCAGGTTTAAGCACAGTTTCACAGTAATGGCCACTGGATCAGATTTACATCAGTGGATGTCAGTAAAGGTCCCAACCAGAGCCATAAGGCAACAACAATAGCAACAAATAATCAAAATTGGAAAAGAAGAATTAAAGCTGTCATAATTCACTGATGAAGGATTGTGTGCAGATAAAATTCAAATTTGTCTACAGAGAAACTACTAAAATTGACATGAGAAATAGAAAATCATTAGATTCAAGATCAATTTATTAATTCATAGATTCAAAAATCAATTTCATTTCTGCATAATAAAAAATGCTAAAAATTAACATTATAAAACAAACACACCATTTACAAAAACATCAAAGTATCAATTATTTAAAAAAAATAGACTAAATACACTGACGTCTCCAGAATATTATTTTGAAAAATAAAAGAAAACCTAAGTAAATAGAAATTCAGTTCAAAGACTGAATGTCTCAGTACTATAAAAATGTCAATTCTTCAAAGATTAAAATATTGATTACATATAAGAAAAATCAAAATCCTAAAGTATACTCCAATTTAAATTAAGAAGCTAATCTAAATATTATATGGGAATGTCAAGGATGTAGAATAGCCACAGTGAACCTGAAGAAACACCAAAATGAGAACTTCCAGTGCCTGAATACCTGGAATATAGTGTGGGTGGCAGTATGGTGATGGTGAGATCAGAAGTTTAAAAATTTGCAAACGTGCTTATTTTTGGAAATAATCACTACGCAGATGTAGCCAAACCCTCTTCAACTGTGCCACCAGAATCTCAGATTTCCAGAATTAGTTTCTCACAGTGTGATTCTTAACATGACATCAATAATTCTCAGTCTCCCCAGTAAACGCAGCTCAGTGCATGGTGCAGCTATCCATTTGACTTCTACAAATATTTTAAAAGGTAGAAAATTATATTTATCCAACTAATTGACTCAGTAACAGCTGTTCATTTGCAGAGAGGTACTCTGTTTTAATAAATAACAAAACTAAGAAAGTTAGTGAATGACCAAGTAGGAAGAGTGATAGGAACAGCTGTCTTAGCTTTGTCAAAGGCTTCCTTCCAAAAGGAATTTCACTGGTCACTTTCATTTATCACCACCAATAATTTATTATAACTTATTGTAATGTGGTTTATTGAATATTATATGAAAGTGAAAAACAGAGTAGTTGTACCAGTACTGGAAGCACTGTTTCTACTGAATACAAATAATTTTCACACTATTGTAAAGTCAAAACATCTTAAGTGCAACCACCATGAATTAGGGACTTACTGTAAGTTCAGGGAAGTAACTATAAAGAAACTCACAAATTTTAAGAAAAATAGAATATATTCCTGATAGAGGTACAGGAATATATTATCTAAAATATACAGTTTTCCATTAAAAAATCCTGCAAAGAAACAGAAAAGTATGATCAATATTGAGGGAACAAAACAAAACAACTGCAGCAAGAAAGCACAGTCAATGAAAGCTGATTCTGACTTGTCCTGAATATCAGCTTTAGCAAAGACTACAAAGCAATTATTATATAGATGTTTAAATAATTATTCTTAAAACTACGATCATATAGTTTTAAAGATATAAAGAGGAAAATATAAAGACAATGACTCAGCAAATGGAAACTCTTAAAAAATAGAAACTATGGAAAAGAATCAAGTGAGAATTCTAGAAACAAAAAGTACAATAACTCAACTGAAAAATATATTACATAAGTCCAACATCAGTTTAAGATGGCAAAAGATTCAGTGAACTTAAAAATAGATGTACAGAAATTATTGAATCTAAATAAAGAAAGGAGTTTAAGAAAAAATGCGCAAGACTTGACAGAATTACAGCTCAGGTTGAAAGATACCAACAAGTGTGTAAAACGAGTCACAAAAAAAGCAGAGAGAGAGAGAAAGTGATCAAAAAATACTTGGAAAAGTAATGACAACAGCTTTTCAAAAATAATGAACCACAAAGGTAATTTAATCTATAGATGAAAGAAACTCAATGAAACGCTTTCAGGATATAATACAAGATTAATAACAAAATACATTATACTTTAAAATGTTGAAAGACAAAGAGAAATTCGTGAATGTGTCAGGACTAAAAGCTGACTCTACATATGGAGACACAATAATAATGCCATTGGCTAAGTTTTCATTAGGACCGAGGGAGGCTGGAAGAGATTGGAATGAGATCTTTAAATACTAAAAGGAAATGAAAGAGGACAACCAGCAATTTTGTTTCTGGTGAAAATATTCTTCAGAACTAAAAATATTCCTTGATAAACAGAATAAATTCATTAATAGCAGCTCTGCCTTATAAGAAATTCAAGATGAAATCTTTCAGAATCACAGAAGATTACAGCAGGCAGGATTTTGAGCCCACAGCCTATAATGAAGGACTCAAAAGTAGTAAACAATAAGAATAAAGCTAGAAAAAAGCACACAATTCAATTTATATGACATTAAAGACATAAAAACCCAAATTACTGTGTTCGATGTCAGAATGACAATTACCTTGGTTGAGATGGGGAAGCAGTTACTGAAGAGGAAGGTGCATGGAGGAAGCATCAGCAGAAGGTAAATATTCTGTAGTTCCATCTGGCCAATGAATACACAAAAACTATTCAGTTACAATTTGAAGATGTGTGCCCTTTGTGCCCTCTGGGTGTTTTATCACTTAAAATAATACGTAAAAATACCATATAGAATAGAAAATATTTATGAAAACTCAGCCTATTAAAGACCAATGTAAAATATGCCTGGGAAAGGGAAAAATAATTAGAAACCTCTTAGAGAAAACAGAAGGATATTAAAAAATATGTCCCTTCGGCCGGGCGCGGTGGCTCACGCCTGTAATCCCAGCACTTTGGGAAGCCGAGGCGGGGGGGATCATGAGGCTTAAGATCCAGGTCTGGAAGCTCGTCAAATGCTAAATTATGTAAAACACAATAAGCCAAGGATGCAGGTTGTAGTTCTCTGGGGTACTCAATTATAATAAAATAATACAGAACTAAAAAACAAATTAGGATAAAATAAATCAACACTGTAAACAAAATATGTTGTGCCAAATATGATTGAATTTTTAGATAAAAGATTGTAAATAAATAAATGAAATTGCATACACAAAAATAAAATCAAAAGACAACTAAAAACAAGGAGAAACTATTCTTAATATATTAAACAAATAAACTGTTACTGTTCTAATATGAAACAACTCTATTAAAAGTTAAGATAATGGGTCAAAAATCCAATAGAAAAAAGAAGAAAAGAGAACAGACAATGCATTATAAAAGATATATACATATAGCATTTAAACACAAGTAAAGTGTGTAATCTCAGTAATGAGGGAAATGCAAATTGAAACTACTTTGAGGTAGTATTATCTGGTTTAAGAAAATCCAAAAAATATTAACCGTATTTTTAGGCAAGGTTATAGGGAAACAGGATTTCTCATTAACAGCTGTGAGGATGGAAACTAATACTACCTTTTTAAGAAGGAGAATATGACAACATCTACAAAACTATCTTAATGTGTAACTTTGACCCATAATCCCATTCCTAGGAATCTCTGAAGATACATCTTCAACACTACAAAATTACATATACACAAGGTTATTCATTGGAACATTAATTGTAATGATTTGTAAAATGTTGACACCACCCAGAATATTCATAAATAAATATTTTGTTGAAATAGCTATGGAACATTCATGCAATGGAGTATGTATCAACTGTCAAAAGGAAGAAGTTATCTATGAATTGACAGGAAGTTATTTCTCAGATATACAGTTGAATGAAAAAAAGCAAAGTGCAAACAAATATCTATACCGTGTTACCTTCCAAGTAAGAAAGCAGAGGAGATTTAAAAACAAACAGAACCGTAAACGAAAACAACAAATTTGAGAGGATAGACAGAGTGAGGCTGGCAGGGAGTGATAAGAGGAAGGGGCTGGTAACGGGGTGAAGGGATGAGATGAGAGTGGTACAGAAGGGGTGGAAGGCGACACGTCTCTGAGCTTACCTTTTTGTTTTTGTGAATTTATGTCTTTGGAGACTCTATTTATACTACAAATATTTGAAAATAATTGAAATCAAGAAAGATGAGAGGATCCAAATGGGTTACAAACAAGAGTAAATGAAACTAAATGTATTACAAATGAATTAAAAAATAACAAGGTGGTGGATATGGGAAGAAAAGACTAATATAAGTATTGTTGGGACCCAGTATTTTGACTATTTCCACTAAAGCTAAAGACAGAAATATGTGTGATTCAGTATTTTACTGGACTTAGTAGCTTCAATTTTTACAGGGGTATAGTTAAGCATGTGCACACATATTTTTCTTTATTTATTCCAGGCAATGGCTACATGAATTTTTAAAAGTTTTATTTTGATTTTAATTGACAAATAGTAATGTATATACATATGGGGTACAATGAGATGCATACATGTATACATTGTCGAATAATCAAATCAGGTTAATTAACATAGTCCTCACCTCCAATATTTATCATTTTTTGTACTGAGAACATTGAATATACTTTGTTATTTTGAAATACAGAATATAGTATTATTAACTACAAAACCACTGTCATAAGGTTAACAAGAACAGTATTCCAGGTTCCAGACTGAAATATAGTTAAGCATTAATCAGACAACATTCTGAGCCACTTCCCTTAGCTTCTCACTAATAAAAGTCAAGTTGCAATAAATACAGACCATTAACGTCCCCATTGTTCCCAAATATAACACCTTCACCATTATGAGCATAAAACCTAATCTTTGAGATATTTACCAGATCCTGAATTCCAGTAGAATAGCTGACACCAACTTGTCTAAAGACCACCCCCCTCCCAAAGAACCGAGTCAACATAAGAAAGCAGTTTCTTCACCTCCCAGTCCCATGACTTCATCCTTCACTCTTCAACCAATCTGCCTCTCCATCCAAAACCACTTAAAGTCTTTAACCCCAAAGTGCTTGGGGAGGTAGATATGAGGCTTCCTCCTGTCTTCTCATTTAATTGCCTTGGGATTAAATCTCTTTCTCTGCAGCAGCCCCCAGTGTCTTAGTGTATGTTGACTTACCATGTAATAGGCAATCAAGCCTGCCAGAAATACATCTATATAATAATGTCGCCATGCTATGCAACAGATCACCAAAACTTAGTCCCCCTATCAGACTGATATTTTGTACCCTTTAACAATGCAGTCTCTGGTAACCAGCATTCTACTTGCTATTTCTGTGACTTTCATTTTTTTAGATTTTTCTTCCTAAGCTTAGAACAAGGGATTGCTGTGGCCATGGCAGAAGAAGTTTGCCTCTGTATACAGAGTTTCCCTCCACTGCAAAACTGCAGCCTCTGCCAGTTGCATCCACTGTCCTTATGAATAAACATACCTGGAAGTGTTCATAGTATTTGCAACGAATTATACAAGATTTTGAAGCCCCCCCTCTCTTTCTCTTCCTTTTTTGTTCTTTTGTGCCATCTTTAAATTTTTCATTTAGCACAATGCATGACTGTTGGGGCTCAATACATATTTGTTGCAAAAAGGGTAAAAAAAGGTGTTTCTTCTTTTCAATAGGAAAAATTGTAGTTTAAATCTCACAAGACCGTCTTGTAGTCAGACTCAAACTCACATCCACAGTCACCTCCTGTGGATGGCGAAAACGTGAACTTTATGTGTATGTCTCCTCATACATTGAATGGTGGTCCAGATTTCCAGCTTCTCGGGATCTGTGCACACAGGCTATTGTGTCCGGAGTTGGTTCCTGCTGGTGAGTCTGGCTGACTTCAAGAATGAAGCCACGGACCTTTGTGGAGAGTGTTACAGCTCTTAAAGATGGCACGGAGCGGCAGCAAGGATTACTGTGAAGAGCTAAAGGACAAAACTTCCATAGCATGGAAAGGGACCCTTGCGGGTTGCCACTGCTGGCTGGGGTGGCCAGCTTTTATTCCCTTATTGTCCCCACCCATGTTCCGCTTCTGTCCTATCAGAGTGCCCTTTTTTCAATCCTCCCCACGATTGGCTACTTTTAGAATCCTGCTGATTGGTGCATTTTACAGAGCACTGACTGGTGCGTTTTACAGAGTGCTGATTGGTGCATTTTACAATCCTCTTGTAAGAAGTCCCCACTCCACCCAGGAAGTCTAGCTGGCCTCACCTCTCACTATCAATGACTGAAATGATCATTAGTAGCAGTGGCTTTGGTTAAATGTATACCAGTAGTTACATACAGGGTAGAAAAATGGTCTGAAGAGGTATATTCAGCATCAAATGAAAAAATTACACCTTGTGACCCCTTTCTCTCCCTGTATGATCCCTTAAGATTGTGCTGAAACCTCAGAGCATCAGGTCAGCCTCATATTGCTCCTTCCTAAATCTTGGTCCCTGCTCAACCTGAGCCTATGTTTGGCCATCCACGGGCATCCATGTATACAACTTTGAAGGCAAAACTCCCTGCTTGGAGTGGCTCATTAGATGACCAGGGTCCAGATAGCATTGCCAAGGAGGCTCACAGATGGCTTCATACTGAGTCTCTCCCCTCAGCCTCCCAGCATCACCAGCCCTGAAGGAATGTCCCTGTTATCCGTGGCACCCAGAGCACAGTCAGCCCTGCCCTGACTTCACTGCCCAATTCACAGCCTCATCGCAGATTCCACTGCAAAATAGACAGTGTGAGATCTCAAAGACAGGCTGATTTGTAGTCCTGAAAAGCAACAACCCATCGTTCCCTCGATCTCTTTGGTGGAATTTCAAAGTTCGTCATAAGCTGAATTTCTGTACAAACATACTCTCTTAACAATGGAAACTATTTGCAATATGGGAAACATAAAACATGGGAAAAGTTTAAATCTCTCAAGAGCATCTTCTAGTCAGATTCATATTCAGCTTCCCTGATTCTGAACTTTCTGTCTTGCGGTCAGCTTCTTTTGGTCCATTTGTTTCACCCTTTCCAGCTCAGATCTTCTCTCCCTGGCTACCCTTAGTCTCAGGTTGTCCTTACGTTTGATAGGCTTCTACCTTATGGATGCTGTAAGGTTATCCTCTCATTTGCTGGATTCTTGTGGGAAAAAAAATCCCTCCAAGTTCACATCCTGAGACTTCAGACTCCACTCTTCCTTGGAGAGCCATCCTCCATTTCCTGCAGGTCTGGTCAGAGCCCCTTTCATAGAAATGGAAACACTTACTTGAATTGGTTTCTGCAGAAGCCAGACCAACCTCTAAGGTGCCTGATTTATGAAGTTTCTAACAGGAAGTCTGGGGTCTCGGGCAGGTTCAGCAGCAGTGGTTCAGGGACAGATTTCATATTGAAAATCAGCAGGGTAGAGGCTGAGGACGTTGGGGTTTATTACTGCCTGCAAGGTACACAAGTGCCTCCCACAGTGGTACAACCCTGAATACAAACCTCCCTGCTTGGAGTGGCCCAGCTGCTCAAATATGTTGTTTATCTGGGGAGTGGCACAACAGAATCTCTGCTGTATAAGATGAAGATGTTGGGCCGAGGCGGGCAGATCATGAGGTCAAAAGTTTGAGACCAGCCCGACCAACATGGTGAAACCCCATCTCTACTAAAAATACAAAAATTAGCTGGATGTGGTGGTGCACGCCTGTAATCCTAGTTACTCAGGAGGCTGAGGCAGGAGAATAGCTTGAACCCGGGAGATGGAGCCTGCAGTGAGCCAAGATCACACCACTGCACTCCAGCCTGGATGACAGAAGGAGACTCCATCTCAAAAAAAAAAAAAAAAAAAAAAAAAATGAAGATGTTGGTGAGCTCAGGGTAAAAGGTTGCAGCTGAATGACCTGTCCCATGGGGGACTCAGCAGTACATCAGGTAAAACCCATTCATGGTCCTGTCAGCTCCCACAGCCTTGGCATGGCATAAGCCAAAGGAAAACAGAGATAATTCAAGTGCCTTCAGAGTAAGCAGACAGGACTGAGGGAGAGCGGAGGGAAATCTCACACTAATCTTCCCTGCCTTGCCTACATTCGACAATGAGACTTCAAATAGCTTAATAGCCAGACAAGTAACACAGATTCGTGTCAACACGTGTTGAATATCTCTTGAAGTTTAGGTCTTTTGTGTATATTTTTAAGAGGGTAGTATTTGGTAGTATTTAGAAACTGGTATTTTTCAACTTTTCCAATTTCCTTCTTCTCCTTTTTACTAGTTCTCTTCCCATTGCACCACATAACAAATAGTGAAAAGAGCATTCTACACAAGCTGTCCTCAGGGAGAGCTGGCTGAGGACAATCATGAAAAAGCTTGAATTTGCACCTCCAAATAGACTTTTGTGACGTCATGGAAGACAGAAGATCCTGATGTTAAAACTCTTTCATTCATTTCAATTACTTCTTGCTAATAAAAAAGGATAATATTTGAAATTCCAAAAGTTGGATTTTAAAAACAAAAACTTAAACTGGAACAAGCAGATTATAGAATTTATGTTATATGCCACTAGAATAACACAGAATAATGTGAGGTTTTTTTTTTCTTTACCAAAGGGTGAGAATTTTAAAACTGTGGGCAGACTCCAGGAATGAGAACAAAGAAGAGAATATAGTAGAGGCCAACTACGGTCCATAATCTGAACTTTGTCTTGTATTTGTTGCAGTTGTGGGTGGTATTCTGTGATGTATATGTACCACATTTTCTTTATTCTGTCTACCACTGATGGGCATTTAGTTAATTCCATGTCTTTGCTGCAGTGAACATATGTGTGCATGTGTCTTTATGGTAGAACAATTTATATTCCTTTGGGTATACGCTCTGTAATAGGATTGCTGAATCAAAAGGTAGTTCTGTTTAAAGTTCTTTGAGGAATCTCCAAACTGCTTTGCACCGTGGCTGAACTAATTTACACTCCCGCCAGCAGTGTATAAGCATTCTCTTTTCTCTGCAACCTCATCAACATTTGTTATTTTTTGAGTTTTTAATAATAGCCATTCTGACTGGTGTGAGATGATACTTAATTGTGGTTTTAATTTGCGTTTTTCTAATGATTAGTGGTGTTGAGAATTTTTCATATGCTTGTTGACTATGTGCATGTTTTGTTTTAAGAAGAGTCTGTTCATGTCATTTGGCCACTTTTTAATGGGGTTGTTTTTGTTTGTTGCTTGTTAATTTACGTTCATTACAGATTCTGGTTATTGGGTCTTTGTCGGATGCATAGTTTACAAATATTTTCCCTCAATCTGTAGGCTGTCTGTTGACGCTGTTTATAGTTTCTTTAACTTGTGCAGAAGCTCTTTACTTTAATTAGGTCCCATTTATCAATTTTTGTTTTTGTTGCAGTTGCTTTTGGAGTTTTTGTCATGAAATTTTTACTACGGCCTTTGTCTAGAATGGTATTTCTTAGATTTTCTTCTAGAGTTTTTGAAGTTTTAGGTTTTACATTTAAGTCTTTAATCCATGTTGAGTAGATTTTTGTATATGGTGAAAGGAAGGGGTCCAGTTTCAATCTTCTATATATGGCTGGCCAGTTATGCTAGCACCATTTATCAAATAGGGAGCCTTTTCTCTATTGCTACCTTTTGTCAACATTGTCAAGATCAGATGGTTATAATGTACAGCTTTAAGTCTGGGTTCTCTAACCTGTTACATTGATTTATGTGCCTATTTTTGTACCAGAACCATGCAATTTTGGTTACCGTAGCCTTGTAGTATATAGTTTGAAGTCGGGTAGTGCAATGCCTCTGGTTTTGTTCATATTTGCTTAGGACGGCTTTGTCTATTCGGGCTCTTTTGTGGTTCCATATGAATTTTAGAATAGTTTTTCTACTTCTGTGAAAAATTTTGTTGATAGTTTGATATAAATAGCATTGAATCTGTAAATTGCTTTGGGCTATGTGATCATTTTAAGAATATTGATTCTTTCCATCCATGAGCATGAAATATTTTTCCATTTGTTTTTGTCATCTCTGATTTCTTTCAGCAGTTTATTATAATTCTAGTTGTAGATATCTTTCAGCACCCTGGTTAACTGTATTCCTAAGTACTTTATTTTCTGTGGCTATTGTGAATGGGATTGCATTCTTGATTTGGCTCTCAGCATAGACATTGTTGGTATATAGAAATGCTACTGGTTTTTTACATTGATTTTGTATCTTGAAACTTTGCTGAAGTGGTTTATTAGATCCAGGAACATTTGGGCAGTGAAGACAGGGTTTTCTAGGTATAAATTATATCAGATGCAAAGAGAGATAGACTGACTTCCTCTCCTCCTCTGGCTAGGACTTCTAGCCCTATGTTGAATAGGAGTGGTGAGAGTAATAAGCATCCTTGTCTTGTTCTGGTTCTTAGAGGAAGTTCTTCCAGCTTTTCACCATTCAGTATGATGTTGGCTGTGGGTTTGTCATATATAGGTCTTATAATTGTGAGGTATCTTCCTTCAATGTCTAGTTTGTTCAGGGCTTTTAAAATCAAGGGATGATGAATTTTATTGAACGCCTTTTCTGCATCAGTTGAGATGACCATATGGTCTTTGTTTTTAGTTCCTTTCCTCTCAGATCCTGTCCTGAAAATCTAACGAGTCCTACTAATATAATAAGAAACAAACAACCACACATGCTCCCCCACATTGTGCTGTGAGAGCTGACCCCTAGGATCTCAGACATGCAGATCATATGAGACCTAATAAAGGGATTCTCACAAGAGATTTTCCACCTAAGAATTCTGGTGCTAGCTGTCCTCGCAGTAAAATGTTCTCTGCCTCTGATCAAAATTGACACCAAATGATAACACAATGGAAATGTTTAGAAGAAGAAGGACAATCACACTTTTAGAAAGATAAAAGACATGCCTTATGCCTGTAACAGTTTCCTATTGCTAGGGCAACTAATTACCACAATTATACCGCATTCAGTATGATTTATTATCTACAATAAATCCTATCAAATTTATTATCTACAATTCTGGATTGAGAAGTCTTACTGAGCTAAAATTAAGGAGTCACTAGGGCTGTATTTCTTCCGGAGGCTCCAGGGGAGAACATCGGATTTCTTGATTTTAATCTTCAAGATACCGTCATATTCCTGGCTCCATAACTCCTTCCTCCATCATTCCAGCACATCCACGCAGGAAAAAAAAAAGATGCGAACTTACATTTAAATCTGCGTCTCTCTAGAATTTGATCCTGGCAAGCTGGATGTAAGCAAGTTTCTCTAAAAAATC
This sequence comes from Homo sapiens, assembly GCF_000001405.40. Classification (NCBI taxonomy): domain Eukaryota; kingdom Metazoa; phylum Chordata; class Mammalia; order Primates; family Hominidae; genus Homo; species Homo sapiens. Next base: position 89,131,183 of record NC_000002.12, on the reverse strand, counting down.
AGGCTCATGAAAGGCCACAGGAGGACGGTGCACAGGCTAGACTGCTGTGACTTGGCCTCCCCTAGTCTTGCGTGCGAATGTTCCCTGGAGTCCTCAGGCTCCAGTCTACTGATGCTGATGCAATTTATTCCACTCCTTCTGTTGCTGAACCAGGCTGAGACAATCAGGGCCAAGTTAGATATGTAAAAAATCGGATTTCAAATCTTTGTCCAATTTTATTAGAATCTAAAATACTTTTCCATATACGTAAGCAGTGGCTTGCCAGGAGATGAAGACTCTCCCTCCTACCAATCCCAACAGAGAAGCTGGAATCTGGGTCAGGATGATGTCCCCATTCATTGCTTAAGCGTAAAAGAGGAAAGTGGCATTGATGGTGCACAGCAGGAACATACACCCAACAGCTCAATGACCTGGCCTTTCCCTGGTGCCTCCCCCTCACCTGCTCTCCAGAAAGCCGGGGTCTAGGAGAGCAGTTCCTGAGTTCACAAGAACATGCTAGTAGGGAGTAGAGCTCAGAGCATTACTGAGGGAATATGATATTGGTCTCTACTGTCTCTACTAAAAATGCAAAAGATTAGCCGGGCATGGTGGCGGGCGCCTGTGGTCCCCAGCTCCTTGGGAGGCTGAGGCAGGAGAATGGCCTGAACCCGGGAGGCAGAGCTTGCAGTGAGCCAGGATCACGGGCCACTGTACTCCAGCCTGGGCAACAGAGCAAGACTCCATCTCAAAAAAAAAAAGAAAAACAAAAATCTATATTCCATAGTTCCACCTTGACAGTTAATATACACAAACTTCATTCAGTTACACTCTTAATATTTGTGCCCTTTACTCTGGGGATTTTGTCAACTAAAATGAAACTAATTTAAAAACCTAGATGCTAAAATAAATATGAAAATAATAAATAAGAATAACTGGCCAGGTGTGGTGGCACATGCCTGTAATCCCAGCACTTTGGGAGGTGGAGGCAGGAGGATCACTTGAAGTCAAGAGTTCGAGACCGGCCTGGCCAACATATGAAACCCCATCTCTACTAAAAATACAAAAATTAACCAGGCATGGTGGTGCACGCCAGTAATCCCAGCTAGCTCGGGAGGCTGAGGCAGGAAAATCGCTTTAACCTTGGAGGCGGAGGTTGCAGTGAGCCGAGATCCTGACACTGTACTCCAGTCTGGGTGACAGAGTAAGTGAAACTCTGTCTCAAAATATATATATATATATTTATACACAAAATAATATATATATTTATATATATTTATATATATCAAAAATATATATATTTATACATATATACATATGTGTATATATATGTATGTGTGTGTATATATATAATAAAATTAAATAAGAATAACCAAATATTTATGGAAACTCAGCCTATTAAAGACAAGTGTAAAATGTGTCTGGGAAAGTGAAAACAATGTAGAAATCTCTTAGAGGAAATAGAAGAACATGATTAAATATGTCCCTTTTTCCACTCAGGCAGCACAAACTTTATTAGGTTCCCTCTAAACACAGAGGACACATTATGTCACTGTGCTCACACTAGATGTCCCCATACTCTCCTTGGCTCTTTCCACCCCACTGCACCCACCAGGGGATTTGCATACTGTCCCCTAGGGAGGACCTTCCATTGTGAGTCTGAGATAAAAGCTCAGCTGTAACCTTGCCTTGACTGATCAGAACTCCTCAGCTCACCTTCTCACAATAAGGGTCCCTGCTCAGCTCCTGGGGCTGCTAATGCTTTGGGTTCCTGGTAAGGACAGAAGGGAGATAAGGGAGGAGAATGGAGTGTGAGGGTGAGCTCTGGGGGTCCCACTGCCTGTCCACATGCACATCTTGACCTGCAAGAAAAGGTGTATAAAGTTTAGAACTGCAAGAGTCAGAAAGAGAAGATTCCTCACTCTTATAGTTCTAAACTTCATATCCTAGAAGGACAAAGGACTTGTGCTCTCATGAAGAGTGTCACACAGGAAGAGGATAATAGTGTAGGCGACTTCTTGAGTCTCTTTTGTGCCTTGTGAATGTTGGTTCTTTTTATGCCTGGATGTTTAGGGGTATGAACCAAAGTCACACAAAAAAATCACTTAGCATAAAGTAGATAACAGAAAGAATATCATTTCAATGGTTCCCAATATTTGTACATAACTTTGCACTTCTCTCACTATTTCAGGATCCAGTGGAGATATTGTGATGACCCAGACTCCACCCTCCCTGCCCGTCAACCCTGGAGAGCCGGCCTCCATCTCTTGCAGGTCTAGTCAGAGCCTCCTGCATAGTAATGGATATACCTATTTGCATTGGTACCTGCAGAAGCCAGGGCAGTCTCCACAGCTCCTGATTTATAGGGTTTCCAATCATCTTTCTGGGGTCCCAGACAGGTTTAGTGGCAGTGGGTCAGGTAGTGATTTCACACTGAAAATCAGCTGGGTGGAGGCTGAGGATGTTGGGGTTTATTACTGCATGCAAGCTACACAGTTTCCTAACACAGTGGTACAACCCTGAACAGAAACCTCCCTTCTTGCTGTGGTTCAGCTGCCCAAATGTGTTGTTTATCTGGAAAGCAGACACTGTCTATTATCTTGGGAGAGTAAAGAGGAAGATGATGGAGAATTCAGGAGAATACATTACAGCTGAGGGCTCTTGACCATCAATATCTCCGTTACATCTCAGGTACCACAATTTAGTCCCCATCAGTTGCAAGAGTCTTGGCCTGGCAGAACTTGCAGGAGAATGGAGGGAGGTCAAGTGCCCTCTGAACAACCAGTCATGTTGCAAGGGAAAGCTGAATCAAAGCTCATCGTAATCCTCTCTGCCTTGCCTACGTTCATTCACTAACTAAATTCATTCAGCCTGACAGCCACCTAAATGAAACAGATTAGTGGCAATACAAAACTAATACGTTCTTGGTTTTGATTTGGTTTAGCAGTTACTAGTGTACATGTACCTTGACAAGATTTGGTGATACTAAAACAGTTTCTCTCCCATCTTCTACCTTCCACTTTACACTTTTCTTAACATATATCTCTCTCTGGGACAGCAGGAAGCACAGCATTTTATCCTATTTTTTTTTCAGGGAGTGCTTGCGTGTATTTACATTCTAGACTTTGTAACTGCTAGATATATTTTGGTAAGTTTATGCAAAAACAAAGACCTAGTGACAAAAATCTTTGAACAATCTTATTCACAGTATGTTGAAATGAAAAGAAAATTCTATGAAATCCAAAGCTGTGTTTTAAAAATAAATATCCAAGTTTCAAAAGACAAAAGAAAAAACGACTAAAAATGTATGCCATAGTCAAAAATGTATGCCATATTCAATGGAATCTGGATTAATATAAAATAATATATAAGCTTATATTTTGCCCCTTGAAAAATAATAATCTATAGACTTTGGGCAGAGGGCAGTAAATGAGAATGTGAGGGCAGCTGTTAACTGTGTTAGTGGTGGTGTGTTGGAGTTGATATATGAACCCAAGTGGAAGCTCTGCTGTATTTCTTGGGGAGTTGTGGGGATCCTGCGTGGAGTTCAAGACTGTGCTCTGATGCAATGGCAAACTCCCAGGGAAGTATTGCATCACACAGTCTTTAGTGACTCAAAGAGAGTCCCTGTCCAAATGTACCTCAGGTCATATCACACATTCCTAGTCAATCCAGCAGGATGTAGAAGACCTTGGAAAAGTAGATTCTGCCCCCATCATTTACCTGGGAATGATTAGAGAAAGAAAGGATCATTCAAGAAAGCTTATAGTTAAAATAAAGATGATGCTGACCAGAGCAGTGCAGGGGCTGGGAAGATGAGTAGGAGGTGTAGTGGTGGGAGCCCAAAGCCCATATTTCAGACACACATAAAGGAAAATCAAGGCAGCATGGTAGGGGAGAACTCAGGAGAATGCAGGAGGTTTCACTGTGTGTCTCTAGCCAACCCACCCAGCTACCATTCTCAACCCAGGCCTCAACAAATGTCCCAAAGAGAAATTCAGCCTGGTGTTAAGGGCTCCACTCATGCCATATAATCCATAATCTGTAAGGCACGTACATGCCTCTGCCAAAGGTGAGATGAATTCCCCACTCTTGTAGAGATCTTCTGCCTGGACCAAACCAGAATCTCCAATCACGCTCGTATTTGGCAAATTTCACTAAGACACAAAGTGACAGGAGGACACAAGGCAATATACAAAGGCATCTTTCCTCTGTGGAATTTTAGGCTATCTGTTCTTTATTTGTTCCACAACTCTCTGATGTTATAACAAACATGATTTTTTAAGTTCATTTTTGCTCTCCTGAATTTATTGCAATTCTTGTGTCCATCTTCTAAGGCCTATTCCTTACTACTTCACTACTGAAAATAAATTGTTCTATTAAATTACAAAGTAGGGATGTCAGTTTGAATATTATATTGCAAAACATTCACATCTAGATCAATAAATGCACATGGCACATGGAAATGAAGGAGAAAAACAACTGCAGAAATGATAATGATCATGTCAGTGTTTAAAATATTTGATACTGAATACCAAACATGGAACACTGAATTCAATATTCCAGTAATGTATGCTGAAATTACATACACATATGCTTTAAATATACTACATTTACAATAATACTTTAATATTATTTTGATCCATAAAAGGGCATATGTATTATTTCATCATGCTATAGTAGAAGTAGATGGTTTGAATTAAATCAAAATGATCCTGCTTTTGATTAAGGACATAAGCTATCTGGCAGATGGCTGCCTTTTCCAAGAAAATATATCCAATGGCAAGTATACTTAATATATCTATGTATTATCTTTGCTGAGTATGAAGTTGTATGGCAATATTTATATGTAAGAAAAACAACTCAAAAGGAACTCAATCCTTCCAAGGAAAATAAATATCAGTAAGTAATTTAACATCTTTGGGGCCTTTGAAAAGGAAAGAAAAAAATGAGGCAAAATGAATGTGCAAATAAATACTGTTTGTAAAACAACAAAATATTAGGCAGCTATATATCAGTAGTACTCTATAAAAGAAATGCTAAAGACAGTTCTGCAACAGAAGGAATGCAAGACTAAATAGAAACATAAAGATACATAAGAGATAGACACTGGAAAGGATATGTATAGGAATAAATACAAACTAAAATTTGCACACGACTATAGATGTCATGGTTTGTGAATTTTGCAATGCATATATAACTGAATTGCATGAAAAATAACACGAAAAAGTAGTGTAAATGGAATTTAAAAATCTAACTCTATTTTAGGAAATGGTAAATTAATATTTGGTACTAGGAAGTAATAAGTTGAGGATAGCTGCTGTATAATAAATGATTGCATGTTTAACAAGTTAATGTAAGGAAAAATATAACAAAATGTCTAATCCAAAGGAAAGCAAGAAAGCAGGAAATTTGAAAAAAAAAGGATGGTAGATTTATCTCTAACTACCAATAATTTAGACATCATAAACAGACAAATTTATCTAAGTAAAATTTTTAAATTATTAAACAAGATTAAAATGAAAGGTTTATGCTGCTTATAAAATACACACTGCAATAATATCATAAAATGACTTTGAAAATTAAAAAACGAAAAGTACATATCATGCAAAAACTGAATTGACGAAACCTGACTTATACTTTAAGGCGAAGGAGAAAAGGGGACATTTCATAATGATAAGTGGGTCAATCTATTAGGAAATCATTAAAATACTAAATCTATATAGACCCAAAACATAACTTAAAAATATATAAATAAAAAATTGATTAAATTAAGAAAAAGTCAACTCCATGTTATGGTGGGAGACTTTATGCTCAAGAGGTGATAGAAAAGCAGAAAATAACATAATAAGGATTTAAAAGATTTGATCAGTATAATTACCACATTTGACATAGTTAAAGAAGAAAAAAGGTATATGGTCGTCTCAATTGGTATAGAAAGAAGCACTGGACAAAATTTAGACCCTGTTTATGTAAAAATGTCCTAGAAAATTAGAAATGGAAAAATACCTTCCTTACCTCTTAGAGAATACACAGGCAGACAGAGAGACAGACAGACACACACACACACACACACACACACACACACAATCACAATAAATGCTGAAAAATTGTTTTTCTTCATTTTGGAATTAGATATTTTTAAAAGATGTAAAGTATCATCATTCCTAGATAATACTGTACTGGACCTCTTACTAGTATAAAGGGCAAGAAAAAGAAATAAAATACATGAGTACTGGAAATAAAGAAAACGAATAGTTATTATTTGTAGATGGTGTAATTGTTTGGATAGTAAACCAAAACCACAATCTAGAGGTCTTCTTTAACATTTTAATAATGTTTTGTACAGTATCAAGACTTCACATCTTAGGCCCGCCGCAGTGGCTCGCACCAATAATCCCCATACTTTGAGATGAGGCAGGCGAATGACATGAGGCCAGGAGTTTAAGACCCACCTGGCCAACATGGTGAAATCCTGCCTCTACTAAAAATACAAAAATTAGCCAGTCGTGGTGGTGTACACCTGTAATCCCAGCTACTCAGGAGGCTGAGGCACGAGAAGAGCTTGAACCCGAGAGACGGAGGTTGCAGTGAGCTGCGATTGTGCCATTGCACTCCAGCCTGGGCGATAGAGACTGTCTTAAAAAAAAAAAAAAAAAAAAAAATGCCGGGCGCAGTGGCTAAAGTCTGTAATCCCAGCACTTTGGGAGGTGGGCGGATCACATATTTCACAATTCCATCTCCAATTTGTTTGTTGCTGGTATGATCTTTTTGCACATGGTTTTTATATTTATTGACTTTTCTAAATTTATTTATTCATTCAAAAATATGTATTTGCCTTTACTACATTTACCTGATTTTTAAATTGTCCTTTGAATCGTGTACTAGCTAATAACATTAAATGGACTTTTAGAAATAAAATTATATATGTTCCTTATAAAAATTCTATGGGCATCCCTACCAGATTTAGATACTTGACTTTCTGAATTTATTTCCGAAAATAAGTTCTCTGTTTATTATTGATTCACCAAGAAAAAATAAGTAAAGAAATATTTTCCTATTAACACCCTCGTCTCTATGAGAAATCATCAGCTCTATGTAACTATTTTTGCCGACTGCAAGCCCATTTGCTGATTGTCTACTGAAGCTCTTGGCATAAAAATACAACAGTGAGTTCTAGAGAAGACCTGATCCTGTGCTGCCTGGATCATAAGAGAAAGACCAATAAAATAATGGAGTATATACCTGAAATTTTGAATAGTCAAGCATTCCAATCGGTGTATTATTTTCTCAGAATGTATTTATTGAAAATTCAAAGCACAAAAAGAATGCAATTTAGCAAGCACTTACTTAATAGGGCAAGGATGATACAGTGTTTAATAAGGTACCTTCTAGAGCTGTGGTCAAGACAGATTTTGGTGCTCCTCCTCTTTCAGTAAAAAAAGACAATGATTTGTTGATTTCTCCTATGTGCCTAGGAAAGGTGAGTGGCAACATATTCGAGATATAACTAATTCTGTTACAGAGCAAAAACCAGTGATATCTTCTCAGTAGCATTTTTTGTCTAATATGTAAACTCAGAAAATAATTATTAATTAATAAATAATTTTAGCTGCTTTAAAATTACGCATTTTCAAATATGTTCCTAGGTGCCTCTTTTCTTGCAGTTCAAGAAATTAACTTGCAGTTCAAATATGAATTCACCTGATAAGAAAAGAATAGTGTGTCTTAGCAGATATTACAGTACATTGCACAAAACCTTCACATATCTAGGACTCAAAAATATATTTGACACATTTTAAACATGAAAATATTATTAAATTAGTGATTCAGACATTTAATTAATCTTTTAAGGTAATTTGTGCATTGGCTTTTTGTTAGACATATCAACACTTCAATTTTTTATTTCTATGTTTGAATTTAAATATATTTAAATTGGTTTAATACAATTATAAAATCAAATTTCAATAAGCAACAAGGAAGTAAACTCTATAAAATATATCAAATACTTAACCATAAATGTTTGCAATAAACTCTGAAATAAAGATTACAATATTATATTGAAACAGTGGCAAGTTCACAAAGAAGTATGTTAAGGCTCACAATAATGAGCAACAAATTAAAGGCAAAACTGACCTATATATAATCACATTACTTTATCCAGTCTGTCACTGATGGACGTTTAGGTTGACTCCATGTCTGCTACTGCGAATAGTGCTGAAATGAACATTCACGTGCATATGTCTTCATAATAGAACAATTTATATTCCTTTGGGTACATACACGGTAATGAGATTGCTGGGTCTAATGGTAGTTCTGTCTTTAGCTCTTTGAGGAATTGCCACACTGTCTTCCACAATGGTTGAACTAATTTATACTCCCACCAAGAGTATATAAGCATTCGTTTTTCTCCACATCCTCTCCAGCATTTATTTTTTGACATTTTGGTAATACCAGTTCTAACTGGTGTGAGATGATATCTCGTTGTGGTTTTGATTTGCATTTCTCTAACAATCAGTGATATTGAACTTTTTTCCATATAAGTGTTGGCCACTTGTAAGTCTTTTGAAAAGTATCTGTTCATGTCCTCTGCCCACTTTTTAATGGGGCTATTTTTTTCTTGTAAATTTGTTTAAGTTCTTTATAGATGCTGGATATTAAACTGTTGTCAGATGCAGAGTTTGCAAACATTTTCTCCCTTTCTATAGGTTGTCTGTTTATTCTGCTGATAGTATCTTTGGCTGTGCAGAAGCTCTTTAGTTTAATTAAACCCCTTTTGTCAATCTTTGCTTTTGTTGCAATAGCTTTTGGTGTCTTTGTGATGAAATATTTGCCCATGTCTATGTCCTGAATGGTATTGCCTAGGTTGTCTTCCAGGATTTTTAGAGTTTTTGGGTTTTACATTTAAGTCTGTAATCCATCGTTAGTTAATTTTTGTATATGGTGTAAGGAAGGGGTCCAGTTTCAATCTTCTGCATATGGCTACCCAGTTATCCCAGCACAATTTCTTGAATAGGGAATCCTTTCTCCATTGCTTGCTTTTGTCAAATTTGTCAAAGATCAGATAGTTGTAGGTATGCAGTCTTATTTGCAGGTTCTCTATTCTGTTCCATTGATCTATGTATCTGTTTTTGTACCAGTACCATGCTGTTTTGGTTACTGTAGCCTTGTAGTATAGTCTGAAGTCAGGCAGTGTAATGCCTCCAGCTTTGTGCTTTTTGTTTACAATTGCTTTGACTATTTGGGCTCTTTTTTGGTTCCATATAAATTTTAAAACAGTTTTTTTCTAGTTTGTAGATAATCACAATGGTACTTTAATGATAATAGCATTGAATATATAAATTGCTTTTGGCAATATGGTCATTATAACGAAATTCATTCTTCCTGTCTATGAACATGGAATGTTTTTCCATTTAATTGTGTCATTTCTGATTTCTTTGAGCAATGTTTTATAGTCCTCTTTATAGAGATCTTTCACCTCTTGGGCTAGCTGCATTCCTAGGTATTTTCTTTCTCTTTGTGGCAATTTTGAATGTTATTGCATTATTGATTTGGCTCTCAGCTTGGCTCTTCTTGGAGCACAGAAATATTAGTAATTTTTGTACATTGAGTTTGTATCCTGGAACTTGGCTGAAGTTGTTTGTCAGCTTAAGTAGCTTTTGGGCTGAGACTATGGGGTTCTCTAGAGATATATTCATGTGAGGCCAGGCGCAGTGGCTAGTGCCTGTAATCCCAGCACCTTGGGAGGCCAAGGTGGGTGGATCACTTGAGATCAGGAGTTTGAGGCCAGCCTGGTCAACGTGGTGAAACTCCATCTCTAGTAAAACTACAGAAGTTAGCTGAGCATGGTGGTGCATACCTGTAATCCCAGCTACTCAGGAGGCTGAGGATGGAGGATCATTTGACTCCATGAGGTGGAGGTTGCAGTGAGCAGAGATTATACTGCGACACTCCAGCCTGGGTGACAGAGCAAGATTCTGTCTCAAAAAAAAAAAGGAAATCATGTCATATGCAGCAAGGATAGTTTGACTTCCTCTCTTCCTGTTTGGGTGCCTTTTATTTCCTTCTTTTGCCTGATTGCTCTGGTCAGTACTTCTAACACCATGCTGTTAGGATTGGTGGAGAGAGGGCATCATTGTCTTGTTACAGTTTTCAAGGGGAAAGCTTCTAACTTTTGCCCACTCAGTGTGATGCTGGCTATGGCTTCGTCCTAAATGTCTCTTATTATTTTGAGGTATGTTCCTTCAATATCTAGTTTGTTGAGAGTTTTTAACATAAAGGATGTTAAATTTTATCAAATGTCTTTTCCGCATCTATTGAGATGATCAAGCCATTTCTGTGTTTAGTTCTGTTTGTGTGATGAATTATATTTATTTATTTGCATATGTTGAACCAAACTTATATCCTGTGGATAAAGTCTCTTGATCATGGTAGATTAGCTCTTTGATATGTTGCTGGATTTGATTTGCTAGTATTTTGCTGAGGATTTTTGCATCGATATTCATCAACCATATTGGCTTGAAGTTGTTGTTGCATCTCTGCCAGGTTTTGGTATGATGCTGGCCTCATAGAATGAGTTAGGGAGGAGTCCCTCCTCCTTGATTTTATATATATATATATATATATATATATATATATATATATATATATATATATTTTTTTTTTTTTTTTTTTTTTTTTTTTTTTTGAGACACAGTCTTACTCTGTTGCCCAGGCTGGAGTGCAGTGATGTGATCTCGGCTCACTGCAAGCCCCACCTCCCGGGTTCAAGCAATTCTCCAGCCCTAGCCTCCCATGTAGCTGAGATTACAGGCGCATGCCACCATGCCAGCCTAATTTTTCTGTTTTTAGTACAGACGGGGTTTTACCATGTTGGCCAGGCTGGTCTCGAACTCCGGACCTCAGGTGATTCACCCACCTCGGACTCCCAAAGTGCTGGAATTACAGGCATGAGTGACCAAACCCAGCCTTTCCTCTTCACTTTTTTGGAATACCTTTAGTAGGAATGGTAACAGCTCTTCTTTGTACATCTGATAGAATTCAGTTGTGAATCCATTTGGACCTGGGATTTTTTTGGTTGGTAGGCTATTTATTACTGATTCAATTACAAGCTCATTTTTGCTCACTTCAGGGACTCAATTTCTTTCTGGTTCAGTCTTGGGAGGGTGTATGCATCCAGGAATTTATCTATTTCTTCTAGATTTTCTAGTTATTGTGCATAGAGGTGTTCATAGTAGTCTCTGATGGTTAGTTGTATTTCTGTGGGGTCAGTGATAATGTCCTTTTGTCACTTCTAATTTTATGTATTTGGATACTCACCCTTTTCTTCTTTATTAGTCTAGCTAGTGGTCTATTTATCTCATTAGCTTTTTCAAAATAAAAACAGGCACTGGCTTCATTGATCTTTTGAATTTTTTTGTGTGTCTTATCTACTTCAGTTCAACTCTGATTTTGGTTATTTCTTGTTTTCTGCTAGATTTGGAATTGGTTTTCCCTTGCTTCTCTAGTTCTTTTAGTTGTGATATTAGGCTGTTAATCTGAGGTATAACTTTCTGATGTGGGCATTTAGTGCTATAAATTTCCCTCTTAACACTGCCTAACCTGTGTCCCAGAGATTCTGGTATATTGTATCTTTGTTCTCATTCATTTCAAAGAACGTTTTGATTTCTGCCTTAACTTCATTATTTACCCAAGTCATTCAGGAGCATGTTGTTTAATTTCCATGGTTTTGAGTGATTTTCTTAGTCTTGAATTCTACATTCATTTTGCTGTGGTCCGAGAGAGGTTGGCATGATTTTGGTTCTTTTGCACTTGCTGAATATTGATGTATGTCCGATTGTGTGGTCAATTTTAGCATATGTGCCATGTGGTGATGAGAATATGTATATTCTGTTGTTTTGGGGTGAAGAGTTCTGCAGATTTATATAAGGTCCATTTGATCCAGGGTTGAGTCCAAGTCCTGAATACCTTTGTTAATTTTCTGCCTCAGAAAATTAATTATACAGATTATAATCTGTATAATACTGTCAGTGGGGTGTTGAAATCTCCCACTATTATTGTGTGGGAATCTAAGTCTCCTTCAAAGTGTCTAAGAACTTTCTTTATGAATCTAGGTGATCTTGAGCTGGCAGCATATAGATTTAGAGTAACTAGATCTTCTTGGTGAATTGAACCCTTTACTGTTATGTAATGCCCTTCTTTGTCTTTTTGATTTTTGTTGACTTAAAGTCTGTTTCATCTGAATTAGAATTAAAATCCTGGTTTTTTTCTGTTTTCCATTTGCTTGGTAGATTTTTCTCCATCCCTTTATATGAGTCCATGGGCTTCATTGCATGTGAGATGGGTCTCCTTAAGGCAGCATAACATTTGGTCTTGCTTCTTTATCCAGCTTGCCACCCTGTGTCTTTTAAGTGGGGCGTTTAGCCTGTTGACATTCAAGGTTAATATTGATATGTTAGATTTGATACCACCATCATGCTGTTAGCCTGTTATTTTGCCAACTTGTTTGTGTGGTTGCTTTATAATGTCACTGGTCTGTGTACTTCAGTGTGTTTTTATAGTGGCTGATAACGGTGTTTCATTTCCATATTTAGTGCTTCTTCCAGAAGCTTGTGTTAGGCAGGTCTGGTGGTAACAAATTTCCTGAGCATTTGCTTGTCTGAAAAGGATCTTATTTCTCCTTTGCTTCCGAAGCTTAGTTTGTCCAAATATGAAATTCTTAGTTGGAATTTATTTTCTTTAAGAATGTTAAATATAGGCCCCCAATCTCTTCTGCTGAGAGGTCTTCTGTTAGTCTGATGGCTTCCCTTTGTAGGTGATCTGTTTTTTCTCTCTAGCTGCATATACTTACAAATATATGCATCATCATGTCAATATATTTTATTTTTAATTTTTTTTAGAAAGCAACAATGATAAACTTACAGAAAAGTTGCAAGTATACAATAAATACCCCCTTCCCTAACCGGAATTATACAATAGTCTTTTAAAGACCTTAGAATTCTATCGTCTAAAACTTTACTATGTGTTTCCTACAAAAAAAGAATATCCTCCTATATACTCCCCATACGCCAATGAAATATGATACTCCACCGACTCCTGAGGAATATTTCAAATTGTCAAAAAAAATCTAAAAAATGTCTCTCGTAACAAAATAGTCTCCAGTAGAAACCCATTCTCTGCAGACAAATCTGTGCTACCCTGATCTTACCTGGGACACCTGGGGACACTGAGCTGCTGCTGAGTTACTGAGATGAGCCAGCCCTGCAGCTGCGCCCAGCCTGCCCCATCCCCTGCTCATTTGCATGTTCCCAGAGCACAGCCTCCTGCCCTGAAGCCTTATTAATAGGCTGGACACACTTCATGCAGGAATCAGTCCCACTCAGGACACAGCATGGACATGAGGGTCCCCGCTCAGCTCCTGGGGCTCCTGCTGCTCTGGTTCCCAGGTAAGGATGGAGAACACTAGCAGTTTACTCAGCCCAGAGTGCTCAGTACTGCTTTACTGTTCAGGGAAATTCTCTTACAACATGATTAATTGTGTGGACATTTGTTTTTATGTTTCCAATCTCAGGTGCCAGGTGTGACATCCAGATGACCCAGTCTCCATCCTCCCTGTCTGCATCTGTAGGAGACAGAGTCACCATCACTTGCCGGGCAAGTCAGGGCATTAGAAATGATTTAGGCTGGTATCAGCAGAAACCAGGGAAAGCCCCTAAGCGCCTGATCTATGCTGCATCCAGTTTGCAAAGTGGGGTCCCATCAAGGTTCAGCGGCAGTGGATCTGGGACAGAATTCACTCTCACAATCAGCAGCCTGCAGCCTGAAGATTTTGCAACTTATTACTGTCTACAGCATAATAGTTACCCTCCCACAGTGTTACACACCCGAACATAAACCCCCAGGGAAGCAGATGTGTGAGGCTGGGCTGCCCCAGCTGCTCCTCCTGATGCCTCCATCAGCTGAGATTGTTCCTCAGATGCAGCCACACTCTGATGGTGTTGGTAGAAGGGGACATGAAGTCACCTCTGCACCCTAATTCTTTTCTCTTTCTCAGCCCCAACTACACAGACATAGCAATGCCTCTCCTAATTTAATACAGACAGAGATCATGACACCTGAGGAGTCTAGTTTATGGCTTCAGTTGGACTTTATATAACAGAGAAGAAGCCACTATAGATATTCTAGGCAGGAATTGTCTTAATACAGAGAATTAAAGTAAACTACTGACGTCTAAATAAAATGTAGAGATGAATCTCTAAATGTAATGTTTTATTTACACAGAAATATTTCCCAAATGGGGCATACAGGAAAACTCAGTGGTCTTCAATATGTGGCAAGAACAAAGAAAAAGTTAGTGTTTCATGAAAAAGGGAAAATATTACCTATGGCTCTTTGAGAAAGTTCATTGGCACTAGGAAGGGTTGGGAGCTGGCAAGCTCAGACTGGGAAGCAGTGGTGGACAAAGTGAATCCTAGAATTATATCAAGTTATCTCAGAAGTTGTGGACAAATTTGATTTCAGGTTACAAGAAGCCAAAGCAGTGAAGGTTGCAGAGTGTTTTGTTACTGAAATACCAGGGATTCAGCGTAGATCCTGCAGCTCACCACACAGAAAGCCAATCACTAAGGCAAGTATTGCCAAGGAAAAGGCTTTAATCAGGTGCTGTAGCTGAGGAGATGGGACACCATTCTCAAATGTATCTCCCTGACCAACAAAAATTAGGGGTTTATATAGCACGGAAGAAATGTGGGAAAACAGGAATTATGGAGGGTTAAGGGAGATAATTTGGTCAACAAGAAGCAGGAGGTCAGTTATGCAGTCATAATGAGTGAAGGGTCTGATGTCCCACTGTCCTGATTCAGTGATATGTAAGTTTCAGCTCCTTGATAGTATCTGGGAGGCCTGATGGTTGGTTTACTGAAAAAAGAACTCAGGTAAGACAGATGTAACTATCTTGAGTTTTAAGATCGGGGAAGTCAATTTCTATGTTTATTCAAAAAACCATAAACATTAGTTCCATGGCATAATAGGGCCTATTTCAATTGCATTCTAGAAACAATATTTTTCACCCTGAGTGCCTTTCCCCTCTGGTTTCATGGCTCTGTTTGGTATGACAAGAATGACCCAATTCCTATGATTAACATTCACACTACAACCTTTCAAAACCAAGGATATAGTATTCAGGAAAGTTGATATTAGAAGCAGCATTCTTTGGTGCTCCCACTGAAAACAGAATGTATCCACCCCTGAAGTAAGGGTTTTCTACCCATGTGGTCCTCAGTCCTGTCTGGAAGTTTAAGTCTGGAATTGCTGAAGTTCTCGCTTCCTAGAGCATCTTTCCAGGTGTTTCTCCAGTCCTCACCTTTGTCTCTCTGCCTCTTAGGTACCAATGGATAATACTGAGTCTTCCTTTTCTCACTTCCAAATCTCATGGGGGACCCTCTTATTGGGCAACCCTATAGGACATGAGAGGTAAAGAGGGATATTTCCATAAGTTAAAATGATTTTCCCCCAAAAAGGTCATTTAAAAAAATTATATTTGAAGCCACATGTTGAAAACACATCCAGCTTTGTTTTCTTATTAATGCAAACTTACATTTGCAAATATTTTCAGGATTGTGAAGGTTGAAAACATGATTATTTGTCTATGGAATGATCAAACACCTCTACAATTAAGTGGAGTAAACATTTTCTTAAAAACTTATACTCATTGAAATAAAGGAATATATTTTAAATGTTTGAAGCTATGTTAGAAATTATTGGACTTAAATTCAACTGTGCGGTTTGGTTTGGGATGTTGATCACTACTGTGACCTGCCACAAGAATCTTGTGTCATGTGTAGTCACTGCTGTTCAGCCTTGTCGTTAAACAACTGATATCTACAGGCTGAATACAATCTACAGGCTCCTCTCTGCTGAGAGGAGCCACTCAGCAGAGACCTTCCTTGATCAGCCAGATGATTGTGAACATGAGCATCTATGAACATGAAAACAAATGTTTACTGTTATCAGCCACTGAGTTGTACATTTAACCAGTTACCGTAATTAATGCATAAACACTTCCTGATACAGTATTTACACCTCTACCTATATAAACATACATATTTTTTCTTGAATTGGTGGTATAAATATGAATATTTAGTAATCAAATTATGAAGTTATTAAGAGAAAAACACAAAATTAAAACTAATTAGTATTTCAATAAAAAATTAAAATTTACCTTCTTTATGGAAAAAAGTGCATATATATTTAAGATACATAGAAGTGAATATATATTTATTTGATAAAATGTTGGCTACAACTACGTACAGTATTCATATTTAAGTACATTTATTCTATTATATATGCAATATATACATATTTTATTTATAAAATATTATCTAAATTATATACATTTAAATAATTGTTACATTCCACACAAAAAAAATGGTATTTGTGATGACACCTAATTCATACTCTTGCTACAGAAAATTTATTTGTAGCCTTTATTTTTAAAACTTTACCAAATGGTTGTCCTTACCTAAAATATTTTTCCAATCCAGTAGAGCTCCAAGGGTAAGGCTAGAGCAAATTTTGACTAATGTTGAATATTAACCATTGCATCCTATAAAAGTCTCCATTATGTTCATGCCCACAATGATGATATTCCAAATAGAGTTCTCACAACAATGGATGCTGGATGGAGTCACATCAGTGCCATTGTCAAGGAAGCCCTGGAAATGTAAAACTCATAACAGTGGGTAAACTGCAAGGCCTACATCTGATGATCACGTTGCAAAGAGAACAGCAGTTTAATAATATTGGCTGTTGGTTTTGACAGATCATCAGGCCTTAAAAGAAATGCAACAGGATGATTTCAGACAAAGTCATTCTGTAAGAGCTATGACTAGAAGTTTCAAAAATGAGCCATAATCAAGAATAAGAAGCTTTCCAAGTGAATATTAATTGAAATGCCATTAACGACCAGGGGGCTTTTAATAATGAGGATGATTCAACATATGGACTTCAGTTACCTCTTCCAGCTTTCCCAGCTAGCCTCACGAACCAGTGTTATGGAGGTCCCTGTGGAGACTCAATAATATGACTTTCAACTAACTGAGATGTACAGGGCTACTGGCTCTTCTGAACACCCAATTTGCCAAGAAAACTGACCCCTCCAGAACCCTTAACATTGTACCACACATCAGGGCTCAGACTAATTACTGGTATCAGGTGATTCTAGTGGACCTCATGGAACATGAGGATGGCAGTGGTTATTTTACTATATATGGATTTGCCTTCCTTTTCGGTTATGTTTCTGCATAAAATATTATTTGTGGATTTTCAAGGAGTTTTCATCAGAGTCAGGAAGTTCTTCCATAATATGGCTTTGGATCAAGCAACTTATTTGCCTCAAAAAAAGTGAAGCAAAATGTAGCTCATGCTCTTGTCATGTGCACAGGTGCAGCTTTCCCTATAGACAGGGAAAAACCCATTATTAGTCAAGCAAAGCTGTCACACAAACCCTTGTGCTATTGAATTGCTATGCTGTCAGAAGTGGTGGAGGCTCTGAAACACTAATCATGAATGGTGCTGTTACTTCCATAAACAGAATATTTATATCTTGAAAATGAGCTGCAGATTCATCATTCTTGTGCCAACTGAACAGCTTGAAATACTCTATTTCTATTTTCTCAGGGCTGTGGTTTTCTGGCTGATGGTTCTTAATGCAAAGAATTGACATGACAATTATTCCAAGAAATTGGAAGAAATGATATGATAAGCATGTCACCATTTAGACTTAATACAATACTGGATAAGTTGTCAACACAGGGCATTCAGATGTGTGCTGGGGCCATAGATGTAGCCCATATAAAGCAAGAGCAAAAATAACTGATTTTACATATTTTAGAGAGGAAGTACAGAAAATATGGACCCTAGGGGACCTTCTGGAATCTTTCTATTTATTGCCATTTCCACTGGTAAAACTCAGAGAAGATTTCAACAGTCATCAGGATGAAGTTCTAGGGATCACAGTCATGTGAAGCATTACTTGCACTTGGATCTCCAGTGAGGCAAAGGGAAGATGAAATGCATAGTGGGATGTGGAGGGGTAAACACCAGAGGCAGACACCTGGTCAGCTTCAACGTTGAAAAGTGTATTTATTTTTTCTCTTTACTTTTATCACTGAATCATTTGGATCTAAGAAAAGCGATTATGGCTGGTTAGGCAGAAAGGTGTTTATTATCATGAATTAAATGGATTGAAAACATTTGGGGAAACCAGAGTGGAAGCTCAGGCAACTCCAAGTACTCCTTTTGCTATTGCTTGACCCTCCTCGCCTCCATATTTTCCACAGTCAAGAAAGATACTCTCATTTTATAGGAACCTGGCAAGTGAAGATATTGTGCCCACAGGACTGTGCTGCCTGGCTGAGACCCAGACCAGGAAAATGAGCACATTTGAGTGAAATCAGACATTTCCCCTCCCTCATCTCAATCCAAAACGACTCTGTAGTGACACATCTGATGGGCAGTCAGAGAAAGGGGTCAGATTTCCAGCAGTTGAGAGTTGATAGCAGAGCTGCTGTCCTCCTGGGGGCAGTAGTGAGAAGAGCTGGTCTCTTTTCTGCTGCAAAAGACAGCTTGAATGTCTCAAGCAGTAGGAGCTCCTCCCCAGCCTGTGCCAGCAGTATGATTCTTGGAATTGTTCTAGAGGCTTTGACTGGAGCCTGTTCTTTAAGGCTTTTCAACAATTTGTAAGGAATTTAATATCTTCTAGTTAATCACTTTATGCTTCATGGATCTGACATTTGCAACAGGGAATATACGCAGTCCGCAGTGACATCATTCACAGCCTCCTTTTTTCTTGCTAAATATATAATGCTTTCCAGGTGGACCTGCCAGAGGAAGACAATGTGAACAACAATCCATGTCAACAAAAATGCAAGACAAATAAGCTCAGGAAAGCCACTGGGTTCTCACCTAGTTGCACTGTCCCCCTGAGTCTTTTTTTTTTTTTTTTTTTTTTGGTCACCTTAGTCAAAATCATGAACAAAGTTGCCAACTTTGAATGGAGCCCTTTGCAACGGTAGCCTTGGAATCTATACAACTATACATGTCCAAGGCATTTATTTAAGACCTTTAGAGCCTGCTTGCTCGATGGAAATCCAGGTATCCACTATTTCTATGCATGCTGACTGGAGTCTGTGGCAATGTCACTAGGTGCACCAGACTCAGCTTTTGGATGCAAAAGTTTCCTGAAGTGGCCACCAGTTGTGCCTCTTTTGAATGGCAACTCCTCGCTTGCTGTAGGAAAATGATAGGGCCTGAGTATCTCAAGATTTCATTTTTTTTTTTTCTTCAGATAGAGTCTCACTCTGTCACTCAGGATGCAGTGCAGTGGCACGATCTACACTCACTGCAACCTATGCCTTCCAGGTTCAAGCGATTCTCCTGCCTCAACCTCCAGAGTAGCTAGGACTACAGGTGCACACCACCATGCCCGGCTATGTTTTGTACTTTTAGTAGAGACAGCGTTTCACCATGTTGGCCAGGCTGGTCTCAAACTGCTGACCTCCAGTGATCTGCCCTCCTCAGCCTCCCAAAGTGCTGGGATTATAGGCGTGAGCCACTGTGCCCAGCCTCCCAAGGTTTCTAAAGTGGAACTCTAACATTCCTGATAAGAACCTGACCATCTTCCAAGGTTGCTGATAGAGCTGGCATTTCCCCAAAGCACCAAATGAGATCTAGCCAGCTGAAGGTGGGATGGTCCCCAGAACTGACCTTTCACTGATTTTTCCTCATTATAATCTCATTGTAATACTAAAATATCCACCCAAGGCAGGGCTTATCCTCCATTTCCTCACCATGTTATATATGTTAGAGCATGACGCTCCACTGCACAAATGCAAAGAAAACTTTGCCTAACCATGCTTGTATGTCATTCCTTTTTCCGCCTCAGCTTCCTTAAAATGGTAAGAGCTGGGCACTTCAAGGAATAGCCACCAGGATCTCTTACCCATAGGCTGCTCCCTTGCTTTGCTCTTGCCACAAACCTATTAAACCTTGCCTGAGACAATTTCTGTTTGGCCTGGTGTTGATTTCTATTTACAAAAGAGGCAAGGGGTCAGGCGCGATGGCTCACACCTATAATCTCAGTACTTTGGGAGGCCAAGGTGGGTGGATCACCTGAAGTCAGGAGTTTGAAATCAGCCTGACCAACATGGTGAAACCCCATCTCTACTAAAAATACAAAATTAGCCAGGCGTGGGGGTACACACTTGTAATCCCAGCTACTTGGGAGGCTGAGGCAGGAGAATCACTTGAACCCAGGAGGCAGAGGTTGCAGTGAGCCGAGATCACACCACTGTACTCCAGCCTGGGAAACAAAAGCAAAACTCTGTCTCAAAAAAAAAAAAAAAAAAAAAAAAGCGGCGGGGAGGAGACAAAGAACTTGGGGTCCCAGCAGCAGCAAAAATTGCATCAGGTGGGAATGAAGAGCTGATTAGAACTTTTCTTCCAAGCCTTTCACTTGCCACTTAGTGATTTTTACCAAGTGTCCTGAAGCTACCTCAAAGAGTAACACTCAAGTAACTCCAGCACTGCAGGTGCAAAGGTGACCACAGCTGCATGGATGGGCAGGACCCAGGCTCTGACACTCAGGCTGCCAATACAATTGCCATGAAGACAGATGTTGATGCCATCCATGAAGGCAGGGGATAATTCCTTGGCTGATTCTCTAATCTCCACTACACTCACTCTGCACAACACATCTATCAAACTAGACTCAATTTCTCTTCTCCTTAATTGTTTTGAAAAACTCTGTTCACAGTCCAGAGCTTCATTTCCTACAAATCTGCACCTTTCCTTTAAGCAGTTAAACTCCTTTGCTTTCTGGACACTTCGCCTGGTCTCAAGGAAGCAATTTTATTAATGCTACTCCAAGTTCTAATGGAATCTTCATCCATCCTGGAATTAGAGCTTCATGTACAGCCAGGCAAGATCCATGCAACAGTCCAGATGTTGTCTTGGCAGGCCCTGAAGTCAAACCCTTGGGGTTGGGGATGGAGCTTTACCGCTTACATGTTGTGTGACATTAGTAAAGTAACTTAACCCCCCTTTGCCTCCTTTTCTATACCCGCAATGCTGTGACAATAATAGGTTCTACCTCATAGGTCGGTTTACAATTTAAACAAGGTAAAAGATTTAGAATATATCCAACAGATAATATGTGCTTCTATTAATTTAGGTATCCTTATAGCTATAATACTTAGCACTTAGCAGACACTTATTGAAAATAGTTTTAAATCCAAGTTCTTTCCATCTACAGCCCCAAGAGGTGCTAAAATGGGGCTTTTTACTACCCAGCTCACAGCCCTTTAAATCCTAAAGATTTTGTCTTGATCCATGCTAAATTGCTCAAATCAATCATGCCCATGCATGTCTGTCCAATGCATTTCTTCTCACCATCCATTATCACAACCTATTATTCTATGATAGGTTCAATTGTCGTATTGCTGTCCTGCTTTCTTGTGTAAGTCTTATTCTATCTTTTAAATCTTTTCTCTATTTCTCTAATACTTGTGCCAAAACTCAAAATCTAATCTCAGTTTCTTTGACATGCTTCTATGCTAATGATGTAGTTTATTTGATGTTGTTTATGCTTTTACTTGTTGGATTCCTATGGAAACAAATTATTTTAAGTGCATGTCCTTCTAAGACCACAGAGCTAGAAGGTGAAAAAAAGCTAAGTGGAAGTGTATGAAGAAGAGTGATTTGGGAAACTAAAGTGTCACTTCTCCAAGAGTTTTCAAGTTGTATTTTATTTTTTGTTTTTTTACAAACCATGTGTGACTTTGTCAAACACTTTTTATCTAAAGCCTTTTTTCTCTAAAAGCCCACGTAGATTACCTACATGCAGTAAAAATCTGCTCGGCCTTTCTCTAGTTTCTCCCTGTATACACCCAGAAGTCCACACATGAGACCCCGCCAGATTTAACAGCCTTGGCCTGGCAGAATCTGCAGGACAATGGAGGGGATCCATGTGTCCCCTGAGGAACCAGACTTGACAGCAGATAAAGCTGAGTAGAAGGGCATCCTAATCCTTTCTGCCTTCCCTACGCATTTTGGTCAATTAAACCCATTCAGTGTAACAACTTTGTATTTAAGGCTGGTTCACACCAAACCAAAACTAATATGCTTTCTGTATTTTATTTTGATGAGTAGTTACTGGTTTACATGCAGCTGGGTTAGTTTAGGTATATAAAAACTGTTTCAGTCCCTTCCCCCACCTTCACACTTCCACTGTTTCTTAGCACCTGTCTTTCTGCTGGAAAGGGGCTGGAAAGACCCTTTTTAATACCATTGTTTCAGAGAGTAGCCAGGTAAAACTATTGGCATTCTTGGCTTTTGGCTACTAAATAGATTTCATTAAATCTACTTAAAAACTAAAGTAGGCTAGGCATGGTAGCTCATCCCTATAATCCCATCTTGGGGCGCCGAGATGGGTGGATCACCGGAGGTCAGGAGTTTGAGACCAGCCTGGCCAACATGGTGAAACCCCGTCTCTACTAAAAATATAAAAACTAGCCTGGCATGGTGGTGGGTGCCTGTAATCCCAGCTGCTCGGGAGGCTGAGGCAGGAGAATTGCTTGAACCCAGGAGACAGAGGTTGCAGTGGGCCGACATGATGCCATTGCACTCCAGCCTCAGCGACAGAGTGAGACTCCGTCACAAAAAAAAAAAAAAGTCATGTGTCAAATGTCTGATCAGTCAGACACAGCACGATGAAGTAGATGTAGGAGAGATTTCACACTCAGTACGAGTACCCTGATATTTGAGGAAACTAAAGATGCCAGAACACCCTAGCAGAAACCTGTCTCCAGTGAGTCATGGCATTGTGTGATCTACCTCCACAGAGAACAGGTAGAACTTAGGCTTGCTTCTAACCCATATGGTATGGCAGAGGTTATGAGATGTCTTTCCAATGATTGTATTGTATTCTGTAAGCCTCTGTCATAGCAGACTGGAAAGAGACACTCTCTGAAACCTTCTGCTGGCCTTGAACAAACAACCAGCCATGTGGGCATTGCCTGTGTGAGCATCACATGGCAGGGAATTGTCCACAGCCTCTGGGACCTGAGAGCAGCCTTGAGCCAAGAGCCAGTAAGAAGCTGAAGCCCTGAGTCACAGAGGTGCTAAGGCATGGGCTCTGCAACTACCTGAAAGAGCTCTAAAATATCTCTCTTCTCAGGGAGTCTCAGGTGAGAATGAAGAACAGTCTACACTGTGGCACAGTCTTGTGAAATCCAATGGGCAGGATCCAGCAAAGCCATGTGCTGACTGCTGACTCAGAAATTGAGAGATTATAAATGGGTGTAGTCTTAAGTTGATAAATTTGCAGGTAATTTCTTACATGTTTATAACAAACTGAACACACATTTTAAGAACAAATAATAGACCTAAGAGCAGCCATGCCACTGACATTGAATGGAGATGGGCACAGGCTTATTCTCATTGTGACCTTAGGGTTTCCAAGCACTGTGAAAGAGAGGAAAGCTTCGATGTGCAAGCCCTTTCCAATATTCCAATTCTGTCACATCTGCTATTATCCTATTGGCCTGAGCAAGACACATGGGTAACACCTGAGTCCATTTAGAATGAGGCCAACCAAAGGATGAGTGCAGGGAAGGGATTTATTGTAGCTAATTGTGCAAGTAGTTTATCCATAATTTATAAATTTTTTCCTGAGAAATACCCTGAGAAAAGGGAAACCTCTTTAAAAGTCTTAAAGTTTTTAGGTTATAGCTTCATTGATTATAGTGTTCTGCTTGATATCCAAGTATAAATAACCGAGAACTCCTTCACACTATTTTTTCTATGATGGTTTATTTTCCCCATACCTTTACAGGTAATTTTGGTCCTGTAGTGTGCTGTCCAAGTTTACTCTGCAGAGCTGACCATTTGCACAATGTAGCTGACACATCATCGCACCTTGAATGCGGACATTGACTGGTGACCTATGAGAATCCGCTTCAAAAGAATGTATTTGTCACCGCTTTGATCTTTATCCTATCTGAATCCACACACTTCTGTATTGTTCTATGGCTAATCCATATCCTGTCTCTATTAACTCACTCTTGCCATAAGTGACTAAGAGCATCTAACACAGAAATAATAAATACTTCCAGTTCTGAAAATTCAAATTAGTTGAAAAGCATGGGGACATTATAGAAAGAAAATGTATAACTATTTTAAAGACAAAGAAAATGAAGTCTTTGTATTTTGGAATGAAACTGTGTGAAAACTATCTGCAGGTTTCAGCACCAGGGAGGGCCCCTGTCTTTCCTGTGACTGAGCACATTGCCTTTCTCACACCTGCAGGCAACCAGGGAAGTGACTGGATGGGGTGAGCTGAGCTGCACTGTTGGGCCACCCTGGGGAGACTTTGGTAATATATGATGCATTTCAGATGATAACAATAACTGATGACAGCAGTTCAGCTTCTTCATTACCAATGTTCTGTGTGGAATTTCCCCCAAACAACCTACAATGAATAGACGAACTCCTGAGTTGATCTAGAAACGAACTGAATAGAGGTTGGGGAACAGGCCCCATCTCCCTGACCTATGTAAACCGAAACCAAATGTTGTCCAACCTGCACATCAAATCAGCTTCCAGATAGGTTAAACAAGTCATATCAGACCATCTAGTCACAACTGAACCACAGGGTAACTGCAGACACATGAGCAGGCTCAGCAGAGATCAGTTCAGCCAGCCCAGAATGGAGGAACCACAGAGTTGATCCTCAGAGTTATAAGGAGCAGTATAGTCATCTCTCTATCCATGGGATCTGCATCCATGGATTCAACTAAACCTGGATCAAAAATATATAGAAAAAAAATCCACAAAGTTCCAAAAAGAAAAACTTGACTTCACCATGTGCTTAGTACCACTTGGTTGAATCCACACAGGTTAAGTCATGTATACATATCGCGTCAGGTATTATAAGTAGGCTAGAGATGGTGTGAAGGGTACATGAGTATATGTGCACAATCTATTACTAATGGGGGAAGAAAAATGACATAAAACAAGGTAAAATTTTATATTTATTTTAAATGGTAATATTATGACACCAACATACTGTGAGAAGCTATGGATATAAAGGAAATACCATGACAACCAATTTAAAAATCACTATAAAAAGAGATACCCTCAAATTAGGTAAAATTAAAATGAAATTCTAAAAATGTTCAAGTAACCCAAAGGAAGGCAGCAAAAAGAAAACGGAGAAGCAAAAAAAGATACAGCAAAAAAGTAGAGCAAAGACTTAAATCTTAGTATATCAATAATTATCGATATATTAAATATGCAAATTAGTAAATTATAACAGACAGCAATTGATGAATCAAAAAGGAATGTCCGAACAGTATACTGTCTATAAGACACTCACATCAAATATGACACTAGAAGTAGACTCAATATAAAAGAAAAGAAAATGGCATAGTATGCAAAATTAATAAAATGAATCAGTAGCAAATACTAATATCAGATAAAGTAGACTACAAAGCCAAGAATGTTACCAGTGACAGAAATGTACATTACATAATGAAGAAAGTCATTTCGGAAAGAAGACAGAGCAGTTCTAAGTGCGTAGACACCAAGCAACAGAGCGATACAGTGCATGTAGCAGAAACTGGTGTGAAATGAAGGAGGCCTTCATTTTCTATTTGGGAAGCAAATGCTCTCTAAGTATAGCAGGACATTCTGGGATATTTTTTAAGCAAAGTACCCCCGTGGTCATATTTTTTTTTGTAGCAGAGTAACCCGTTCCCTCTTCAAACCACATCCCTCTCCATTGTCCCAGCTCCTCTCTGACTGCAAGCCTCCTCTTTTATTTTAAGGACCTTTGTGATCATATTGGTTTCATCTAGATAACTGGGTCGCTTATTCTTCACTTATATCTGTCAAGTTCTCTTTTTGCTATGTAAGGTAGAATTTTTATGATACGGCTCCGTTGACTGGAGGAACACCAGGGTTCTTGGTCTCACACCACTTTGGATAAAACAACACAGACACACGTGGAGTGGTTTTAGGGAGAGAAAGGTTTAATATGCAAGAAGGAAGGAAGAAGAAAACAGCTCCCCCACACAGAGACAGAGGGAGGAGGGATTCCAACAAAGACAAAACTCCATTGCAGCAGAAAAGTGGCTCTTATATGAGGAGGCTGGAGGAGGTGGTGTCTGATTTATATAGGGCTCTAGGGACTGGTTTGACCAGGCATGCCATTCATGAAGCCTGCAAAATAACTGGCCTTCCCAACAAGACTTTTAATATGCAAATGCAGGGTGCCAAAATATTCTCTACACATGGGGATATGTGGGGGCAGCCTTGTTGTCAGGCACATGTGGGGGCAAGGAAGAAGATGGTGGGAATTGACAGGTTTGGCTGGACTCAGTTTCTAATGGCCGGAATTTGCAAATCAAAGCTTCCCAGCCTGGCTCTAAGAGCCAGGGCTTTCCTGCTAGACAAGAAACGTTTCTGGAGCTGCTTTAAAGGAAAGAAAACCTTACCAAGGACACTCTTTTCCTATCTGCCTAAAATAATTTCTTAATAACTCCTGTAACACTTGGGTTCCAGAGATGAGGACATGGACATCTTTTAGGGTAGAGACATTATTCATCCCATTGACAATAAATATATTCCCCCAAATTGCCTTTCTCTAAAGTAAAATTTTAAAAATCACGAAGTATTTTTTATGAAGCAAGAGAGCTGGCCAAAATCTTAGACTCAGGTTCCTTTAAATTGTGAGCTTTAACTGTTAAGGTATGATCATTCCACTGTCTCTAATGTAGATTTATTGATGTGTAGATTGTTTTAGAGGATTTTTAAGTTTGTGACCAGTATAAACAAAACAGTATCTGAGACGGGTCTCAATCAATTTATAGGTTTATTTTCCCAAAGCTTATGGCCTGTGACACAGCCTTAGGATGTCCTGCAAACATGTGCCCAGGGTGACAAGAATACACATTTAAATACTTTGGAGAGACAGAAATTACAGGGAAAGACATAAATCAATACATATAAGATTTACATTAGTTTGTCCTGGAAAGGTGGGATAGCTTGAAGTAGGGGCTTCCAGGTCATAGGTGGATTCAAAGATTTCCTGACTGCCAACTGGTTGAAAGAGTTAAGCTCTGCCTAAACACTTGAATTCATCATAAAGAAATGCTTGAGTTTAGAAAAGGGGGTGTGGAAGCAAAGGTTCTTGTCACCTAGATGAATCCTATGGGTAGCAAACAAAGTAGGTGGCTAATGTTGTTTATCAGACCTTAAAAAAAATGTCAGACTCTTTGGAAAAGACTTAGTAAGGGGAGGAGATTCTCTGCAGAATGCAAATTTCCCCCACAACAGGCAGCTTGCAGGGCCACTTCAGAATATGTCAAAGAAATACTTTTAGGGTAAAATATTTTGATTTTCTTCAGGGCCTATTATCTGTCGTGTTGGAGTATGGTATCTTATTGCTACAAAGCATCTGTTTTGTCAATCCAAAGATCTCTGTTGTAATGATAATGCTGGTCAGTTGTGTCTGAACTCCAAAGGAAGGACCATATAATGAGGTACATCTAAACCCACCTGCCAGTCATGGCCTAACCTAGTTTTTCAGATTTCTTTGAAGTTCTCTCTACCAAAAGAGGAGTCCGTTCAGCTGGTTAGTGGCTTACAACGTAATTTTTTGTTTTAACACACACACACAAAAAATCACCGCATAAATTCAATCTAAAATAGATTGGTTAAAAAAAAAATTGTGTGTTTCCTGAATATTCCTACATGTCAAAGAAAGGGAAATGATAAAAGAATTCAGATGAGAAATACCCCTCATACAAAAGATTAATGATTTTATTTACTATCTTAGTTTGGGTCCACCAGCAATGAGGATTCCTGTTTAGGCAGCAAATTTACACTGGGAGGAAAGGAAGAAAGTGAGGGAGGGAACAGAAGATGAATGGTAAAAGACACATCAACAACCCACCTGACTCAGGATAACTGAAGATCAACCACATGTGGAAACATGGACTAAATTCCTCTGGGCTATTCCACCTGAGAGACGAGGAAGCTAAGGTATGTATACACCTCATTCTGTCCTCACTGATTGTGAGCTGTCTCTCTTGTTCTCTTTCAAGCTGCTATAACAGGTTAGGTTCCTTGACACTGTGTAATTCATAAAGAACAGAAATTTATTTTCTCACATTTCTGGAGAATGGGAAATTTAAGATCAAGGCATGGGCAGGTTAAGGTCGTCTTTCTCTGCTTTCAAGATGACGCCTGGAGCTTTCAGTCCTTCAAAGGAACGAAGGCCATGTCTTAACATGACAGACCAGCAGAAGAGACAGAGAGATTCCAGCCCCATAAACCCTGTTTATAGTGGCATTAAGGTATTCCACTAGAGGGCTCCACCCTCATGATCTAACACATCTCAATAGGCCCCACCTGGCAATACCATTTCACTGAGATTTAACTTTACAACGATGGATTCTGGAGGACACAGTCAAACCATAGCACTTTCCTAAGAGATACACATTGCAGGCCATCTGGCCAGCAAGGCATGCAAGCAGACCTCTCTGCCCAAGATCATGAAGCACATAAGACATATATATAGCCATTGGAAATGAGCAGAGATACAGCAAAGGGAAAAGCCCTAGACTATAGATGGGGACTGCTACATTCATCATGGTACAGTTAACCCTTGAATAACTTGGGTTTGAAATTTGCAGATCCACTTATATTTTCTTCTGTGTGTCACCTGTGAGCAAGCGCTTAATAAGTACTAAATATATTTTCTCATTTTTAAGGTTTTCTCAATAACATTTTTTCTTTAGCATACTTTATTGGAAGAATAGAGTATATAATATGTATAACATAAAAAAGGGTTAATCAACTATTTATTTTATCATTAAGGCTTCCAGTCAAAAGTAATCTATTACTACATAACTTGGAGATGCAAAAGTTCTACACAGGTTTTCATCTGCACCAGTGGTCAGTGCCCCAACCTCCACGTTGTTGAGGGGACAACTGCTCTTTCAGTCTGTAGCCACATCTCTCTGGAACAGGATCTTGGCAGGTGGGTTGCAAGTAAAGGAATCCAGAAAATAACATCTCAAACTGTGCTGCATTTGTATGATGATTATATAAAACCAAAGGCATTTAGAAAGCAGGAAATGCACAGGGGGCTTTTCCTAAATATCCCCTACCTGCCTAAAAGCAAATTCTTCAGAAGGAAACCAATTTTTAAGAAAACTCTTCCTGAGAATTTTTATATCAAGGAAGATTAACACAAAAGAGGAATCAAAAATGGAAGAGACTCAAAGTTGATACTTTACCTAGGGAGGTGATTACCTGTTCTTTTGAGGATGCATTTCTATTCTCATCTATTCTCTCCAGGTTGCCTACATTTCCCAATTACCTCTTCCCTAGAAAGGAAACATAAACACCTGGATCTCATTGAGTTATCTGGGTAATCACCTTGCTATGATATCCTGCTGCACTTTAAGTGAATTTTGTTTGCCTTTTCTCTTATTAATCTTCCTTTTGTCAGTTTATTTTCAGCAAACATTTAGAGGACAAATGGAGCTTTCTTCCTTTCTTCCAATATAAGCAATTTCCCTTAAAATTCAGGCAGCTTATAAAGCAGCAGGAAGGTTTGTGCAGAGGCTACAGCACTGTGATTTGGCTCTCCTAGTCAGGCATCAGTAAAATTTTATGGAGTCCTAGGCTGCAGCCCACTGATGCTGATGTAGTTGGATCCACTTCCCCTCCCACGGAACCAGGCCGGGACATTTTTGGGCACATTAGAGATATGAGATATAACGAGTGCAAATCCCTGTCCAGTTTCATCTGGAACCAACTGATTTCTCCATGTACCTGGGCAGTTGCTTGATAAAAGATTGAGTGCCTCTTTCCAAAAGATGTTAACAGGGATCTTGGTGTCTGGGTCAGGATGATGTCCCTGATAAAAAGTAAAAGAAGAAAGTGTCACCTATGGTGCATGGCAGGGACATGCTCCATGCAGTGATCACCCTCACTAAGAGAGATGAATGTTGGGAAATAATACTTAATGGCAGAAAAGAAGGTAGACTATGAAGGTGCCCAAAACAGGAATAAGGTGCAAAACAGGAATAAGGTGCAGCCCATTTAGTCTCTGGATATTAAAGAGACCTAGAGCTCTTGATAATGGTGGATCTGTAATTGCTGCATGCATTGAGGAAACACGGTATCAACTTAGTGTATCTGAAGTAAATTGCTTGATCTTACAGTGGTAAGAACAATGGCATAACACCATTACCTAACATTTACAAATATATGTAGCATCATGTGAATAAATTTTATTTTTAATTTTTTTTTAGAAAGGAGCAATGTTAAACTCACAGAAATGTTGCAAGTATATGATAAGTACCACCTTCCCTAACAGAAATCACATGAGAGTCTTTTGAAGACCTGAAAATTGTAGGGTCTAAAATTTTACTATGTGTTTCCTACAAAAAAGAATATTCTCCTAAATAATCCCCATACACCAATGAAATACATTGCTCCATCGACTCCCAAGGAATATTTCAAATTGTCAAAAAGAAACCATAAAATGTTTCCCATAACAAAATAGTCCCCAGTAGAAACACATTCTCTGCAGACAAATTTGAGCTACCTTGATCTTACCTGGGACACGTGGGGACACTGAGCTGGTGCTGAGTTACTGAGATGCGCCAGCTCTGCAGCTGTGCCCAGCCTGCCCCATCCCCTGCTCATTTGCATGTTCCCAGAGCACAACCTCCTGCCCTGAAGCCTTATTAATAGGCTGGTCAGACTTTGTGCAGGAATCAGACCCAGTCAGGACACAGCATGGACATGAGAGTCCTCGCTCAGCTCCTGGGGCTCCTGCTGCTCTGTTTCCCAGGTAAGGATGGAGAACACTAGCAGTTTACTCAGCCCAGGGTGCTCAGTACTGCTTTACTATTCAGGGAAATTCTCTTACAACATGATTAATTGTGTGGACATTTGTTTTTATGTTTCCAATCTCAGGTGCCAGATGTGACATCCAGATGACCCAGTCTCCATCCTCACTGTCTGCATCTGTAGGAGACAGAGTCACCATCACTTGTCGGGCGAGTCAGGGCATTAGCAATTATTTAGCCTGGTTTCAGCAGAAACCAGGGAAAGCCCCTAAGTCCCT
Organism: Homo sapiens; assembly: GCF_000001405.40. Classification (NCBI taxonomy): domain Eukaryota; kingdom Metazoa; phylum Chordata; class Mammalia; order Primates; family Hominidae; genus Homo; species Homo sapiens. Next base: position 89,100,003 of record NC_000002.12, on the reverse strand, counting down.
GATCTATGCTGCATCCAGTTTGCAAAGTGGGGTCCCATCAAAGTTCAGCGGCAGTGGATCTGGGACAGATTTCACTCTCACCATCAGCAGCCTGCAGCCTGAAGATTTTGCAACTTATTACTGCCAACAGTATAATAGTTACCCTCCCACAGTGTTACACACCCAAACATAAACCCCCAGGGAAGCAGATGTGTGAGGCTGGGCTGCCCCAGCAGCTTCTCCTGATGCCTCCATCAGCTGAGAGTGTTCCTCAGATGCAGCCACGCTCTGATGGTGTTGGTAGATGGGGACATGAAGTCACCTCTGCACCCTAATTCTTTTCTCTTTCTCAGCACCAACTGCACAGACATAGCAATGCTTCTCCTTATTTAATAAAAACAGAGATCATGACACCTGAGGAGTCTAGTTTATGGCTTCAGTTGGAAATCATAATGCAGAAGAAGCCACTATAGATATTCTAAGCAGGAATAGTCTTAATACAGAGAATTAGAATAAACTGCTGAAGTCTAAATAAAATGTAGAGATGAATCTCTAAATTTAATGTTTTATTTGAAGAGAAATATTTGCCAAATGAGGCATACAGGAAAACTCAGTGGTCTTCAGTACGTTGGAAGAACAAAGAAAAAGTCAGTGTTCCATGAAAAAGGGAAATATTACCTATTGCACTTTGAGAAAGTTCATTGGCACTAGGAAGGGTTGGGAGCTGGCAAGCTCAGACTGGTAAACAGTGGTGGACAAAGTGAATCCTAGAGTTATATCAAGTTATCTCAGAAATTGTGGATAAATTTGATTTCAGGTTACAATAAGCCAAAGCACTGAAGGTTGCAGAGAATTTTCTTACTGAAATACCAGGGACTTGGTGTAGATCCTGCAGCTCACCACACAGAAAGCCAATCTCGAAGACAACAAGTATTGCCAAGGAACAGGCTTTAATCAGGTGCTGCAGCCGAGGAGATGGGACGCCATTCTCAATTGTATCTCTCTGACAAAATTAATTAGGGGTTTATATAGGAGGGAAGAAATGTTGAAAACAGGAATTAGGGAGGGGTAAGGAAGATAATTTGGTCAAGAAGAAGCAGGAGGTCAGTTATGCAATCACAGTGGGTGAAGGTTCTGATGTCTCACTGTCCCAATTCAGTGATATGTAAGTTTCAGCTTCTTAATAGTATCTGGGAGGCCTGATGGTTGGTTTACTGAAAAAAAGGACTCAGGTAAGACAGATGTAACTATCTTGAGTTTTAAGACAGGGAGGGGGAGACAATTTCTAAGTTTATTCAAAAAACCATAAACCTTAGTTCCATGGGATAACAGGGCCTATTTCAATTGCATTCCAGCAGCAATATTTTGCACCCTGAGTGCCTTTCCCCACTAGGTTTCTTGGCTCTGTTGGGTATAACAAGAATGAACCAATGCCTATGATTAACGTTCAGACTACAGCCTTTCAAAGACAAGGATACAGTAGTCAGGAAAGTTGATATTAGAGGCAGGATTCTCTGGTTCTCCCTCAGAAAACAGAATGCATCCGCCCCTAAAGTAAGGGCTTTCTAACCATGTGGTCCTCAGTCCTGTCTGGAAGCTTAGGGGTAGGCGTGCTGATGCTCTTAGCTTCCTGCAACATCCTTCCAGGTGTTTCTCCAGTCCTCACCTCTGTCCTTGTACCTGTCTTAGTTACCAATGGATAATATTGAGTCTTCCTTTTCTGATTTCCAAATCTCACGGGAGGAACTCTTATTGGGCAACTCTATAGGACACAAGCACAGCAAAAAGGGATATTTACATAAGTTAAAATGATTTTTACCCCAATGAGTCCATTTAAATAAATTATATTTGAAGCCACATGTTGGAAACACATCCAGCTTTATTTTCTTATTAATGCAAATTTACATTTGCAAATATTTTCAGGATTGTAAAGTTTGAAAACATAATTATTTGTTCATGGAATGATCAAACCCTTCTATAATTAAATGGAGTAAACATTTTCTTGAAAATGTGTACTCACTGAAATAAAGGAATATATTTAAAATGTGTGAAGCTATGTTAGAAATTATTGGACTTAAATTCAACTGTGCAGTTTGATTTGGGATGTTGTTCACTCCTGTGACCTGCCACAAGAATCTTGTGTCATGTGTAGTCACTGCTGTTCAGCCTTGTCCTCAGACAATTCATATCTGTAGGCTGAAGGTGAGCTCAGTGCCCTGCAGAGGAACGACTCATCAGAGCCCTTCCTTGGTCAGCCAGAGGATTGTGAACGTGAGCATCCATGAACACGAAAACAAATGTTTACTGTTTTCTGTCACTGAGTTGTGTATTTAACCAGTAACCAATCATTATGCATAAAGGCTTCCTGATACGGTATTTACACCTCTACGTGTATATAAACATATGTATTTTTTTCTTAAATTGGTGGTATAAATGTGAATATTTAGTGATCAATTTATGAAGTTATTAAGAGAAAATTAAGAACAGAATTAAAACTAGTATTTCAATAAAAAATTAAAATTTACCTTATTTATGGAAAAATGTGCATATATATAAGATACATAGAAGTGAATATATATTTGTTTGATAAAATGTTGGCTACAAATATATATAGTATTCATATTTAAGCACATTTATTCTATTATGTATGCAATACTCTTGCTACAGAAAATTTATTTGTAGCCTTTATTTTTAAAACTTTACCAAATGGTTGTCCTTACCTAAAATATTTTTCCAACCCAGTAGAGCTCCGAGGGTAGGACTAGAGCAAATTTTGACTAATGTTGAATATTAACCATTGCATCCTATGAAAGTCTCCATTATGTTCATGCCCACAATGATGATAGGCCAAATAGAGTTCTCACAACAATGCACGCTGGATAGAGTCACATTAGTGTCATTGTCAAAGAAGCACTGGAAATGTAAAAATCCTAACCGTGGGTAAACTGCAATGGTTACATCTGATGATCCCATTGCAAGATAACAGCAGTTTAATAAATATTGGCTGTTGGTTTTGACAGATCATCAAGTCTTAAAATAAATGCAACAGGCTGATTTCAGACAAAGTCATTCTGCAAAAGCTATGACCAGACATTTCAAAAATGAGCCATAATAAAAAAAATGCTTTCCAAGTGAATATTAAGTGAAATGCCATTAACAAGCAGGGGCTTTTAATAATCAGGATGATTCAACACATGGACTTCAGTCAATCACCTTTCCCAGCTTCCCCAGGTAGCCTCATGAACCAATGTTAATAAGGTCCCTGTGGGGACTCAGTAATGTGAGTTTCAACTAACTGAGATGTACAGGGCTATTGGCTCTTCTGAACACCTAATTTGCCAAGAAAACTGATGCCTCTTGAACCCTTAACATTGTACCACACATCAGGGCTCAGACTAACAGCTGGTGTCAGGTGATTCTAGTGGACCTCATGCAACATGAGGAAGGCACTGGTTATTTGCAATATATGAATTTGCCTTCTTTTTCGGTTATGTTTCTGCATAAAATATTATTTGAGGATTTTCCAAGTGTTTTCATCAGAGTCAGGAATTTCTTCCATAATATGGCTTTGGATCAAGCAGTTTATTGACCTCAAAAAAAGTGAAGCAAAGTGTAGCTCATGATCTTGTCATGTGCACAGGTGCAGCTTACCCTATAGACAAAGAAAAACCCATTATTAGTCAAGCAACGCTGGCACACAAACTCTTGTGCTATTGCATTGTTATGCTGTCAGATGTGGTGGAGGCTCTGAAACACTGTTACTCTCATAAACAGAATATTTATATATTGAAAATGAGCTGTAGACTCATCATTGCTATGCCCACTGAACAGCTTGAAATACTCTATTTCTATTTTCTCAGGGCTGTGGTTTTCTGGCTGATGGTTCTTAATCCAAACAGTTGACATGACAATTATTGCATGAAATTGGAAGAAATGATATGATAAGCATGTGACCATTCAGACTCAATACAATACTGGATAAGTTGTCAACACAGGGCGTTCAGATGTGTGCTGGGGCCATAGATCTAGCCCATATAAAGCAAGAGCAAACATAATTGACTTTACATATTTTAGAGAGGAAGTACAGAAAATATGGACCCTAGGGGACCTTCTGGAATCTTTCTATTTATTGCCATTTCCACTGGTAAAACTCAGAGAAGATTTCAACAGTCATCAGGATGAAGTTCTAGGGATCACAGTCATGTGAAGCATTACTTGCACTTGGATCTCCAGTGAGGCAAAGGGAAGATGAAACACATCGTGGGATGTGGAGGGGTAAACACCAGAGACAGACACCTGGTCAGCTTCAACGTTGAAAAGTGTATTTATTTTTTCTCTTTAGTTTTATCACTGAATCATTTGGACCTAAGAAAAGCGATTATGGCTGGTTAGGCAGAAAGGTGTTTATTATCATGAATTAAATGGATTGAAAACATTTGGGGAAACCAGAGTGGAAGCTCAGGCAACTCCAAGTACTCCTTTTGCTATTGCTTGACCCTCCTCGCCTCCATATTTTCCACAGTCAAGAAAGATACTCCCATTTTATAGGAACCTGGCAAGTGAAGATATTGTGCCCACAGGACTGTGCTGCCTGGCTGTGACTCAGACCAGGAAAATGAGCACATTTGAGTGAGATCAGGCATTTCCCCTCCCTCATCTCAATCCAAAACGACTCTGTAGTAACACATCTGATGGGCAGTCAGAGAAAGGGGTCAGATTTCTAGCAGTTGATAGTTGATACCAGAGCTGCTGTCCTTCTGGGGGCAGTAGTGAGAAGAGCTGCTCTCTCTTCTGCTGCAAGAGACAGCTTGAATGTGGAGTCTCAGGCGCAGGAGATGCTCCCCCGACCTGTGCCAGCAGTACGATTCTTGGAATTGTTCTAGAGGCTTTGACTGGAGCCTGTTTTTTAAGGCTTTTCAACAATTTGTAAGGAATTTAATAACCTCTAGTAAATCCCTTTTTGCTTCATGGATTTGACATTTGCAACAGGGAATATACGCAGTCCGCAGTGACATCATTCACAGCCTCCTTTATTCTTGCTAAATATAATGCTTTCCAGGTGGACCTGCCAGAGGAAGCCGATATGAACAACAATCCATGTCACCAAAAATGCAAGACAAATAAGCTCGGGAAAGCCACTGGATTCTTACCTAGCTGCACTGTCCCCCTGAGTCTTTTTTTTTTTTTTTTTTTTTTTTTTTTTGGTCACCTTAGTCAAAAGCATGAACAAATTTGACAACTTTGAATGGAGCCCTTTGCAACGGTAGCCTTCGAATCTATTCAACAATACATGTCCAAGGCATTTCTTTAAGACCTTTAGAGCCTGCTTGCTCGATGTAAATCCAGGTGTCCACTATTTCTAGGCATGCTGACTGGAGTCTGTGGCAATGTAAAATTGTCACTGGGTGCACCAGACTTAGATTTTGGAGGCAAATGTTTCCTGAAGCAGCCACCATTTGTGCCTCTTTTGAATGGCAACTCCTTACTTGCTGTAGGAAACTGATAGGGCCTGAGTATCTCAGAGCTAGAGGACCAGGAGTGACACTGCTACCTTAACTACAGATTCTCACTTTGGTGCCTACAAACACAATCAATAAAACTGGACAGGCCCAACAGATCCAAATTACTAAATGGAAATGTTACAGTAAGAATCAGCCCTAACCAGGATGCCACAATACCCATGTGCCCCATAAACAAATGACAAGCTTGCAAGAAGGGAACAAATGACCCACAGGGGACAATTCAGCTTCTCCTTTGGCCACATAGAGTCAAAGATTCAAAGACATGCCTATGTCAATATGGCATGGGGCCCTGATGATTGTACAAAACACATGCCAGTGGGTCCACTGGGTGTGGCCACCATCCAGCCAGGGGATGGCATCTTTTGATTGACACTAAACATGGCCATTCTGCCCAATGGGCCAAACTACATACAATGATAGCAGCCATGCAGGCTGCCCCTAACACTATATTTTGCTCCATTTCCATTAAATCATGGGCCACTTTCAACAACCCAGTCATCTGGTCAGGAAAACAGCAACTGAGTGACTGAACTACTAAAGGATCCCCTGTGTGGAGAAAAGGACTATGGCAATAGCTTGCTTCCTGGACTGCTAAATATATGTCACTCTATTAGATGCTCGGGCTACCATGGCCACCCTTGAGAGGAATTTATGTCATATTTTGGATACTCCATGAGACTTCACTCTGACCAAGAAACAACCTCACTGCCCAATCAGCGTGACAATGGGCACATTCTCGTGGAACATAACGGATGTTCCATGTAATTACCAACACCCAACACTGCCTTCTGTACCTGGATAAACACCTCAGGTATCCTAGAAATATAAGTAGAGGTGATCCTGATGCAGGCTCAATGGCTGCAGACAATGGGGCATCTGAAAGATCCCCCTTTCACCTCTTTGGCATCTTAATTTCTTGATCATGGGATCCTAGACTAGGTCACTGCTTTTGGGGGTCTTATCCTCCTGCCAGTGGTAGTAGCCTTCCTTAGACCAGCGAAATGTACTCTCACTATGGCTTAATAATCTGCACTGAGATTGTGTAAATCAAGGTGCTTCGTCAATCTGAAAAGATAAACCTCTGCCTTCAGTTTGGGGGACATTGGTGGGTGTAGGAAATATGCTAGCTTTACTAAGGGGGATGTCTAGGTGGTGGGGTAACTGCAAGACAGTTCTCCAATGACCCTGGGCTGACTTAGTTCTCTCCACTTTCTTGATTATTTTAAGAGTTCTCAAGAATAATTGTAGAATGTGCTGGAATTGTAACATCCTGAGATAGAGAGGAACTGGCCAGAACAGCCTACCTGTGCTGTATTCCAGTTTCTCATAGAATGGAATGTCCTTAAGCACGTTAGCCCTGTGCGTCTCATTACCCCAGGATATAAAACCCAGAGTGTCTGCTTTTCCGGATTCCTGAGCTGTGATGCAAGCGGGGTACACACAGTCGACTCTATCAGCTCCACATAACTTTCGTATGCCTTGGGGGACAGATCCATAATGAGTCCAAGAGTTTTGTGATCCCTTGCTGCTTATCTGTAATAATAAACCCCCTTCATGTAACTTGCTGTGTGGGGGTGTTGTGTTCCTCGCGCTCAGGTACGTTGGTAACCAGTGTACAGTGAACCTGCTTCAAAGATGTCACTGACATAGAGGCAGAACTGGAATGGAGGTTGCTAGGGATAAGGATAGAGGAAACGGGGGGAGTATTGTTTAAGGGGTATAGATATTAGTTTTTATAAGACGAAAAGAATTCTGGAGACAGTATCGGTAATAATAGCAGAACATGTGAATATGCTTAATGCCACTGCACTGCACTTTTAAATATGGTTAAGATAGACAATTTTATGTTCTCTGTATTTTCTACAGTTAAATAATTGACATCTTTATTATAGTATTGTTAGCTCAGAAGACATTGCTTTATTTTGTAATTTTCTTAGCCAATTGTTCATAAATAATCACTTCGTGATGCCACTGTTCACAAATTGTGTGTGTGTGTGTGTGTGTGTGTGTACACATGTGGTTTCCCTATGTTGCCCAGGCTGGTATCAAATTCTTGGCCTTACGTGATCCTTCCTCCTTGGTCTCTCAAAGTGCTGAGATTACAGGTGTGAGCCCGAGCACCCTGCCATAAGAAACAATGTATAAGACATTTCATAGGGGACTTCTTCAAAATATATATTTCATTGCAGCCACATCCAAAGCCAATCTCCTAAGCCATGTTTCTGTACACAAGTGCACTTCTCCCTCTGTGATGTCACATCCCCTCAGCATAAAGTCACACAGACACATAGGAGAACAAGGCTAGGAGTCAACCCAACTTTATGAGTGGAAATCACTGCAAAAATCTGGCATTAATAGGTTTTAGGTGTTGCAGCACTTCTCCACTAGCAAAACACCCTCTGATTTGTCTTCCTGGATTGTTTTCTCAGAGGTTTCCTAATATTTAATGCTAAAGCTGAGATTAGAACCTTTTTATCCCTAGTCTAGCTGAATGCTATTTCACTCAAAATGTATTGTCTTAAGGAGTATGATAATAAATATTGGATAATGCCTGTTACTACTCCCAACATTCCCTTTAGATCTCCTGTTATCATCCTAAATATCATTACTTAGAAAAAGTGTTTAAAAGGGGTTAAGACAATATTGATCCTGTTTTCAATATCCTGATACAAGTCAAGCACCCACAAAAGTCAAGGAAATTGTAAGGAAAACATGACTTAATGATCATTAGCCATTCTGGTCACTGTTGAGTGATGATTAAGAAAAAGTCTTAAAAACAAGTAGCTGAAACATTGAGAACTCTCATCAATTCTGGGCTGAGATGTAAAATGGTATAACCACTTTGGAAAACAGTATGACAGAGTATTAAACACTTACTGTAAGACCCAGTAACTGCACTCCTAGGTATTTGCCTAAAAGAAATAAAGAAATATTCATGCAAAGCCTTGTATAATGCCATTCGTGGTAGCTTTATCCATAATAGCCCAAAGTGGAAACAACCCACATGGTCATCAGCAGGTGATGGGATACATTGTGAAATTACTACATATTTAAATAGTACTCAAAAGTAAAGAGTAACACATCACGAGGACACAAGGCGACATGAATGAGCCTAGGAAACAATTATGCTGCACGAAAGTCACCAGCCACAAAAGAACATGTGCTATATTCCTTTATGTGAAATTCTTAAAAAGATAGTGGAATCTATACTAACAATAAGCTGAATAAGGATGGTCTGTTCTGTGAGGTGGAAGCAAGTTGATTGCTGAAGAGCAGGACAAAACTTTTTGGAGTTACAGAAATGTTGTGTGTATTGATTTTGCTTCCAAGAATGTATTTATTTATTAAACCCAACAGTACACTTAAAATCAGTGTATTTGATTGGAATCTTTTTTTTCAATAAAATTGGTTAACAGTGAATAGTGAATAATTGCAAATCCAATTAAGTAACATTGTCTTCACATCTTTTATTCTTGCAGTGTCCTGGAAGCTATATGAGCCAAAAGTTATTTCTGGGAGATAATCTCAGCCTGACACTAAAGAACTGTGTATCTTCTGGCAAGAGCTCACTTTTCTAGGTATTTTTGGATTTTTCCAAGAATTTAAATATATTTCATAGGTTAAATCAAAATGGTAGGCTTTTAATACACATTTCTTATTTATATCAACTAAAATTCTAAGCAATAAAAAGTCATTAAAAATTGGTAAAGAATTTAAATGTGAAGAAATATTTTTTAAGTTAGGGGAAGAGATCCAACATACCTTATAGTTCATATACATTTTTCAGAAATTAAAATTACCTATCAAGAGTTTTTATAAAAACTGTAACACTTTTTACAATGTGTGTTCACTAAATGTGCAGATATACAGTGGGATTGCATTTTTCTTTTTTTCTTAAGATATTTATTTTTATATTCACAATGGATATCAGCCTTTAATTTCTTTGTTTTGTTATGTGCATATTAATTTTTGGACTACAGGACATTATGACCTCCTATAATAATTCTGAGAGTATTTTTTATTCACTTGAATCTTTGTGTAACTTTGATAAGTACCATGTCACTAACTACCAAATATAAAATTGGAGTTTTCTGTCTGGGTAAATTTTCATTACAGATTTCTTGTTACTTTTGAGGCAAGAGGTAGGCAGGACTCCGCTCAGGACCAGATGTGAGGCTGGCCAAAACAGGAACAGGGTTCTGAAAGGACCTCTCCATAAGACATACCCACCAGTGCCATGAGAGTTTACCATTGCCATAGAAACATCCAGAAGTCACAGCGCTTGCCATGGCAACACCTGGAAATTCCTGCCCCTGCCATAGCAACACCTGGAAGTTGGGGCAACACCACCCATTTTCTAGCTATTTCTGAACAACCTACCCCTTAATTATCACATGATTAAAAGTGGGTATAAATGTGACTGTAAAAATGCCCCTGGCTGCTACTCTCGGCCCTCTGCCTATGAATTACCCCTGCTCCGCAGGAGTAGTCACAGAGCTGTAACACTGCTGCCCCATCAATAAAGCTGTTTTCTTCTATTACTGGCTTACTCTTACATTCCTTCCTGAGCAAAGCTGAGGACTTGCCTTGCATCAATATTGAGCCAGCCACTCACCACTAGAGATGGTGAGAAGCAGCATTTGATGTGGCAGTAAGACAGTGGAAACAGCGGAGAAGCAAGACAGCAAGAGACAGCAAGAGATGGCACTTTATGAGAAGATGGACACAGTGATCAGCAATGGGCAAGACAGCTATTGGAGAAGTGGCAAGACAGCGATCAGTGAGAGAGGATGAGACGGTGATCAGCGCTACAGCGATCAAAGCTACAGTGTCTGTGTGTCTGTGTGACTTTATGCTGAGTTGTTAACATTGCAGAGCTATTAACACTAGCCAAAGGCTGTTTTAAGAACCATCATCTTTCCTGACAGGTGTTGGAGCTCTGGGGATGGGCAAGAGGCCACAGAGCCACTGCTTCATGCAGGCCAGCCGCTCCGTGCTCCAGTTCCCCCATAGGAGCCCAACCCATCCGAGCTGGGAAGCCTGGAGAGATCTTCATGCAGGCCCCATGTCAGACACTGCTTGGCCCCATTTTGGCTCCTGCACACCTGTAAGTGTCCCATCTATCCACCTGCCTATATAGATGATCCAGGAAATAAGGCCTTTGGCTAGATAGTCCATTTGAATTCCCCCATAGCACACCTGACTACATCCTCATTGTTCTTTCTCTTAGTCATTTCTCCTCTAATGCCATTTTATTTATCCATCAGCCATTTTATTTTATTTTCTGCCCCGATATATGTGTTTGCTTTGCAGTTTTTTCTTTGGGTCCCTGCTAATTATGTTTGTGCAATTGTTTAAGGCAGGACACTTGGATGTAAGAATTCTCCTGTTCTGTTGACTCTAAGAAGCCAGAGTCACATTGTTTTATGGCCCCAACCAGGCCTTTGGGGCTCATTGTTGGCCACCCCACTGAGGCTCCAGGATTTTCTGCACTGGTCAGCCCCTGGATACTCCAGGGTTTCCTGGCATTTGGTGTGGGGACACTCATAGGCTGTTACTTGGGTATTCTGGGTTTTCAGCATTTGGTATTTTGGGCCACTATCTGGATGCTCCAGAGTTTTCACCCTTGACATTCCTCCTTGGATTGTGCATTGGAGGCTTGCCCTACAGGAATCTTGGTTTGCCTTTTCTTGTTTTCTGCCCTAAAGTTATCGTTTTCCATTACGGCATTTTGTTTTCTTATTGTCACCTTACTTACACTTTTTCTTCTACACTTTACTTAATAAAAATATTGCTTAAATCCCAGTGCGGTGGCTCACGCCTGTAATCCCAGCACTTTTGGAGGCCAAGATGGACGGATCATTTCAGGTCAGGAAGACCAGCCTGGCCAACACAGTGCAACCCTGTCTCTACTAAAAATACAAAAAAAAAAATGAGCTGGACGTAGTGACACACACCTGTAATCCCAGCTACTTGGGTGGCTGAGGCTTGAGAATCACTGGAACCCAGGAGGTGAATGTTGCAGTGAGCCAAGATTGCACCCACTGCACTCCTGCCTGGGTGACAGAGTGACAGTCTGTCTCAAATAATAAGCAATAGAAATTTAAAAATAAAAAATAAAAATACTGTTTGAGTCATATTTTGTTCACTAACAAATGCTTACAATCCATTTTCATAACGTCTGGCTACCTATATGTATACCTTCTATGCAGGAAGTGGAAATCTGAGATGAGAACAATGATGGCCCAGTCTCTTTCCCTCTTGTTGGACTTAGAAAAACTTCTATGTCCAGTAGAAATCCTTGTTAGACATGGGGACAATGGCGAGCATCACAGAGGACTTACCACTAGGGTGTCTATTAGGCTATTGGAGCAAATTCAAATTCAGCTTAAAGAAAAAGAAACTCATTTTCTATCACAACACTGCTTGGGTTCAACACAAATTAGAAAACCAAGAGACTTGTCTTAAACATGAGTCCATACATTATAACGCTATTTTACATTTAGACTTATTCTGTAAAAAAGAAGAAAAGTTGTCTCTTGTGTACATGCTTGTGTGGCCCTTTACTCCCTCCTGTTATTAGCTGGGTGTGGTGGCACATGCCTGTAATCCCATCTACTTGGGAGGCTAAGGCAGGAGAACCACTTGAACCAGGGAGATGGAGGTTACCGTGAGCCAAGATCGCACCACTGCACTACAGCCTGGGCGACAGAGCAAGATACTGTCAAAAAAAAAAATTGTAGCTTTGAATTTTAAACATCTATTTGACAAGAAATGCATAGTTCCTTCTCTTTAAAATAATGTAATGTTTCTTTCAAGAATAAGCTTGGTTTGATGCCTCTCTCCCCAACATGATAGAAGTGTAGCATAAATCTATGAAAAATTCCATTTCCCTGTGCCTACAACAACTACCTGGGATTGAAAACTTCTTCCCTTGCTCTAGTCCTTTCTTCTACACCTACTTCCACATCATCTGTGACTCAAAACAATACTTGTCAGGAAAGATCCCGGAAAGAGCAAAAAAGACTTCCTTAGAGGTGTCAGAGATTCCTATGCCACTATCTGTCATCTCTAGAAGGGGTTGTGAGTATGAGGAAGAGCAGAGCTTGTAAATTTTCTACTTGCTTTGACTTCCACTGTATTTCCTAACAACAACAACCACAGCAACACCCATAACATCACAGGACAAACTTCTAGTACTTCCAAGGCTTTAGTCTCAGTAAATCTTCTCTACCTCCATCACAGCAGCTAGAAGGTTTGATACTCATACAAATAGTACTGTAGCTTTCTGTTCATAATTGGAAAAATAGACAAGACCCAATGTAATACAGGCTTTCCTTCAGCCAGTTAGCGTTCAGTTTTTGGATCACCATTGCACACATATACCCAGCATATGTCTAATATATATGTAGAAATCCGTGAAGCAAGAGTTATAATAGCTTGTGTTTTCTATTGTATTGTATTTTCCTCTTATATCATCTTCTTCTTCGTTCATTAAAAAAAAACCGTTCAAGTAGGTCTAAATTAATTATTGGATCATAAGTAGATAAAATATTTTATTTCATAACACATTGACCCGATGAATATGTTTCTTTGCCAGACATAGTCCTCATTTCCAAGGTAACAAGCCTGAAAAAATTATACTGGAGCAAGTCAACAGGTAATGATGGTAGCTTTTCCTTATTGTCCTGGGGCAAGAATAAGACAAAAGATAACAGGGTAGAATAAAGATTGTGTAAGAAAGAAGGACAGCAACAGGACATGGGAACCTTTTATAGAGTAACATTTTGATAATGGATGATGAGAATTAATGAGTTAGACAGGGATGGGTGGGAATGATTGAAGGTGTGAGTACTTTAGCACAGATTAAGACCAAATCATTAGGATTTAAAGAGTTGTGTAGAGTTAGTGAAGGAAAAGCCTTAGAATTAAATTTGGCTGTGGATAAAACATTCTTGGATTAGACTGAAGACTCTTTTCTGTGCTAAGTAAGTATATTTATGATAATGATGATGACTGTAGTGCTGAATATTTAATAAATAAAAACAAAATTAATTGCCGCATACATAATGTCCTGAATACTATTGTAAATGTTTTATCTTATTTTCTTTAAACTGTCTACAGCACTATAAGGTAGGTACCAGTATTGTCACAGTTACACAGATATGGAAACCGAGACACAGGGAAGTTAAGTTACTTGATCAATTTCAAGCAATCGGCAAGCCATGGAGCATCTATGTCAGGGCTGCCAGGACATGTGACTGTAAACAGAAGTTTTTCACTTTTTAACTCAAAGAGGGTATGTGGCTGGGTTAATGGAAAGCTTCAGGACCCTCAGAAAACATTACTAACAAGCAAATGAAAGGTGTATCTGGAAGATTAAGTTTTAACAGACTCTTCATTTCCATCGATCCAATAATGCACTTAGGGAGATGACTGGGCATATTGAGGATAGGAAGAGAGAAGTGAAAACACAGCTTTTTATATTGTTCTTAACAGGCTTGTGCCAAACATCTTCTGGGTGGATTTAGGTGATTGAGGAGAAGAAAGACACAGGAGCGAAATTCTCTGAGCACAAGGGAGGAGTTCTACACTCAGACTGAGCCAACAGACTTTTCTGGCCTGACAACCAGGGCGGCGCAGGATGCTCAGTGCAGAGAGGAAGAAGCAGGTGGTCTTTGCAGCTGAAAGCTCAGCTCCCACCCCAGCTGCTTTGCATGTCCCTCCCAGCTGCCCTACCTTCCAGAGCCCATATCAATGCCTGGGTCAGAGCTCTGGGGAGGAACTGCTCAGTTAGGACCCAGACGGAACCATGGAAGCCCCAGCGCAGCTTCTCTTCCTCCTGCTACTCTGGCTCCCAGGTGAGGGGAATATGAGGTGGTTTTGCACATCAGTGAAAACTCCTGCCACCTCTGCTCAGCAAGAAATATAATTAAAATTCAATGTAGATCAACAATTTTGGCTCTACTTAAAGACAGTGGGTTTGATTTTGATTACATGAGTGCATTTCTGTTTTATTTCCAATTTCAGATACCACTGGAGAAATAGTGATGACGCAGTCTCCAGCCACCCTGTCTGTGTCTCCAGGGGAAAGAGCCACCCTCTCCTGCAGGGCCAGTCAGAGTGTTAGCAGCAACTTAGCCTGGTACCAGCAGAAACCTGGCCAGGCTCCCAGGCTCCTCATCTATGGTGCATCCACCAGGGCCACTGGTATCCCAGCCAGGTTCAGTGGCAGTGGGTCTGGGACAGAGTTCACTCTCACCATCAGCAGCCTGCAGTCTGAAGATTTTGCAGTTTATTACTGTCAGCAGTATAATAACTGGCCTCCCACAGTGATTCAACATGAAACAAAAACCTCAAGAAGACCATCAGTGTTTACTAGATTATACCAGCTGCTTCCTTTACAGACAGCTAGTGTGGTGGCCACTCAGTTTTAGCATCTCTGCTCTATTTGGCCATTTTGGAGCTCAAGTTCTCAAGTCCAAAATTACTTATGTTAGTCCATTACATCATACCATTTCAGTGTGGCTATTACATTCATTTAAACGCATTTCAGAAGGCATCTCTGTTTATGGCATCACAAAGAGTTTAATAAATCTGTGCAAGAATAAACAACAAACACACCTATAAATATAAAGTTGAAATATCAAAACTATTTCAGCACTCTGAAAATTGGCAAAGCATAAAATAATTAAGGATGCATATTCTTTATAGAAAAAAAAAGTACTAGTGCTTTGAGTAAGGACAGAAAATGTCTGTAGCCTTTTGCCTGTGACAGCACCCTTCTATTCCCAGCTCAGTCAATATGAATTGCAGAACTGGAGTTTTACCCATGTAAGGATAGCAAATAAAACTGGCAGCTTGCTGCCAAAGTGGGTGGACTTGAGTGAAGCCAAGGAGTGGGAAATAATTCTTCAGTGTTTCCAGCTAAACAGGGAGAACACCATAGGAAATGAACAGAAAAAGCCCACAGCCTTGCTAGTCCAAGATGATGCCTTGTTTGAGGCAAGTAGTACATCTGCTGATAGTAAATAGCAGATTCCTGGATAAGATAGACCCACATTGCTGAAATAATCTCTGCACATATTCCTAGTGACCTAGAAGTTATAGATATGAGTGATGAGAACTAGGAGTTTCCGGTGCAAAGTAAAACCAGAGGGAGGTAAGAACTAGCTGCATTTTGCATGCAGTTTGCTTTTTAAACTACACACAGATGGGTTGACAGAAGATAGATTTATAACCTCCAGATATTTGAGCAAAATGTCTCAGATCATTGGTGACCACTTCGCTATGCAGATACATGTGTAGTTCCTATAAAATCAAACTAAATATTAATATTAAGAACAGAAAGAAGCAGAGATATCTGTGGTCAAACGCCACATGAGATACAGATTTTTCTATATCTTGCATTGAAAATACATTTAATACATCTAATCCACTTAACATTATGCCTCAGCCTATCCTATCCTAAATATGCTCAGAACACTTACATTAGCTTACTGTTGGTCAACATTATCTTACACAAAGCTTATCTTACAATAAAGTGTTGAATACCTCATGTAATTTATTGAATACTATATTGAAAGAGAAAATAGAATAGTTGTGTAAATACTAGAATTTCTATTTCTACTTGAATGCATATCACATTCACACCATCTGAAAGTCAAAACATTATAACTCCAACTGTCATAAGTCAGGTACTATCAGTAAGTTCAGACAAGAAACTAAGAAGAAAATTAAAAAATGATCAGAAAAACAAAACAAATTCCAGGCCTGACATGGTGGCTCAAGCTTGTAATCCCAGTACTTTGGGAGGCTGATGCAGAAGGATTACTTGATGCCAGGAGTTCGAGACCAGGCTGGGTGGGCAAAATAGTGACACTCTTATCTTACAATTAAAAAAAAAAATAACAGAGAGTGGTGGCATGCCCTTATAGTCCCAGCTACTCAGGAGGATGAAGCTGCAGAACCTCTGGACCCCAAGAGGTTGAGGCTGCAGCAAGCTATGGTCACAGCACCACACTCCAGCCTGGGTGAAAAAGTAAGACCCTATTTCTAAAAAAGTTAAAATTAAAATAAAAAAGCCCAAAATCTAAAGACAGCTACTATAATATGCTATCAAAAATGTACAATTTTTAGTTTCACAACTTCTGGAAAAAAGCAGAGAAGTATGAACAATATTAAAGGAATAAAAATAAAGCAGCTACAATAATAACAACAGAAAATAGTCAATGAAAGCTAATTCTAACTTGTCCCAATTATTGGATTTAGCAAAGACTACAAAGCAGTTAATATGCAGATGTTCAAATAATTATGTTTAAATCTATGATCATTGACATAAAAAAGAAAATATTTAAAAAAAAAAAGAAGATTCGGCAAGTAGGGGCTCAAGAAAAGACATGGAAAATATAAAAAATGACCAAATTGGAACTCTAGAAATGAAAAGTACAATAAACCAATTTAAATATTTGTTAGCTAGGTCTAATAGCAAATTGAGATGGCAGAACAATCAGTTAACTTGAAAATAGAGGTATAGAAATTATTGAGTCTAAAGAAAAAGTTTAGAAAAAAAAGAAGACTTCAGAGATTTATAGCTCAGAGTGAAGAATACCAACAAATGTATAATAAGAGTCACAAAGGAGGAGAGAAAGAGAAAGTGGCTGAAGAAATCTTTGGAGAAATAATGACAAAAACTTTTCAAAAGTAATAAAAAATTCTTAGATGAAAAAATTCAATAAAAATCTTTTAGATAATCAATAGGAATTAATAACTGAACACATTATATTAAAATATTGAAAGACAAAGAGAAAATCTTCATTGCATCAAGAATGAAAGCAGATACTATATACAGAAAAACAACAACATAGCCATTGGCTGAGTTTTCATCAGGACCAATAGAGGCTAGAAGGAGTGAAATGTCATATTTAAATGCTGAAAGGAAAAAAAAAGGCAACCAGGAAATCTATATCCATCGAAAATACCCTTCAAATCTAAAGAAAAAGCAAAAAAATTATTTGATAAACAAAATACATTCATTCATAGCAGCTATGTCTCTTACAAGACATTTGAGAGAAAATCCTTCAGAATCACAGGAAATGACATAAGACAGGACCTTGAATCCTCTGAAAGAAATGAAGGCCTCAAAAGTTGTAAGGAGCAATACCAAGTCTAAAAAGATAAAAATACACTTAATGCTATTTATATAAAGTTTAAGACAGGAAAACCTAAATGATTGTATAGATGTCAGAAAGACAGTTAATTTTGCTGGGTGGGAGGGGTGATAACTGACAAAGATTGTCCATGAGGGAAGCACAAGGGAATGTGAAATATTCTATCATTCCATTTGGACAATGAATTACACAAAAACTGTATTCAGTTGAACATTCAAGATTTATGCACTTTACTCTGGCTACTTTATCAGTTGAAATAAAACTAATAAAAACCAAACCTAGACTCTTTCACATTTACCAGTAATCACAGCCAAGAGCCCAGACTAATTTGGATTATTATTATTATTATCACCACTTCAATACCCTTTCTTGACATTTACACTTTTTATCCAGCTACAGTTTCACAGCTCCACCTCCGGCCCATTCTTTTGGAAGACCCCATAGCCATAGGTTAGGTAACACCTATGGAAGACTCATAAATGACATGATTGATGGGTGTTTAGCAGAAAACAAGTAGTATGTATCACAGACTGTCCTATGCAGAGGGTACAATACACGTCAGTGAGAGAGTCCCACTAGCACAGAAAAGAAGTGTGAACTACACCTTCAGAATATGGTCCAGATTTTAGAGTTCATCAGATGAACACAGATCAAGGTGTCCTCTCATCTGGGTATGGGAAAGTGAAATGACTGCAGGTTCTCCCCAGATCAGTGGCCTCTGTCTTTGGAGACGTGTACATGAATCTCACATTTGTTCACATCCACAGTCACTTCCTGGCTTCACCCATAGCAATGATGGTCTGGCTTCGTTATTTAGGAACTCTGCACATAGGCTGTCAGTTACTAAAATGAAAATTAAAAACAGTGACTTTGGTTAAATGTATATCAGTAGGTACATCCTTGAGGGAAAAATGAGCAGAGGTGACATATTTTAATATCAAATAAAAAATCACAATCTTGTGACTCCTTTCTCTTCCCATATAATTCATGATGGTTGTACTGATATTTCAGAGTATCAAATGAGTCTTATATTTTCATCCCTATAGCTTTGTCCTTCTCCAACCTGAGCCCACATTTTGGCCATCCAGTGGCTTCCGAGCACACTTGTGAGATGATCACTGTCCAAACAGGATTGCTGGGATAACTCACAGGCAGCTCCATGCTGAGTCTCCCTTTGAACTCCCAGCATCACTGACCCTGAAGGAGTGTCCTCCTGTCATCCAAAGCACCCAGAGCACAGCCTGCCCTGTGGTGATTTCACTGCCCAACTCAAAACCTCATCACAGATTCCACTGGCTCAGAGACAAAGTCAGGTCCCAGGCAGAGGCTGGTGTGGGGGCCTAAAAAAACCCTCTTTTCATCAATCTTTCTGTTAGAAATTTCCAGGGATTTATAAGCTGAATTTCTATAATAGTTACTATCTTAAAAATAAAAGCTATTTGTAATATGAGAAACATAAAACATGGGAAATAATTAAAACCCACAAGAGCATCATATAGTCAGAGACTCAAAATTCACCTAATCTAATTCGGAGCTCCCTGCCTTATGGTCCATCTCCATGGTGTCTATGTGCTCCACCCTTATCAAATATATGTTCAAAGAATTATTTTAACCTATAATAAAAGACTGAAAAAGGAATTTGTAAAGACAATGATTCAACCAATAGAGGCTCTCAAACAGAGACAAAACTATGAAAACAAGCATACTGGGAAATCTAGAAATGAAAAGTACAACAACTCAATTGAAAAATGTATTAGATAGACTCAATAGCAATTTAAGATGACACAAGAATCAGTGAACTGAAAAACAAGTCAATAGAAATGGTCTCATATAAAGAAGGAAAAAATTATAAAGAAGAATGAATAAAACCTCAGACATTATAGGTCCATGTGTATAATACCAACAAATTTGTATTAGGAATCACAAAGGAGAAGACAGAAAGAGGCTAAAAATGTGTTCCCATCTTTATGCCCATGAATACCCCATGTTTAGCTCCCACTTATAAGTGAGAACATGTGGTTTTTGGTTTTTTGTTTCTGCATCTGTTCACTTAGGAAAATGGCCTCCAGCTGCATCCAAGTTTCTGCAAGGGCAAGATTTTGTTCTTATTTATGGCTGCATAGTATTCCATGGTGCATATATACCACAGTTTCTTTATTGAATCCCTGGTTGATGGGCACAATAGACATTGTGCTAGAAGGAACACAAAGGGAGAAAGGGCAGGGGCTGAAAAACTACCTATGGGTACAATGTTCACTAACTGGTTAATAATTTCTGTCATACCCCAAACCTCAGCATCATGCAAAATAACTTTGTAACATATCTGTACATGTATGGTTTGATTCTAAAATAAAAACTGAAAAAGAAAAAAATGGAGAAATAATGAAAAACATTTTTCACAATGATGAAACACATTAGTCTGTACATGAAAGTAACTCAGTGAAACCCTTCTAGGATAAGCACAATACAGTTCATAACAATACACATTATAGTACCAATGTTGAAAGACAAAGACACAGAGAATTTGGAAGGCATCACTAAAATACTGACTTACTCTATACTAGGAAGCAATAATAAAGGTATTGGCTAAATTTTCATCATTACTAATAGAGGTGGGATGAGAGTGGAATGATATATTTAAATGCTGGGGGAGAAAAGTCAGCCACAAATGCTATATCCAGCAAAACAATCATTTAAACATAAAAGCAAGGTAGAAATGTTCCTTCATACACAAAGACTAATTCATTATAGCATATGTGCCTTGTGGAAAATTCAAGAGAAAATCCTTCAGAATAACAGGGAATGAGAGCAGACAGCAATTCAAATTGATAAGAAGGAATCAAGCCCTCAAAAAATGAAAGAAATAAGAAAGAAGCTACAAAAAATGTTTACCTGATATGAAGATTAAGTACAGGAAAAAAAAACAATTATAATAGATGTCACAGTATCAGTTACATTGATTGTGTTTTGAGCAGCAGTTGCTGACTGGGAAGGTGCATAATGAAAGCAGCAAGAGAATTGGAAACCTTCCATATTTTGATGTGGATCATGACATGAAATGATCTGGATTTTGACATTCATTTGCACCCTTAAGATTTGAACCTTTTGCACTGTGTGTTTTTCCTTAAATAAAATAAAATAAAACAAACCTAGGCTCTTTTAAATAAGCCTGAACCAAGAAATAAGAATCACCAAATATTTATGAAAGCTCAACCTTATTAAAGAGAAGTGTAAAACATGCCTGAGAAAGTCCTAACGAACTAGAAATTGGGTAGAGGAAATAGCAGGAAACATCTAAATATGTCCCTTCTGCCACTCAGGAAACAGATTTTACCTCTCTTGATATCCTTAAAAACATAAAATATATTTATGTCATTTTGCTCACAAGAGAGGTCCCCACCTTCTCCTTGGCTCTTTCCACCCCACTGCACCCACCAGGGGATTTGCATACTGTCCCCTAGGGAAGACCTTCCCTTGTGAGTCTGAGATAAAAGCTCAGCTCTAACCTTGCCTTGACTGATCAGGACTCCTCAGTTCACCTTCCCACAGTGAGGCTCCCTGCTCAGCTCCCAGGGCTGCTAATGCACTGGGTCCCTGCTGAGAGCAGAAGGGAAATGAGGGAGGATGATGGGGTGGGAGGGTGAACTCTGTGGGCCCTGCCACCTCCCATGTGTGTTCTGTCCTCGTGTTAGATGTGTCTTGTCCTCCAGGATGGGGCATGTGATGTCTAGATCTGTGAGAGTGAGGAAGATTCCAGAAGGAGCAAGGACATGTACTTTAGTGAAAGCTGTGACACAGAAAGAGGGGGATGGGATAGGTGACTTCTAGAGGCTTATTTGTGCTTTGCAAATCTTGGTTCTTTTTAAACCTGTATGTTTTGGGAGTATTAACCAAAATCATACACAAAAAATAATTGAGCAAAACATAAATAACAGACAGAAAATTATTAAAATGGCTCACAATGTTTGTACATAACCTTGCACTTCTCTCTTATTATTTCAGGATCCAATGGAGATGCTGTGTGACCCAGCCTCTACTCTCCCTGCCCGTCACCCCTGGAAAGCCAGCCTCTATCTCCTGTAGATCCAGTCATAGCCCCTTTCACAGTAATGGATACACCTATTTGAATTGGGACCTACAGAAGCCAGGCCAGCCTCCACGGCTCCTGATTGATTTGGTTTCCAACAGGGACCCTGGAGTCCCAGACAGGTTCAGTGGCAGTGGGTCGGGGACAGATTTCATGTTTAAAATAAGGAGGATGGATGCTGAGGATGTTGGGGTTTATTGCTGCCAGCAAAGTACACATTATTCTCCCACAATGGTACAGTCCTGAACACAAACCTCCCTGCTTGCTGTGGCCTAGCTGCCCAGATGTGTTGTTTCTGTGGAGAGCAGGCACTGTGGATTCTCTTAGATGCCTAAAGACCAAGATGTTGGAGAACTCAGAGGACTTGGTACAGCTGAGGGCTCATGACCATAAATTTCTCAGCTACACCTCAGGCACCACATTTTAAGTTCCCATCAGCTGCAGCGGCCTTTGCATGACAGAGTCTGCAAAAAGGAGGAGGTACACCTCCCCTTTGAGCAATGAGACACGAGAGAAGAGAAAGCTCAATGAAAGCTCATTCTAAGCCTCTCTTCCTTCCCTACATTCATTCATCAAGTAAATTCGTTCTGCGTAACAGGCACCTAATTGAGACTGATTACTGGCAACGCAAAACTAATACATTCTTTTGATTTGGTTTAGCA
Source organism: Homo sapiens (assembly GCF_000001405.40). Classification (NCBI taxonomy): domain Eukaryota; kingdom Metazoa; phylum Chordata; class Mammalia; order Primates; family Hominidae; genus Homo; species Homo sapiens. The sequence continues at coordinate 89,077,583 of NC_000002.12, read as the reverse complement.
GTTACTAGAGTATATGTATGTTGATAAGGTTTGGTAATATTAAAACAGTTTCCCTCCCCTCCTCCACCTCCCCCCACCACTTTTCCGAAGGCAGACCCCTGACCAGGACACCAGCAGGCACTGTATTTTTTCCTACTTTTTTCAGGGAGTACCAAAATATAACTCTTCACGGTCTAGATTTTTAAGTTACTAGATATGTTGCTGCAAATGTATGCAAAAATAAAGACCTAGTGCCAAAAGTCTTTCCACAGTCTCAACCACAGCATGTTGAAGTAAAAAGTAGTTTTCTGAACTCCAAAGCTGGGTTTCAACAATAAGGACCAAGTTTGAAAGAATAAAGGAACATAAGTATGCCATCTTAAACAGAATTACAAGATAATATGTAAGCCATATTTTTACCCCATGAAAAATAACCATCTGAAGACTTGGAGCAGAGGTCAGTACGTGAGAGACTGGTGGGTTGCGTTTGAGATATGAACCCAGATGCAAGTTCTTATGTATTTCCTGGGAAGAATCACAGAGTCGAGAGACCCCTGCCTGGCATTCAAGGCTGGGCCCTGATGCCACTGCAAGCTCCTGAGGAAGTGCTGCATCACACAGAGCTCTAGGTCTGTGTGGTGACTCAAAGGTTACCTTAGGTCATATCACACATTCCAGGTCAACCCAGCAGGAAATAGATGATCTTCCGAAGGTTGATTCTGCTTGTGTCACTTACCTAGAAATAATTTGAGAGAGAAATTTTAATACACTATATGTGTATTAGGCATTAATAAGTTGAGGATATCTTCTGTATAATAATCTTGCATATTTAGCAAGTTAATATAAGAAAAAATCTATAATTAAACTAATTCAAATGAAAGCATGAATCAAGAAAATCAGAGGAAACAAGACGGTAGGTTTAACCCTAACTTTACAATAATTGCATCGTAAATAAACAAATTTTTCCAAGTAAATCATAAAATTATCAGACAGGATTAAAATCAAAGATGTATGTTAATCATTAAATACACACTATAGTAAGAATATAGAATGGCTTTGAAAATGAAAGGATGAAAAGTACATATCATGTAAAACTGAGCAACAGAAACTAGGTCATGACTTTAACGCAAGAGATAAAATGGACATTTTATAATTATAAATTGGTAAATCCATCAAGAAGCCATTAAAATTCTAAATCTGTCTGAATCCTGTATTAGTCTGTTTTCACCCTGCTGAAACAGACATACCTGAGACTGGGAAATTTACAAAAAAAGAGGTTTAATGGACTTACGATTCCATAAGCTGGGGGGGCCTCTCAACCATGGCAGAAGGAGGAGCAAGTCACATCTTAACGTGGATGGTGGCAGGCAAAGAGAGAGAGCTTGTGCAGGGGAACTCCTCTTTATAAAACCATCAGATCTCATGAGACTTACTCACTATCATAAGAACAGCATAGAGAAGACCTGCCCTCCTGATTCAATTACCAACCACCGGGTACCTCCCACAACCTGTGAGAATTCAAGATGGGATTTGGTTGGGGACACAGCCAAACCATATCACTCTGCCCCTGGCCCCTCACAAATATCATGTCCTCACATTTCAAAACCAATCATGCCTTTCCAGCAGTCCCCCATAGTCTCAACTCATCTCAACATTAACTCAAAAGTTCACAGTCCAAAGTCTTATCTGAGACAAGGTAAGACCCTTCAACCTATGAGCCTGTAAGACCAAAAGAATGATAGTTACTTCCTAGGCCCAATTGTGGGTACAGGCATTGGGTTAATACAGCTGTTCCAAATGGGAGAAATTGGCCAAAACAAAGGGACTACAGACCCCAGACAAGTCTGAAATCCAGGAGGGCAGTTAAACCTAAAGTTCCAAAATGGTCTCCTTTGACTCCATGTCTCATATCCAGGTCGCACTGATTCAAGAAGTGAGTTTCTGTGGACTTGACTAACTCTGTCCCTGTAGGTTTGCAGAGTACAGCCTCCCTCCTGGCTGCTTGCAAGGGCTGGCGTTGAGCATCTGTGGCTTTTCCAGGTGAACGGTGTAAGTTGTCAGTGGATCTACCATTCTGGGATCTGGAGGACAGTGCCCCTCTTCTCACAGCTCCACTAAGCAGTGCCCCAGTAGGGGCTCAGTGTGGTGGCTCCAACCCCACATTTCCCTTCGGCACTGCCCTAGCAGTGCTCCATGGCACCCCACCCCTGCAGCAAACTTCTTGCCTGGGCATCCAGGTGTTTCCATACATCCTCTGAAATCTAGGCGAAGGTTTCCCAACCCCAATTCTTGACTTCTGTGCACCTGCAGGCTCAATACCACGTGGAAGCTGCCAAGGCTTGGGGCCTCTGAAGCCACAGCCTGAGCTCTACATTGGCCCCTTTTGGCCATGGCTGGAAGAGCTGGGACACAGGCCAACAAGTCCTTAGTCTGCACACAGCATGAAGGCCCTGGGCCTGGATCACAAAACCACTTTTTCCTCCCAGGCCTCTGGGCCTGTGATGGGAGGGGCAGCCATGAAGACCTCTGACATGCCCTGGAGACATTTTCCCCATTGTCTTGAGGATTAACAACATTGGGCTCCTCATTACTTTTTTAAATTTCTGCTGCTGGCCTGAATTTCTCCTCAGAAATGGGATTTCCTTTTCTATCACATTGGCAGGCTGCAAATTGTCTGGACATTTATGCTCTGCTTATCTTATGTAACTGAATGCCTTTAAAAGCACCTGAGTCATTTCTTGAATGCTTTGCTGCTTAGAACTTTCTCCCACCAGATACCCTAAATCATCTCTCTCAAATTCAAAGTTCCACCAATCTGTAGGGCAGGAGCAAAATGTCACCAATCTCTTTGCTAAAACATAACAAGAATAACCTTTGCTCCAGCTCCCAACAAGTTCCTCATCTTCATCTGAGACCACCTCAGCCTGGATTTCATTGTCCATATCATTATCAGCATTTTGGTCAAAGCCATTTAACAACTCTTTAGGGAGTTTCAAACTTTCCCACATTTTCCTGTCTTCTTCTGAGCCCTCCAAACTGTTCCAACCTCTGCCTGTTACCCAGCTCCAAAGTCATTTCCACATTTTTGGGTATCTTTTCAATAGCGGCCCACTCTCCTGGTGCCAATTGACTGTATTTGCCCATTTTCATGCTTCTAATAAAGACATATCCGAGACTGGGCAATTTACCAAAAAAAAGAGGTTTAATTAAGTTACACTTCCATATGGCTGGGGAGGCCTCACGGCCATGGCAGAAGGCAAAAAGTAGCAAGACACAACTTACGTGGATGGCAAAAGGCAAAGAGAGAGAGCTTGTGCAGAACTCCTCTTCATAAAACCATCAGATCTCAAGAGACTTATTCCCTATCATGGGACAAACACAGGAAAGACTTGCCCTGAGTATTATGAACAATGTCACATCGGTGGTGATATTGGGAGCAATTTCATCCTCTCCACCACAGGGTACTAGGAACAATATCACAAAAGAGGAGTAAATCACCCCTGATATGGAGAATAATATTATCTTCTCCACCACAGGGTATTACAAACAATATTACAGAGGGGGTACACTGCATGTGATATTAGGAGTTATATCATCCTCTCCCTGCCTGGGTATTACGAACAACAACATCATGCTGGGCCAGGGTACAATGCCAAGATATTGGGAGTAATATCATCCTGGCAGCCCTGTGTATTACAAACAATATCATGGCAGGGAGTACGCCACCTGCAATACTAGGAGTAAGATCATCCTCTCCCTCCCAGATATTACAAAAAATGTCACAAGAGGGTGTACACCCCCCACAATATTGGGAGTAATATCATACTCTCCCCTCCTGGATATTACAAACAATAGGACAGGGGCGTGTATACACAAAAAGTTTATGATATTGAAAGTAATATCATCTCCAATCACCCCTGGATATTATGAACAATATCACAGGGAGGTGTACACTCCCTGAGATATTGGGAATAATATCAACCCCTCCTCCCCTGGATATTAGGAACAATGTCACAGGGGTATGTACAACCCCGTGGTATTGGGCGTAATATCATCCTCTCCCCACCTGGATATTATGAACGATATTACAGGGGGGTGTACACAAAAGGTGTTTACGATGTTTAAAGTAATATCATCTCAAATCCCCCCGGATATTAAAAACAATATCACAGGGGGATTTTACACCCCCCACTATATTGGGAGTAATATCATCCTCTCCCCTCCAAATGTTACAAACAATATCAAAAGGGGGTGTACATTCCCCACAATATTGGAAGTAATGTCATCTCCCCCCGATTATTACCAAGAATATCACAGGGGGGGCACACCCCCCACGATATTGGGCATAATATCATCCTCTCCCCTCTCTGGATATTATGAACAATATCACATGGTGGTGTACACTCCCCGCAATATTGGGAGTATTATCATCCTCTCCCCCTCTGAATATTACGAACAATATCACAGGCGGGTGTACACACAAGGTGTCAACGATATTGAAACTAACATCACCTCCAATCCCCCCCTGGATATTACAAACAATATCACAGGGGGGTGTACACTCCCGGCGATATTGGGAGTAACATCATCCTCTCTCCCACTTCATATTACGACAATATCACAGTGGGTTGTACACCCCCCGCAAAATTGGGAGTAATATCATCCTCTGCCCCCCTGGATATTATGAAAAATATCACAGGGACGTGTACACTTCCCGAGATGTTGGGAGTAATATTATCCTTTCCCCCACTGGATATTAGGAACAATATCACAGGGGGGTGTACACACAAGGTGTTTACGATATTGAAAGTAATATCATCTCCAACCATCCCTGGATACAATGAACAATATCACAGAAGGGTGTACACCCCCCGCAGTGTTATGATTAATATCATCCTTCCCCCCTGAATATTAAGAAAAATATTACAGTGGGGTGAACATCCCCGGCAATATTGGGAGTAATGTCATCCTATTCCCCGCTGGATATTGCGAACAGTATCACAGGGGGCTGTGCATGCCCCGCGATGTTGGGAGTAATTTCCTCCTGTCTCTCCCAAGATGTTATGAACAATATCACAGAGGCGTGCACTCCCCCGCGATACTGGGAGTAATATCATCCTCTTAACTCCTTAACGAACAATATTACAGGGGTGTGTAAAGCCACCGAGATATTGCCAGTAATATCATCCTCTCCCACCCTGGATATTATGGACAATACCAAAGGAGGGTGTACACACAAGTTGCTTACGATATTGAAAGTAATACATCTCCTCTCCCCCACTGGACATTATGAACAATATCACGGGGGGTGTACACCCTCCGTGATACTGGGAGTAATATCATACTCTCCTCTCCCGGATATTACGAACAATATCACAGGGGGGTGTACACACAACGTGTTTACGATATCGAAAGTAATATCATCTCCTCTCTCTCCCTGGATATTATGAACAATATCGTGGGGTGGGGGGGTGTACACACAACGTGTTTACGATATTTAAAGTAACGTCATCCTCTCCCCCCCACCCCGAATATTACGAACAATATCACAGGGGGGTGTACACACAATGTGTTTACGATTTTGGAAGTAATACCATCTTCCCTTCCCCCACGGATATTACGAACAATATCACAAGGGGGCGTGTACAGCCCGGGCGATATTGGGAGTAATATCGTCCTCTCCCCTCCTGGATATTATGAACAATATCACAAGTTGGGGGTGTACACTCCCCACGATATTGGGAGTAATATCTTCCTCTCTCCCTGGATATTACGAACAATATCACAAGGGGGTTGTACACTCCCCGCAATACTGGGGGTAATGGCGTCCTCTCCAACCCTGGATATTACGAACAATATCAAAATAAGGGGTGTACACCCCCCACGATATTGGGAGTAATATTGTCGTCTCCCCCCAGGATATTATGAATAATATCACAAGAGGGGTGTACACCCCCCACGATATTGGGAATAATATAGTCCTATCCACCCCCCTGCCGGATATTATGAAGAATCTCACAAGGGAGGGTGTAAACCCCCCACGATATTGGTAGTAACGTCATCCTGTTTTCCCCCTGGATATTAAGAACAATAACACAAAGAGGGGTGTACACCTCCCGCAATATTGGGAGTACTATTGTCCTCTCCCCGCTCTGGATATTACCAACAATATCACTATCTTGACTAGTGGTTTTGACAGATCATCAGGCCTTAGAAGAAACACATCTGAAGGATTGGACACAAAGTCACTCTGGAGGAGATATGACTGGACCTTCCAAAAAAGGACCAGTAGAAAAAATAAATCCTTTCCAAGTGAATATTTATCTAAAGGCCATTAGAAGCAGGAGCTCAAAATAATTAAAATAATTCAAAACATGGACTTCATCAGTTACCTTTCCCAGCTTTCCCAGGGAATCTCATGAACTGATGTCATGACTATCCATGCATGGGCTTAACAATATGAATTTCAGTTAACTGGGACTCATGGGGATACTGGCACTTCTGAGCATCCACTTTTCCAAGGAGAATAACCCAAGATTGTACCAGACATCAAGGATCAGACTAACAGCTGGTGTCAGGTGTTTTTAGCAGGCCTCATCCAACATGAGAAGAGCAGCAGTTGTTTTCCTGTATATGCATTTGTCTTTCTTTCAGTTATATTTCTGCATGAAATATTATTTGAGGATTTTCCAAGTGCTTTCATCACAGTTAAGAAATTCTTCCATAATATGGCATTGAATCGGGCAAATTATTTACAACAAAAAAGTAAGGCAAAGGGTGCAGTTCATGATCTTATCACCTGCACAGGTGCAGCCGTCTCTATAGAAAGGAGAAAACATATTCTTAGTCAAGCAAAACTGACACACAAACCCTAGGTAATTGAATTGATACCCTATCAGATGTGGTGAAGGTTCTGACACGCTAATCATGTATGATGCTGTAACTTCCATCAAGGAATATATGTATAGTGAAAGTGAGCTGTGTACTCATAGTTAATTATTATGCCAACTGAACAGCTGGAAACATTGGTCGCTGTGGCACCCACTGAATAAAAGGAGACTCAGTGGCAGGTAGGCCCCTTTGCGAATGGGAGACGGCATAAACCTCACCTGGGTGTTCTTTTGGTTCCCTTAGTCAAAATCATGAACAAAGTTGCCAACTTTGAAAAAGGCGTTTTGCAACAGTAGCCTTGGAATCTGTTCAACAAGGCCTGGCCCAGTCACTTCTCTAAGATTTTTACAGCCTGCTAACCAGATGGAAGTCCAGGTATCCACAACCTCTATGCATACTCAGTGGAGCGTATAGCAACAGAAAACTATCAATGAGTGCACCAGCCTCTCAATCTTAGGACACATAAGTTGCCTGAATCAGCCACTGAATGTGTTTATATTGAATGGCAACTCCTTGCTTGCTATTAGGCACTGATGGAGACTGAACATGTTAAGGCTTCAGCACCATGTGTGACTGTGACACTGGTCCCTTAGCTGTCCATTCTCACTTAGATACTTACAAACACCATTAGTAAAACTGAACAATCTGAACAGAGCCATGTTATCAAATGGAAATGGCACATTCTTGATCAGGTTTAGTCAGGACCCCACAGGATCTGTGGCTCCATGAACAAATGGGGAGCTTGCTAGAAGGGACCAAATAACTTGTAGGTGATAATTTGGCTCTTTATTTGCCCATGTGGAGCCCAAGATTCAGAGATTTCCATATGGCAGGAGTCACTGAAGGCTGAGCAAAATGCTAACTGACAGATCCACTAGGTGTGGCCACCATTCAGCCAGTGGATGGCCACTTTTTTAACTGAAACTTAACATGGGCTTTCTACCCAGTGGGCAAAACTACATTCAGTGGTAATGGCCATGCAGGCTGTCCCAACAACGCACCATGCCACATATCCACTAAATCCTCGGCCATTGTCAACAGCCTTGCCATCTGTTCAGGAAAATGGCAACTGAGAGACTGGACTATTAAAGAATCCCCAGTGTGAAGGAAAGGACTATGGCCACAGCTTTCCACCTGCAGGAAAAAGAAATATGATGCTGAATTTGATGCTGGGACTACCTAGGTAACCCTTGAGTGCAATTTATGTCATATTTTTGGATACTCCATGAGACTTCTCACTCACAAAGGAGCATCTTTCACTGCCCAAGCAACGTGACAATAGGCACACTCTCATGGAACACGATGAACTTTCCATGCACCCTGCATCCACAGGCCAATGATCCTAGTGAATGCTAGATCAGTGGAATCACACAGCAATATGCAGAAAGGACATCTACAAAGTCTGTTAATGGGGTGGTATCCCATCTGACTAGAGAAATATGTACATTAAAGATCCTGGGCCACAAAAAGGGAAATAGTGCATGTTGAGAAACACAGAGCTGGGTGGAAGTAAAGGTAGGCCAGGCAGACACTTATATTAGTCTGGACCTGTGAAAGCTATTTCAGTGTTCCTAACCATTCCTTTTCTTTTTTTCCTTTAGAATACATGCTCTGGGGTGGTTTGCAATCTAGGCCATTACAATGCCCCAGACAGGCCCCCTAACTCTAATAGGAGGATTATGTTTCCTCTGGGTGCTTCCTTTCTACAAGATCCCACAGTGATGGATAACAAGACTAAGAAATATCACGGAGCTAGGGGCCCTCTTCTGGTGCCAGGGACATCTTATCCTCCCTTTAGTGTTGGTGATATTATGAAATATGTCCAGTTTTTACAGGGCAGAATCTCCCTTCCTGGAGTGGACAATCAGGACTGAAATATCTGGATCAAGTGACAAAGGCAATGGATTGTTCACAGAGCAAGGACAGCCAGACCGCATTCCTACACCAACACGGCCCAACCCTTGTAGATGGGTAGGGGACACCTGAGACCCTGGGATGGGTGAGAGACGATGCATTAACCTGTGAGGCTGCATTTTGACAAGAATGAGGCAGCAAAGGCCTAGAAGCACAATGTCTTTGTTAGCTTCTTTTAGGTCACCAGGGTGATCTTTCAAAATAGTGAATCTCCCATTCTTGACCTCATTCTGTCATTAACTAGAGGTTCCCTTTCATTCTACCAAGGGTAAATTACACCAACATTCCTAATACTAAGGTGTACATCAAAAGGACCCAAGCACTGGCCCACAAAGTGAGAATCTGACACCTGCCACATGGGAGGAAACTGGAGGACCCCTGTTTAACTTAATTGCCTCTGGCGAATGTCATGACCACAATTAAAAAAAACATTGGTGGACTAATATTTTGATGCACCATACTTTTTTGATTGCATAGATGAGAAACATCCCAATGGCAATGATAAAAACAAGGACTGGACTAATGCTAGCCCTCTGTCTACAGACAATATTGTATGAGCAAAACTTTGCTCATGCAACTCTACTATCAGTGAGACTTGGCTAATGAACGCACCAATACCAGCATAACCATGACAGAGTGATTGAAGAAAAATGGGAAAAGGGGGGCTGTATGCACCCAAGGGCTACATCTTTCTCTGTAAGCGGTTTGGGAGTGACCAAAATGCAGGATATGTGATGCCATCTCTGGATATCTGTGGAATAGTGAGATCCTGCATGTTGGGCATGCTGGGGTTGTCTCTGGATATTGCTCCTTGGAATTAGGTAAATCATAGAGCCTGAAGCCCAAAGCTGTACCTCAGACTTACTAGGGACCTACCAGAAGGTACAACAGATGATAGGTTTATGTCTTTTATGATATTTTTGGTACTATGTATAGGAGTCAGTGCTCATGAAAAAAAGTGAAATGATAAGGAACTTGTCCCTGACCATGGCAGATATTGCTCCTCCTCCATAGCCACTGCCTTGGTAACCCAGCAGACATCCCTTAACTCCATCGGGATGGATGTTTAAGATAACAGTGTTGCTCTAGACCTTTAAAAAATCCCAACTGGGAGGAATGTATACAATTTCCAATACCCCCTGCTATACCTGGATAAACACCTCAGGTATCCTAGAAATTCAAGTAGAGGAGATCTGGAAACAAGCTCATAATTGCAGAAAATGGATTCTGCAGATTCAGAAAATCCCACCTGAAGGATTCTTCTTTCACCCCTTTAGCAACTTCTTCTGTGGATCATGGGATCCTGGGCTACATAACTGCTTCAGGTGGGCCTGATCATTCTGCCTCTGGTAGTAGTTTTCATTGGCCCAGTGAAATCTTTTCTGGCTCTGTCTCAATGATGTTGCTTTGAGATTGTGTCAGTCAAGGTGCTTCATCCGTCTGACAAGACACACCTGTGCCTCCAGTTCACGGTGGTTGGTAGGCGTATAAAATGGAATAGCTTTCTACGGAGGATGTCTGTGTTGGGGGACGACTTCACTCCAGTCCTCTGATGGTCCTGGACTCACTTGATTTTCCCCACTCTCTTTCTTACACTTCTCAATAATAATTGTAGAATGTGCTGGAAATGTAACATTCTGAAATAGCGAGGGACAGGTCAGAACAGACTGGCTTCTGATCCAGCTCCCTCTAGTACTGTCCTCCTGTACTTAAGTCCTCCAGTACTTTAGCTCCATGTGTCCTGTGACACCAGGGTTTAAAACCCAGAGCATCTTCTTTCTGGGGTTCCTTAGCTCTGGTCCAAGAGGGGTACACACAGTCAAGATTCCATCAGCCCCACTTACCTGTGCCTCAGGGTAAAGACCCACAATAAATCCTCAGCTTCTGCCGTGCCTTGCTGGTCACCTGTAAATACTAAACTAGATTCTTGTAACTTGTTGTGTATGATTGTTCTGTCTCCCTGGACTCTGACAGGTTGGTAACCAGGGCACAGCAAACCTGCTTCACAGCAGTCACTGTCATAGAGACAGAACTTGATTACAGGTTGCCAGGGACTGGGAGCAGGGGAAACGGGGAGGGGGTTGTCATTTAATGGCTATGGAGTTTCAGTTCTAGAAGATGGAAAGAGTTCTGGAGATGGATATTATTGATGCTAGCCCAACAATGTGACTATACTTAATGCCATTGTCCTGTACACTTGAAAATGGCTAAGATGGGCAATTTTATGTTCTCTATACTTACCATAGTTTAAAAACTTCACATCTTTATTATGATATTATTGGATCAGAAGGCATCGTTCTATTTTCTAATTTTCTCAGCAAATGTTAATAAATAATCACTTAGAGATGCCATTGTTCACACCACATCTTAACAAACAGTGTTTTTTTTCTAGAGATGAGGGAGTCTCCCTGTGTTTTCCAAGCTGGTCTTGAACTCCTAGATTTCTGCTACCCTCCCTACTTGATCTTGCAAACATCTAGGATAACGGGGATAAGTCCCCGCACCTGGTCTTAACTATCAGTTTACCAGGAGGTTTAACAGGGAACTTCCTTGAAAATGTGTATTCCATTGCAGCCACCTCTAAGGCCAGACAATCTACTAAGCTATATTTCTGCACCCAAGTGCACTGCTCCCTCTGTGATGCCACATGCCCTCAGCATGAAGTCCCATAAGGAGAACAAGGCAAGGAGGCAACCAAATGTTCTGAGTGGAAATTATTGTGAAGGGCTGGCATTAGAAGAGCATCAGTATTGCAGTGCTACTTGACTAGCAAAACACTCTCTGGCTTATGTTGCTGGATATTTTTTTTCCTCAAACTTTTGCTAATACTGAATACTAGGGTTGAGATGAGAACCTTACTATGCTAAGTCTAGTTAAATGCCATTTCATTGAAGATATATTGCTTTATGGAATATAATAAGTATTGAAAATACTTATTACTACTCCAACACTCCCTTTATATATCATGTTACCATCCTAAATATTATGGCTTGATAAAAGTGTTTGATAGGGAACTAGGACAGTATTGATTCTGTTCTCAATGTCCTGTAACACATCAATTCCCCAAATTGACAAGAAAATGGGAAGAAAAACATAGCTTAATAATCACTAGCTATTCTGGTTACTGTTGAGTGACAATTAGGTGAAATCTTAAAAAAAAAATTGAAATATTTTGGAGGGTGTGGAGCTATAATAAGTTATTGGTGGACATATAAAATATTATAGCCACTTTCGGTAAAGTCGGACAGAGTATTAAACACTTACTGATAAACACAGCAACTACACGCCTTGGTATTAGCCCAAAAGAAATGAAGACATATGTTCATGCAAAGTCTTGTTCAAGAACATTCACAGCAACTTTATCCATAATAGCCCAAAATGGAAACAACCCACACGGCAATCAATAGATGAAGGGATCCATCATAAAATTACTGAACAGTTAAATAATACTCAAAAATAAAGAGGAGCACATAATTAGAACACAGGACATCTGAATGAATCTGAGAAAGAGTCATGCTGCACAAAAGTCACCAGACACAAAAGAGCGCATCCTATGTTTCATTTATGTGAAACTCTTACAAGGAAAATGAAATCTGTACTGACAGGAAGCAGATCAAAATTCCCTGATCTGTGAGGCAGAAAGCAAGTTGATTCCAAAAGAGTGGGTCAAAATGTTTTGGAGCTATAGAAATGTTCTATGTCTGGATTTTGGATGTGGTTCTAAAGATGTATTTATTTGTGACAGTTCATTGACAATGTGTTTTATTGTAATCTTTTTTTTTTTTTTTACAGTGAACTTAGTTAACAGTGAGCAAAGCAAGTGTAAGGCCAATTGGGTAGTGTTGTCTTCACATCTTCTGTCTTGCAGTGTACTGAAAATTGTATGAGCCAGAATATCTGAGAGATAATCTCTGCTTTGAAACTGAAGAACTGTGTATCTCATGGCAAGATTTCTCTTTTCCAAGTACTTTGGATTTTTCTTCTCTAGAATGAGAATTTAAATACACTTCACAGATTAAGTCAAAGTGAATAAAATACCTAGGAATCCAACTTACAAGGGAGGTGAAGGACCTCTTCAAGGAGAACTACAAGCCACTGCTCAACGAAGTAAAAGAGGACACAAAACACATAGAAGAACATTCCGTGCTCATGGATAGGAAGAATCAATATAGTGAAAATGGCCATACTGCCCAAGGTAATTTATAGATTCAATGCCATCCCCATCAAGCTACCAATAACTTTCTTCACAGAATTGGAAAAAACTACTTTAAAGTTCATATGGAATCAAAAAAGAGCCCGCATTGCCAAGACAATCCTAAGCAAAAAAAAACAAAGCTGGAGGTATCACACTACCTGACTTCAAACTATACTACAAGGCTACAGTAACCAAAACAGCATGGTACTGGTACCAAAACAGAGATTCAAACCAGTGGAACAGAACAGAGGCCTCAGAATTAACACCACACATCTACAGCCATCTGATCTTTGACAAACCTGACAAAAACAAGAAATGGGGAAGTATTCCCTATTTAATAAATCGTGCTGGAAAAACTGGCTAGCCATATGTAGAAAGCTGAAACTGGATCCCTTACTTACACCTTATACAAAATTTAATTCAAAATGGATTAAAGACTTAAATGTTAGATCTAAAACCATAAAAACCCTAGAAGAACACCTAGGCAATACCATTCAGGACGTAGGCATGGGCAAGGACTTCATGACTAAAACACCAAAGCAATGGCAACAAAAGCCAACATAGACAAATGGGATCTAATTAAACTAAAGAGCTTCTGCATGACAAAAGAAACTACCATCAGAGTGAACAGGTAATCTACAGAATAGGAGAAAATTTTTCCAATCTACCTATCTGACAAAGGGCTAATATCCAGAATCTACAAAGAACTCAAACAAATTTACAAGAAAAAAACCAAACAACCCCCTCAAAAATTGGGCAAAGGATGTGAACAGACACGTCTCAAAAGAAGACATTTATGCAGCCAACAGACACATGAAAAATGCTCATCATCACTGGTCATAAGAGAAATGCAAATCAAAACCACAGTGAGATATCATCTCACGTCAGTTAGAATAGCAATCATTAAGAAGTCAGGAAACAATAGATGCTGGCGAGGATGTGGAAAAATAGGAAAGCTTTTACACTGGTGGTGGGAGTGTAAATTAGTTCAACCATTGTGGAAGACAGTGTGGCAATTCCTTAAGGATCAAGAACTGGAAATACCACTTGACCCAGCAATCCCATTACTGGGTACCTACCCAAAGAATTATAAATCATGGTACTATGCACACATATGTTTATCATGCCACTATTCACAATAGCAAGACTTGGAACCAACCCAAATGTCCATCAATGATATAATGGATTAAGAAAATGTGGCACATATACACCAAGGAATACTATGCAGCCATAAAAAGGATGATTTCATGTCCTTTGCAGGGACATGGATAAAGCTGGAAACCATCATTCTCAGTAACCTATCACAAGGAAAAGAAACCAAACACCTCATGTTCTCACTCATAGGTGGGAATTGAACAACGAGAACATTTGGACACAGGGTGAGGAACATCACACACTGGGGCCTGTCATGGGGTCGGGGGCAGTGGGAGGGATAGCATTAGGAGAAATACCTAATGTAAATGATGAGTTGATGGGTGCAGCAAACCAACATGGCACATATATCCCTATGTATCAAGCCTGCACGTTGTGCACTTGTACCCTAGAACTTAAAGTATAATAAAAAAATATATATTTTGAGACTCATAGCAATTGCCCTTGTTCTGCAAACATTTCTAGAGGTAGCAGGCCAGTGGTGCTCACAGAAGTGTCTAGCATGCAGTATCTGTTCTATTGTTCATGAAAATTGTCTCACATAGTCTAGCAGTGGGCAGCAGCAATTGGGTGTTGACATCATTTCCCTGAGTCTTGTTTAATAGACTCCTTAATAAATCATTTTCCTACTATTAAATATAAATTTTGCGGATATTTAGAGATAATTGGCTTATGATAATTGCAATTAAGGAACCTTGAGGACATGTTAGAAATCACAAAGATTAGGATATTTTGCAAATGTTATGCTTCCAATAGCTAGGTTACCCTAAAACCTCTCTTACAAAGTATGCTTCCCAAGATGTTCCCAGGGGTCACAGGACTAGTCAATGCCAGTAAGTACAGGACAGATTTCACACTCAGTACAAGTACCTGATATTTGAGGAAACTAAAGATGCCAGAACACCCTAGCAGAACCCTCTCCCCAGTGAATCACACAATTGTATAATCTACCTCCACAGAGAGCAAGCGGAACCTAGACTTGCTTCTAATCCATATGATATGTCATAGGTTATGAGATGTCTTTCCAATGATTGTATTCTATAAGCCTCTGTCATAGCAGACTGGAAAGAGACACTCTCTGAAACCTTCTGCTGACCATGAACAAGCAACCAGCCATGTGGGCATTGCCTGTGTGAGCATCACATGGCAGGGAATTGTCCACAGCCTCTTGGACCTAAGAGCAGCCTTGAGCCAAGAGCCAGTTAGAAATTGAAGCCCTGAGTCATAGAAATGCTAAGGAATGAGCTCTGCAACTACCTGAAAGAGCTCTAAAGTATCTATGTTCTCAGGGGACTCACAGGTGAGAATGAAGCCCAATCTACACTGTGGCACAGTCTTGTGAAATCCAATGGCCAGGACCCGACAAAGCCATGTGCCAACTGCTGACTCAGAAATTGAGAGATGATAAATGGGTGTAGTCTTAAGCTGATAAATTTGTGGTAATTTGTTACATGGCCATAACAAACTTAGCACACATTTTAAGAACAAATAGTAGACCGAAGAGCAGCCATGCCACTGACATTGACTGTAGATGGGCACAGGCTTATTCTCATTGTGACCTTAGGGTTTCCAAGCACTGTGAGAGAGAGGAAAGCTTCGATGTGCAAGCCCTTTCCAAGACTCCACTTGTGTCACATCTGCTATTATCCTATTGGCCTGAGCAAGACACATGGGCAACACCTGCATCCATTTAGAATGAGGCCAACCAAAGGATGAGTACAGGGAAGGGATTTATTGTGGCTAATTGTGCAAGTAGTTTATCCATAAATTTTTTATCATTATTTGCTGAGAAATACCCTGACAAAAAGAAACCTCTTTAAAAGGCTTAAAGGTTTTAGGTTGTAGGTTCATTCATTGTAGCGTTCTGCTTTATATCCAAGTATAAATAATTGAGAACTCCTTCAAATTGTTATTTCCATGATGGTTTATTTTCCCCATACCTTTACAGGTAATTTTGGTCCTGCAATGTGCTAGCCAAGTTTAATGTGCAGAGCTGACCATTTGCACAATGTGACTGACA
Organism: Homo sapiens; assembly: GCF_000001405.40. NCBI lineage: Eukaryota > Metazoa > Chordata > Mammalia > Primates > Hominidae > Homo > Homo sapiens. The sequence goes on along the minus strand of NC_000002.12, from coordinate 89,061,432 downwards.
CGCCACTGCACCTTGAATGTGGACCTTGACTTGTGGTGATCTATGAGAATCTGCTTCTCAAAAGAATGTATTTGTCACCCCTTTGATCTTTATCCTGTCTGAATACACACACTTCTCTATTGTTCCATGGCTACTCTGTATGTTGTCTCTATTAACTCACTCTTGCCATAAGTGACTAAGAGCACCTAACACAGAAATAATAAATACAACCAGTTCTGAAAATTAAAAATAGTTAAATAGCATAGGGACATTATAGAAAAAAATGTATAACTATCTTAAGTATAAAGAAAATGAAGTCTTCGTATTTTGCAAAGAAGCTGTGTGAACGCTGTGTCTGCAGGTTTCAGCCCCAGGGTGGGCCCCTGCCTTTCCTGTGACTGAGCATATTGCCTTTCTCACACCTGCAGTCATCCAGCGAAGTGACAGGATGGGCTGAGCTGAGCTGTACTGTTGGGCCACCCTGGGGAGATCTTGGTTATATAAGATGCATTTCAGAGGATAACAATAACTGCTAACAGCAATAAATGACAGCAGTTCAGCTTTGTTCATGTAGAATTTCTCCCAAACAACCCACAATGAATAGACTTGAACCCCAGAGTTGATCTGGGAACAAACCTAATACAGATTGGGGAATAGGACCCATCTTCCTGACCCATGTAAACCGATACCAAAAGTTGTCCAACCTGCACATCAAACCAGCTTCCAGATAGGTTAAAGAAGTCACATCAGACCATCCAGTCGCAAATGAACCACAGGGTAACTGCAGACACAAGAGCGGACTCAGCAGAGATCAGTCCAGCCAGCCCAGAATGGAAGAACCACAGAGCTGACCCTCAGAATTATAAGGAGCTGTACAGTCAGCTCTCTATCCATGGGAACTGCATCCATGGATTCAACTAATCCTGGATCAAAAATATTTTGAAAAAAAAATCCACAAAATTCCAAAAAGCAAAGCTTGACTTTGCCATGTGCTGAGTAACACTTGGATGAATCTACACAAGTTAAGTCATGTGTAGACATCGTACTAGGTACTATAAGGAGGCTAGAGATGGTGTGAAATGTACGGGAGGATATGTGTAGGTTATATGCAAATATTGTGCATTTTACATAAAGGTTTTGAGTCTCCAAAAATTGGAATATCTGCAGGGTGCCCTGGAAACTATTTCCCATGGATACTGAGGGAGGACTGCACATACTCATTTTATGGCATTTTGTTTGGAGCTGGTTTGTTTTCAAAGAAGAGTTAATAATACAACCTGTTTTTGTGAACAGGAGCCAATAGAGTTAAGTGATAGTGTAGTCCCATTTATTGCAATTTTTTTGTGACTGCAAAGTCTATTTGCTTGTTTTTTAAAAAAGATAAGAATACTCTTACCTGATTATCATGGACTTTGGATGTCTTCCTTATCTCCCCAGCAAAATACAAACTATGAAGAGCAGCACACTGACTATGAAGAGCTGACTATGAAGAGCAGCACACTGCTATTCAAACTTCTCATTACTCAGAATAATCCATGTTTTACATTCAGTGGGTTGTTTTCAACGTGTATAGGTTATGAGTGTTGATTATGTCTTGGAGAGTTTCTTACTAACTTTTCATTATTCATTCATTCAATAAAGTGTTAATTGAGCAACTATGCTGGACCAGGAACGTATCTAGGCTGCACCCCTGAGAAAGTCAGTGTCTGACTCTCATTTACCTATATCTTTTCTGGTGAAAAAAAGGCCATGTCTAATTAAACATAAATCAACAAAAAGATTCTAGAAAAAGTTAAGGGTCATAAAGGAAAAAAATGGCAAGGGAAGAGGAAGTGGTTAATGAGGAAAAGGAGTCAGTTAGTTAGGGAGGTAGAGGCTACTTTTTCTGAGGAGGTGACTGACCTGGATGAGGAGAACAACTGACCTGAAGAGAAGTTTCTGAAGGGCACTGAGGTTCATGACAATCAAGGCGCTTAGAAGGAATACAGTATGAACGTGTGAAGGACAGAGAAAGGCACTATGAGGAGAGTGACTTAACCAACCGAGGTAAAAAAGAGAAAGTTCGTGAGGGGGCAGGTCAGAGCCATTTTCTCTCAGTGTCTTAAAGATCACCACATGTGACTGATGTGAAATTAATAAGGCCTTCATTTTCTGTTTGGGGAGCAAATGCTTTGTAAGTACAGCAGGACATTCTGGGAATTTTTTTAACCAAAGTACCCCCATGGTCATATTTATTTTTTAGCAAAGTAATGACTCGAATTGGGCTGTGAGAAGCAGAAGAGATGCTTATCTGGGCAAAGTGGATCCTGGCATAAACTAGTTTTGGGGCAGTGAAGATTGTTGGAGACATAGGCAGATGATACCATATTTTTAAATCAATGTCATTTACACTCCTTGGTGTGAGAAGAGTCAGATTAGGAGTGACCTGGCAGCTTTGGCCTTAATCTATTAGATAGATTCTGACTTACTGATGTTAAATGTATTAGCGGTCAAGAAAGTTGAGATAAAATGAAAGGAGTTTGTTATTTTTGCTCAATTCTAGATTGAGACACCAATGAACATGCAGATTAAGTGGGCAGGTTTGCAAGTGAGTGGAGTTTGAGCTCAGAGAAAAGAAAATACGCATAGGTATTCAGCAGCACTTACAGGGTAATTTATGGTATTAAAACCACGTGTATGCATATGCATCTGCACATATTTATGCATGTGTATGCACGTAGATAAACATATGCATATGAGTATTTTTCAGAAAATAAAAGGGATAAAACCAATAATCTCAGCTTCCACCTTATGAAACTACATAAAGAGGAGCAATTTATATCTGAAGTAGAACATGAGCAAAATAAATAATAAATATTAGGGCAGAAATCAATAAAACTGCAAACAGAAAAAGTGACACTGAACACCAGGCAAGCCAAAGGCTGGTTCTTTGGAAAGAACAATATTGTATAGTTCCCATATATTTGAAAATTTGGGGGTTACATTTTCAATATTGATTTCTAGTTTGATCCCTCCATGGTCAGAGAACACATTCACTGTGATTTTAATTATTGCAAATATGTTGAGAGGTTATGTGGGCAGGATATGTCCTATCTTGGTATATGTTGTGGGCACTTGGAAGAAAAAAATGTGAACTTCTATTGTTATGGGTTGGAGTGTTCTATAAATGTCAGTTAGATCTCGTGGGTTGATGATATTGTTGAGTCCTAAATCCTTGCTGATTTTCTGTCCAGTTGTCCTATCGAAGATTAAAAAGGGGTTTTTGAAGTCTCTGTGTGCAATTGTTTTGTTAGTTTCTGCCACATGCACTATATCGCTCTGTTGCTTGGTGTCTACGCACTTAGAACTGCTCTGTCTTCTTTCCAAAATGACTTTCTTCATTATGTAATGTACCTTTCTGCCCCTGGTAACATTCTTTGGCTCTGTAGTCTACTTTATCTGATATTAGTATTTGCTACTGATTCTTTTTATTAATGTTTGCATAGTATACCATTTTCCTTCCTTTTATATTCAATCTACTTATACTGTTATATTTGATGTGAGTGTCTTGTAGATAACATACAGTTGGGACATTTCTTTTTATTCATCAATTGTTGTCTTTTTCAAAGTTTCATAATTTGCATATTTAATATATTGATATTGATATATTAAAATTTAAGTCTGCACTCTACTTTTTTGCTATATCTTTTTTTGCTTCTCTGTTTTCTTTTTGCTGCCTTCTTTTGGGTTACTTGAACATCTTCACAATTTCATTTTAATTTTACCTAATTTTGGGGTATCTCTTTTTATAATGATTTTCAAATTGGTTGTCATGGTATTTCCTTTATATGCATAGCTTCTCACAGTATGTTGGCATCAATATATTACCATTTAAAATAAATATAGAATTTTACCTTTTTTATGTCATGTTTCCTCCCCCATTGTAAATAGATTGTTTTTTAAAAGTAATTTATCTGCATATATTAGGAACAAAACAGTATTACAACTTTGATACAACTATCACACATGATTTAGCAATGCATTATATCCATCTATCTTCTCATTTTTGTAGCCTTTTGTCCCTAACATTATTTAACATCCTCTCTTTATCTTTAGTTTTATCTTCCTAGGGCTCATTTTGCCTATGTTTAAAGTGGATCTGCTGGCAGCAAATACTCTTAGTTTTTCTACAACTGAGGACTTCTCAATTTGTCCTTCATTTCTAAATAATAATTTTACTGGACATAGGATTTTAGGGCAGCAGATCTTTTCTTTAAATACTAGAAAATATGTCATAATTGACACCAGATAACAAGGTGGAAATATTTCCAAGAACAGAGGACAACCATGCTCTCAGTGAGGTGAAAGACATCTCTTCCCCTTGCATTAGTTTCCAATGCTGCTGTTTAAATCACCACAGTCTTATTGGCTTCACACAAATAAAATATAGTACCCCGTGTCAGAAGTCTCACTGAGCTAATGTTAAGGTGTCAGTAGGGCTGTAATCTGTCACACATGTGTGTGTGAAGAGACAACCAAGCAGGCTTTGTGTGAACAATAAAGCTTTTTAATCACCTGTGTGCAGGCTGACTGAGTCCGAATAAGGAGTCAGCAAAGGGAGATAGTGGTGGGGCAGTTTTATAGGATTTGGGTAGGGTAGTGGAAAATTACAGTTAAAGGGGGTTGTTCTCTTGTGGGCAGGGTCAGGGGTCACAAGGTGCTTTGTGGGGGAGCTCCTGAGATTCATTTTCCAGGAGAAGGAATGTCACAAGGTTAATTGATCAGTTAGGGTGGGGCAGGAACAAATCACAATGGTGGAATATCATCGGTTAAGGCAGGAACTGGCTATTTTCACTTCTTTTGTTGTTCTTCAGTTGCTTCAGGTCATCTGGATGCATACATGCAGGTCACAGGGGATATGATGGCTTAACTTGGGCTCAGAGACCTGACATTCCTATCTTCTTATATTAATAAGAAAAAACAAAATACTGGTGAAGTGTTGGGGTGGCAAAAATTTTTGGTGGTGGTATGGAGAGAGAATGGGCATTGTTTCTCAGGGCTGCTTCGAGTGGGATTAGGGGTGGCATGGGAACATAGTGTAGAAGATATTAAACTGAAGAAAGATTTTCGGGTAAAGGGTGGTATTGTGGGGTTGTTATAAGGAGCATTTGCCATATAGAATGATTGGTGATGGTCTGGATGCGGTTTTGTATGAATTGAGAAACTAAACGGAAGACACAAGGTCTGAATAAGAGAAGGAGAAAAACAGGTATTAAAGGACTAAGAATTGGGAGGACCCAGGACATCCAATTAGAGAGTGCCCAAGGAGGTTCAGCATAATTATTTGCTTGGTTGGTGAGTTTTTGGGCTCTATCCTTGAGTTTTTTTATGTTGTCATATACCAGGCCAGATTGATTTAGGTAAAAACAATACTCTTCATTTAAAAATACACAGAGTCCTCCTTTTTCAGCAGTAAGTCGAGGCCTTGGCAGTTTTGGAGGACAACCACAGCTAAAGATTCAACCTGGGCCTGGACGACTGATAAAGTTTGTGATATGTCTGTGATGCTAGCAGAGAAGTCATTAGAAAGGCTAAGGAAGGTTGTGACAGAGGTTGAAATGCCTGCTATTCCAGTTCCGAGAGCAATAGTGGAGGCAGAAATTCCTAAACTGACAAGTAAGGGAATTAGTGGAATAACACTTTTTTATCGTGTCGGTTTCATGAGGGGAACAGGAAGCTGTTTGGTCCCATTTGCAAATTGAATCTAGGGACTTAGGAAAACTAGTGTGCATGTGCCTGTCCAATTAGCAGATAGACACATGTAGGTAGAGAATCCACAGAGGAAGAAGAGACCTTGTGCAAGGCAATACCGGAGCTGCAAAGTGAAAAGATGAGAAGGAGTACTAAAAGAGGTGTATTGTACCCAGACTCCTAGGGATCCAGCTAGCGCGGCAGCCATCAGAGGTTGTAATGGGGACTGATGGGGTAACCGCATAGAGGGGAAGGTTCGATTTTCATGGTGTAAGAGAAAGTGTCGAGTGTCTATGAGCAACCTTTCACTGTTATTTACGGGGCTGGGTATAAGCAAACAAGAAGAGGGCCTGGGAGGAGAGTCTGAAGAGCAAGGGGAAGGCAGCAAAGGATGGAGTGAAATACAGGGTAATGTCTTCCTAAGCAATAATAACTGCTAATGTTTTTAAGTTTGTCAGTACTGATAGAGGGCTTATCTGTAATATGGAGCTGGAAAGCCACAATTGTTTCAGTGGTATGTGTAGCTGGGCTTTGGAGATCAAGAGTGAAGGAACATCGAGAAGATGCAAGGTTACCCAGGGGAATTCCAGTGGGTCTTTGCCGAGAGATACATAAAGGAGCAGCCACAGGAATAGCAGCTTGTGTTGTGAGGGGTCTAAATATGGGGGGAGTAGAGTTGATATAAGGAGAAAGGTTTTTTAAGTAAGTGCGAAGAAGGGCAGCAGCTTTCTGATGTGAAATGTCTGGGGAGGTCTTGCTGGACCTGTCTAGAAAGTAAAGAAGTTCTTCAGGAGGGTAAAGGTGAGGGCTGTTAAAGGAAGTTCGGAGATGTACGGAGACAGGAGATGTTGCCCAGTAGGTATGTAAGGCAGGGACAGCTTTGTAAGCGCAGGAAGAAAGGGAAATGCAAAGCCAGCAATTGTTCGCTAAGGAGGGATTAGAAATGGCTTGGAGAGAGTGAGTGAGACTGATAGTGTAGTGGAGATAGTTGGGGAGAGGGAGAGGGTGGCATAAGAATGGGAATGAGAATAAGAGTGAGTATAAAAATAAAGAATAGGACTTCATCATGGTGAAAATATTGGAGTGTGCCCTGCCAGCAAAGATCATCTATCCACTCCAAGAGGAAGTCAAGAGTGGTGGTTTGGCAATAGGGCCAGGAGATATCAGCTGTGATGGTTTGGAGAAACAGTGTAAACCAGCAGTATAAACAAGAGCAGGGCATTTATGAGTAGTTGAGAATGGTGAATAGGAGTATGACTAGACAGAAGATAGTAGGGATGACAAGTTTTGGGGCACAGTCCAAGTAGTGGGGGTGACTGTGTAAAGCCCTGTTGCAAAAAGTAGAGTAAGGATGAATAGACCTAATAGAATGAAGGAACATATTAGGTTCATAAGGGTTATTACTGTTTTCAGAAATGTGAGTGAGTTTAAGGGAAGTAGTGGAGAGTACTTGCAACTTCCAGGAGGAAGAGGAGAGATCAGGCTTGCTGTCCAATGGACACAGCTTTATTCTGGAATGGTGAACCCAATGGGGAGGGTCCTGCAGATGGACAGCAGTTGGGGTGCTATAGATGACTAGGTAGGGTCCAGTCCATCGAGGCTGTAGAGTTTGAGGGCTCAGACTCTTAACAAGAACTGATCATTCAGCTAGGGTGTCTTCATATGGCTGGGAATCTGGAGTAGGAAAGAGAAGATTAGCAGTCGGGCGAATTTCCTGTCTAGCCTGCTGGAGGACTGGAAGATAGTTGTCCAGAGGGCTGGTGTCTGGAACAAGGTTGGGGCCAAGCAAGAAAGTAAGTCCATATAAAAGTTGAAATGGACTGTACCCTGTAGCATCTTGAAGTCAGGCTCTACTTCTGAGAAGGGCAAGTGGTAGAAATACTGTCCAGTCCCTTTTAAGTTGGAAGCTGAGCTTGGTGAGGTGTGTTTTTAAAAGACCATTACTCCTTTCTACCTTTCCTGAAGACTGAGGATGGTAGGGGGTATGAAGTTTCCACTGAATATCAAGAGCTTGAGAGACAGCTTGGAGGATTTGACTAATAAAAGCCAAACCATTGTCAGATTGAATAGAAGTAGGGAGGCCAAATCAGGGAATTATGTCTGTTAGAAGGGAAGAAATGACTGCAGTAGCCTTTTCAGAGATAGTGGGAAATGCCTCAACCCACCCAGTGAAGGTGTCAATCCAAACCAGGAGATATTTAAATTTACAGATATGGGGCATATGAGTGAAGTCAATCTGCCAATCTTGTGTTGGAGTAAATCCATGAGCCTGATGCGTAGGAAAAGGAGGAGGGCTGAGAAAGCCTTGGGGGCTGGTGGCATGGTAGACGAGCATTGAGAGGTGACTGTCTTAAGGATGGATTTCCATGAAGAGAAGGAGATGAGGGGCTGCAGGAGGCGAGCCAGAGGCTTGTATCCCACATGGAAGTGGTCATGAAGGAAAGAAAGCATGGACTGAGCTTGTGAGGCAGGAAGAATGAATTTTCCATGATTTAAGAAGCACTTTCCCTGAGTTGGAAAAGACTAGTAGAGCAGGCTTTCAAAAGAGTAGGTGGTAGTGATAGATAAGGAAGAAAAATACTGGTCCTCTGGAGTGGGAGCTGGAATATTAGCGGGTGTGGAGGCATTGGCTATTTCTTTTGCTGTCCTGTCGGCATAGGCATTTCCTTTTGCAATAAGATGAGTAGGTTTCTGGTGTCCTTTACAATGAATGACTCCAGGCTTGGCCAGCAGGAGAGCAGCCTTAAGGAGGACCTTTATTAGGGAGGCATAGATAATGGAAGAGGTTTGTGTGGTAAGGAAGCCTCTTTTAGCCCAGATGGCAGCATGGTTATGGAAGATGTGGAAAGCATATTTGGAGTCAGTATAAATGTTAATGTGCATTCCCTTAGCGAGAGAGAGCACATGAGTTAAAGCAATCAGTTTGGCTTGTTGGGAAGTGGTGGAGGGAGGAAGTGCAGCAGTTTCAATAATAGAGATGTGGGACATGACAGCATATCCAGCTTACCTGGTGAAAATTGATTGGGTGGTCTGGATTTTGAATTCGAAGAATAGAAATACGAGGAAAGGAGGAAGATCCTATGTGTATTAGGGAAATGCAGTCACGTGGTTCAGGACTTGTGTTGGTTACTAACTGAGAAGCTGGGTTGAAATCGTGCCCATGGCCAATAGTTACTGTTGGGGTTTCAATAAAAGATGAATAGAGCTGGAGGAGTCGAGGGGCAGACAGTAAGTGTGAAAGGTGTGAGGAGGATATTAATGCTTGAAGGTTGTGAGAACTGTAGAGGGTAAGTGGAGCATAGCTTGTGATTTTGAGGGCTTCCAGAAGTATTACAGCAGCAGCTGCTGCTGCACGCAAATATGAGGGCTGCACCAGAATTGTGAGGTCAAGTTGTTTTGATAGAAAGGCAACAGGTCATGGGCCTGGCTCCTGTGTGAGGACTCCAGCAGCGCAGCCTTGTATTTCAGCTGTGTGTAAGGAAAAAGCATGGGACGAGTTGGGGAGTGCTAGTGTGGGAGCTGTCTCCAGGGCCTTTTTGAGAGAGCAAAAAGAACAATGGGCAAAAAACTTAGGGTCTATGGGATCAGTTAAGTTACCTTTTGTGAGCTTGTAAAGTGGTTTTGTTAGGATAGCAAAGCCTGGTATCCAGAGTCGGAAATATCCAACAATGCCTAAGAAGGAAAGGAGTTGTTGTTTTGTGGTGGGGATTCGGGTCTGGGAGATTAACTGAGCACAGTCTGCAGGAAGGGCATGTGTATGCTGATGGAGGATTATACCGAGATAGGTAACACTAGGGGAAGAAATTTGTGCCTTGGAGGGGGATACTCGGTACCCCTTTAAATAGAGATGTTGAAGAAGCAGGGTAGTGTCCTGCTGGGAAGATTGGTAAGAGGGACTGCAAAGAAGAAGATCATCAAAATATTGAATAAGGTGGGAGGCAGACAGGTGAAAAGAAAGCAGATCATGAGAAAGGGCCTGGCCAAAGTAGTGTGGGCTGTTCCTGAAGCCTTGGGGCAGAACAGTCCAGGTGAGTTGTTGGGATTGGTGGGTGTCACGGTCAGTCCAAGTAAAGGCAAAAAGAGGCTGAGAGGAGGGATACAAGGGGATAGTAAAGAAGGTGACTTTGAGGTCAATAACAAAATAGTGAGTTGTGGAAGGGGGTATTGAAGATAGGAGGGTGTAGAGGTTTGGCACTATAAGGTGGATGGGAAAGACGATTTGATTAATAAGGCAAAGATCCTGAACCAACCTGTAAGATTTGTCTGGTTCCTGGATGGGTAGGATAGGGGAGTTGTAATGTAGCAGGATGAGCCATGGACAAAACCTCTCAGACACCGAGTTGTAGAAGGAAGGGCTTTATTCAGCTGGGAGCATCGGCAAGCTACTGTCTTAAAATCGGAGCTCCTTGAGTGCACAATTTCTGTCCATTTTAAGGGCTCACAACACTAAAGATTTTACATGAAAGGGTCGTGATTGATTGAGCAATCTAGGGGTTATGTAACAGGGTCTTCATGCACTGGTAGTCAGAGTCAAACAGAACAGAACAGGGAGTTTCACAATGTTCTTCATACAATGCTTGGAATCTATGGATAACATTGGTTGCTAAGTCATGAGATGATTTTTAACTACTAGGTTTAGGCCAGGCAGGCCCAGGCCTGGCGCCGGGCTGCCTGTCTCTGATTTCACTTCCTTGATTTTTACTCTTAAAACAGGTACTGAGTATAAAACAATATAAAACAATATGAGAGGGTCTCTCTCTTCCCTCAGTAAGGAGAATTTGTAGGCTTTAAGAGGCCATGTTGTAACAGGTGGGTGATAACAGGCTCTAGTGGTAACAGTGATTAGGTTTTAACGGGATGGTAAGGGGTGCATGATCAGTTGCCAAGGAAGGAGTAGAGGTATCCCATACTTGTGGATTAAGGCAGGGAGACACAGGGGAGGATGCAAAGGAGGCTTTGAAGTGAGGAAAAGGGTGGCAATGAGGTGTGGCTGTAGCCCAGGAATAGTCAGGGAAGTGGATAGTTTTGTTAAAACGTCTCGACCTAATAAGGAAACTGGGCAGGTAAGGATAACTAAAAAGGAGTGCATAAAAGAATGTTGTCCAAGTTCGCAACAGAGTTGGGGAGTTTTAAGAGATTTAGAAGCCTGGCCGTCAATACCCACAACAGTTATGGCGGCAAGGGAAACAGGTCGTTGAAAAGAAGGTAATGTGGAGTGGGTAGACTCCACATTGATTAAGAAGGGGATGGACTTACTCTCCACTGTAAGAGTTACCCAAAGTGTCTGTGATGGTCCAGGAGGCTTCCAAGGCGATTGGGCAGCATCAGTCTTCAGCAGCTAAGCTGAGAAGATCTGGGAAGGAGTCAGTCAGAGAGCCTTGGGCCAGAGTTCCAGTGGCTCTGGGAGTGGCTGCCAGGAGAGTTGGACAGTCCAATTTCCAGTGGGGTCCTGCACAGATGGGACACGGCTTAGGAGGAATCCCAGGCTGTGGGCATTCCTCGGTCCAGTGGCCAGATTTCCAGCACTTGAAGCAAGATCCCGGGGGAGGAGGTCCTGGAGGAATGCCGGGCTGCTGCGGTTTAGGCATTTTAAAATTTTGTGACCTAGTGTAAGCAAAACACTATCTGAGGCAGGTCTCAATCAATTTACAGGTTATTTTGCCAAATATATGGCTTATGGCCTGTGACACAGCCTTAGGAGGTCCTGCAAACATATGCCTAAGGTGGTTGGATTTTACGTTGGTTTTATACACTTTAGGAGACACAGAAATTACAGGCAAAGACATAAATCAGTACATATAAGATACACATAAGTTTGTCCTGGAAAGGTGGGATAGCTTGAAGCAGGGGTTTCCAGGTCATAGGTGGATTCAAAGCTTTCCTGATTGGCAACTGGTTGAAAGAGTTAAGCTCTGCCTAAAGAGTTGAATTCATCATAAAGAAATGCTTGAGTCTAGAAAATGGGGGGTTCTTGTCATGTAGATGAATCCTATGGGTAGTAAATAAAGTAGATGGTGAATGTTGATTATCAGACCTTAGAAAAAAATGTCAGACTCTTTGGAAAAGACTTAGTAAGGGGAGGAGATTCTCTATAGAATGCAATTTTCCCCCACAACAGGTAGCTTTGCAGGGCCACTTCAGAATATGTCAAAGAAATATTTTTAGGATAAAATATTTTTATTTTCTCCAGGGCCTATTATCTGTCACATTGGAGTATGGTATCTTATTGCTAAAAAGTATCTGTTTCATCAGTCCAGAGATCTCTGTTGTAATGATAATGCTGGTCAGTTGTGTCTGAACTCCAAAGGGAGGAGAGTATAATGAGGCACATCTAAACCTGCCAGTCATGGCCTAATCTAGTTTTCCAAATTTCTTTGAAGTGCTTTCTGTCAAAAGAGGAGTCCATTCAGCAGGTTGGTGACCTACAACTTAATTTTTGGTTTTAACACACAGAAAAACAAAATCACTGCACAAATTCAATCTGAAATAGATTGGTAAAGAAAAATTAAGTGCTTCCTGAATATTCCTACATGTCAAAGAAAAAGAAATTATTAGAATTCAGATGAGAAATACCCCTCATACAAAAGATTAACGATTTTTTTTTTTTTTTTTTTTTTAACTGTCTTAGTTTGGGTCCACCTGCAATAAGGATTCCTGTTTAGGCAGCAAATTTACGCTGGGAGAAAAGGAGGAAAGTGAGGAAGGGAACAGAAGATGAATTGTAAAAGACGCATCAACAACCCACCTGACTCAGGAGAACTGAAGATCAACCACCTGTGGAAACATGGACTAAATTCCTCCGGGCTGTTCCACCTGAGAGATGAGGAAGCTGAAGTATGTATACACCTCATCCTGTCCTCACTGATTGTGAGCTGTCTCTCTTGTTCTATTTCAAGCTGCTGTAACAGATTCCTTTTCACTGAGTAATTCATAAAGAACACAAATTTATTTTCTTACACTTCTGGAGAATGGGAAATTTAAGTTCAAGGCATGGGCAGGTTAAGGTCTGCTTTCTTTGCTTTCAAGATGATGCCTGGAGTTTGGGGTCCTTCAAAGGAAGGAAGGCCATGTCTTAACATGACAGACAAGCAGAAGAGAGAGAGATCCCAGCCCCACAATTGCTGTTTATACTGGCATTAATGTATTCCACTAGAGGGCACCACACTCATGATCTAAACACATCCCAATAGGCCCCAATTGGCAATACCATTACACTGAGAATTAACTTTACAACAGATGGATTCTGGAGGACACAGTGAAACCATAGCACTTTCCTAAGAGATACACATTCCAGGTCATTTGGTCAGCAATGCATGCAGGCAGAGTTCTCTGCCCAAGACTGTAAAGAACATAAGACATGTATATTGCCATTGGAAGTGAGCAGAGGTACAGCAAAGAGAAAGCCCTAGAATACAGATAGAGACTCCTATATTCATCCTGGTACAGTTAACCCTTGAATAAATTGGGTTTGAAATTTGCAGATCCACTTGTATTTTCTTCTGTGTGTGTCACCTGTAAGCAAGTACTTAATAAGTAGTAAATATATTTTCTCATTTTTATAATTTACTTAATTACATTTTTTTCTTTAGCATAGTTTATTGGAATAATAGAGTATATGATATAAATAACTTAAAAAAGTGTTAATCAACTATTTATTTTATCATTAAGGCTAGCAGTCAAAAGTAAGCTATTAGTACTTAAGTTAGAAATGCAAAAGTTCTACACAGGTTTTCATCTGCACCTGTGGTCAGTGCCCCAACCTCCACATTGTTCAGGGGTCAACTGCTCTTTCAGTCTGTAGCTGCATCTCTCTGGAACAGGATCTTGGTAGGTGAGTTGTAAGTAAAGGAATCCAGAAAATAACATCTCAAACTATGCTGCATTCGTATGAGGATTACATAAAACCAAAGGCATTTAGAAAGCAGCAAATGCACAAAAAGCCTTCTCCTAAACATCGCTTATCTGCCAAAAAGCAGATTCTCCAGAAGGAAACCAATTGTCAAAAAACTTCTTCCTGAGAATTTTTATATCAGGGAAGATTAACACAAAACAGGAATCAAAAATAGAAGAGACTGGGAACTGATGCTTTATCCAGACAGGCTATTACCTGTTCTTTTGAAGATGCACTTCTGTTCTCATCTATTCTCTCCAGATTGCCTACACTTCCGAATTCCGTCTTCGCTGGAAAGGAAATATGAACTACTGGATCTTATTGAGTTATTTGGGTAATCACCCTGCTATGATATCCTGCTGCACTTTAAATGAATTTTGTTTGCCTTTTCTCTTATTAATCTTCCTTTTGTCAGTTTATTTTCAGCAAACATTTAGAGGACAAATGGAGTTTTCTTCCTTTCTCCCAATATAAGCAAGTTCCCTTAAAATTCAGGCGGCTTACAAAGCAGCAAGAAGGTTTGTGCACGGGCTATGGCACTGTGATTTGGCTCCCCTACTCAGGCATCAGTAAAATTTTGTGGAGCCCTAGGCTGCAGCCCACTGATGCTAATATAGTTGGATCCACTTCCCCTGCTACTGAGCTAGGCTGGGACAGTTTTGGGCACATTAGATATGTGCGATATAATGATTGCAAATCATTTCCAGTTTTGTCTGGATCAAACTGCTTTCTCCATGTACATAGGCATCATCTCTGTGGATCTGTAGTAAATTGCTTGATCTTATAGTGGTAAGAACAATGGCATAACACCATTACCGAATACTGACATGTATATATAGCATCATGTCAATAAATTTTATTTTTGATTTTTTTTAGAAAGGAACAATGTTAAAATCACAGAAATGTTCCAAGTATAGGGCAAAGTAACCCCTTCCCTAACCGGGATCATATGAGAGTCTTTTGGAGACCTGATAATCATACCGTCTAACATTTTATTATATATTTCCTACAAACAAGAATATTCTCCTAAATAATCCCCATACACCAATGAAATACATTACTCCATCAACTCCTGAGGAATATTTCAAATTGTCAAAAAAAACCTAAAAAATGTCTCTCATAATAAAATAGTTCCCAGTAGAAACACATTCTCTGGAGACAAATTTGTGCTACCCTGGTCTTACCTGGGACACCTGGGGACACTGAACTGGTGCTGAGTTACTGAGATGAGCCAGCCCTGCAGCTGTGCCCAGCCTGCCCATCCTCTGCTCATTTGCATATTCCCAGAACACAACCTCCTGCCCTGAAGACTTCTTAATAGGCTGGTCACACTTCTTGCAGGAGTCAGACCCACTCAGGACACAGCATGGACATGAGGGTCCCCGCTCAGCTCCTGGGGCTTCTGCTGCTCTGGCTCCCAGGTAAGGAAGGAGAACACTAGCAGTTTACTCAGCCCAGGGGGCTCAGTACAGCCTGGCTATTCAGGGAAATTCTCTTACTACATGATTAATTGTGTGGACCATTTGTGTTTATGCTTCCAATCTCAGGTGCCAGATGTGCCATCCAGTTGACCCAGTCTCCATCCTCCCTGTCTGCATCTGTAGGAGACAGAGTCACCATCACTTGCCGGGCAAGTCAGGGCATTAGCAGTGCTTTAGCCTGATATCAGCAGAAACCAGGGAAAGCTCCTAAGCTCCTGATCTATGATGCCTCCAGTTTGGAAAGTGGGGTCCCATCAAGGTTCAGCGGCAGTGGATCTGGGACAGATTTCACTCTCACCATCAGCAGCCTGCAGCCTGAAGATTTTGCAACTTATTACTGTCAACAGTTTAATAATTACCCTCACATAGTGTTACAAACCCGAACATAAACCCCCAGGGAAGCAGATGTGTGAGACTGGGCCGCCCCAGCTGCTTCTCCTGATGCCTCCATTGGCTGAGAGTGTTCCTCAGATGCAGCCACACTCTGATGGTGTTGGTAGAGGAGGATATGAGATCACCTCTGCATCCCAATTTCTTTTTCTTTTCTCAGCCCCAGCTGCACAGACATTACAATGCCTCTGCTGATTTAATAAAGATAGAGATCATGACACCTGAAGAGTCTAGTTTATGGCTTTGGTTAGAATTCATATAACAGAGAAGAAGCCATTATAGATATTCTAAGCAGGAATAGTCTTAATAGATAGAATTAGAGTCTAAAGTATTGAAGTCTAAATAAAATGTACAGATAAATTTAATGTTTTATTTGCTAAGAAATTTTTGCCAAATGGGGCATACAGGAAAACTCAATGGTCTTCAATATGTTGGAAGAGCAAAGAGTTTTATTAAAAGGGAAATTATTACCTATTGTTCTTTGAGAAATTTTGTTGGCTGTAGTAAGGGTTGGGAGCTGGCAAGCTCAGACTGGTAAGCAGTGGTGGTCAAACTGAATCCTAGAATTATATTAAGTTATCTCAGAAGTTGTGGGTAAATTTGCTTTCAGGTTACAATAAGCCAAAGCAGTGAAGCTTGCAGAGAATTTTGTTACTGAAATGCCAGGGATTCAGTATAGATCCTGCGGCTCACCACACAGAAAGCCAATCACTAAGACAACAAGTGTTGTCAAAGAACAGGCTTTAATCAGGTGCTGCAGCCGAGGAGACGGGACACCATTCTCAAATGTATCTCCCTGACAAAATAAATTAGGCGTTTATATAGCAGGGAAGAAATGTGGAAAACAGGAATTAGAGAGGGGTAAGGAAGATAATTTAGTCAACAGGAAGCTGGAGGTCAGTTAGGCAATCATAATGGGTGAAGGGTCTGATGTCTCACTGTCCCCATTCAGTGATATATAACTTTCAGCTCCTTGATAGTATCTAGAGGCCTGATGGTTGGTTTCCTGAAAAAAGAACTCAGATTAACAAATGTAACTACCTTGAGTTTTAAGACTGGGGGAGTCAGTTTCTATGTTTATTCAAAAAATCATAAACATTAGTTCCATGGGATAATAGGGTCTATTTCAATTGCATTCTTCAGACAATATTTTGCACCCTGAGTGGTTTTCCCTCCTGGTTTCTTGGCTCTGTTGGGTATGTCAAGAATGACCGAATTCCTATGATTAACTTTTACACTACAACCTTTCAAAGCCAAGGATATAGTAGTCAGGCAGGTTGACAGTAGAAGCAGGATTCTCTGGTACTCCCTCAGAAAATAGAATGCATCTGCCACTGAAGTATGGGCTATCTAACCATGTGGTCCTCAGTCCTGTCTGAAAGCTTAAGGGTGGGGTTGCAGCTGCTCTCAGCTTCCTATAGCATCTTTCAGGTTTTTCCCAGGCACATGTGTTGACAAGGAAGAAAACGGTGGGAATCACCATGTTTGGGTGAATCCAGTTTCTAATGGCTATGATTTGCATAGGAAAGCTTCCCAGCCTGGCTCTAAGAGCCAGGGCTTTCTGGCTAGACAAGAAGTGTTTCTAGAGCTGCTTTAAAGGAAACAAAACCTTCCCAAGGACCCCTTTTCCTATCTGCCTAAAATAATTTCTTAAAAACTCCTATAACACTTGGGTTCCAGAGATGAGGACATGGACATCCTTTGGGGTGGGACATTATTCATTCCACCGACCATAAACATATTCCCCAAAATTGTCCTTCTCTAAAGTAAAATTTAAAAAATCACGAAGTATTTTTATGAATCAAGGGAGGTGGACAAAATCTTAGACTCAGGTTCCTCTAACTTGTGAGTTTTATCTGTTGGGGTATGCTCACTCCACTGTCTCTAATGTAGATTTATTGATGTGTAGATAGTTTTAGAGGATTTTTAAATTTTGTGACCCAGTATAAACAAAACAGTATCTGAGACAGGTCTCAATCAATTTACAGGGTTATTCTGCCAAAGATAAGGCTTATGGCCTGTGACACAGCCTTAGAAGGTCCTGTAAACATGTGCCCAAGGCGGTTGGATTACACATTGGTTTTAAGCACTTTAGGGAAACACAGAAATACAGGGAAAGACATAAATCAATACATATAAGATATACATTAGTTTGTCCTGGAAAGGTGGGATAGCTTGAAGCAGGGGCTTCCAGGTCATAGGTGAATTCAAAGCTTTCCTTACTGGCTACTGGTTGAAAGAGTTAAGGTCTGTCTAAAGAGTTGAATTCATCATAAAGAAATGCTTGAGTGTAGAAAAGGGGATGTGGAAGCCAAGGTTCTTGTCATGTAGATGAATCCTATCAGTAGCAGATAAAGTACAAGGTGAATGTTGCTTATCAGAGCTTTAAAAAATGTCAGACTTTAAAAAAGACTTAGTAAGGGGAGGAGATTCTCTATAGAATGCAAATTTCCCCCACAACTGGCAGCTTTGCAGAACCACTTCAGAATATGATGAAGAAATATTTTTAAGGTAAAATATTTAGATTTTCTTCAGGGCCTATTATCTGTCATGTTGGAATATGGTATCTTAATGCTACAAAGCGTCTGTTTTGTCAGCCCAAAGATCTCTGTTGTAATGACAATGTTGGTCAGTTGTGTCTGAACTCCAAAGTATAATGAGGCACATCTAAACCCACCTGCCAGTCATGGCCTAACCTAGTTTTTCAAATTTCTTTGAAGTGCTCTTTACAAAAGAGGAGTCCATTCAGCAGGTTGGTGGCTTACAACTTAATTTTTGGTTTTAACACACAGAAAAACAAAATCAGTTCACAAATTGAATGTAAAACAGATTGGTAAAAAAAAAAAAAAAAATTAAGTGCCTCCTGAATATTCCTACATGTCAAAGAAAAAGAAATTATCAGAATTCAGATGAGAAATACCCCTCTTACAAAAGATTAACAATTTTTTTTTTTAACTATCTTAGTTTGGGTCCACCCTCAATGAGGATCCCTGTTTAGGCAGCAAATTTACACTGGGAGGAAAGGAGGAAAGTGAGGAAGAGAACAGAAGATGAATGGAAAAAGACACATCAACAACCTACCTGACTCAGGATAACCAAAGATCAACCACATGTGGAAACATGGACTAAGTTCCTCTGGGCTATTCCACCTGAGAGATGAGGAAGCTGGGGTATGTATACACCTCATCGTGTCCTCACTGATTGTGCGCTGTCTCTCTTGTTCTATTTCAAGCTGCTATAACAGATTCATTGTCACTATGTAATTCATAAGGAACAGAAATTTATTTTCTTACAGTTCTGGAGAATGGGAAATTAAAGATCAAGACATGGGCAGGTTAAGGTCTGCTTTCTCCACTTTCAAGATGATGCCTGGAGTTAGAAATGCAAAAGTTCTACACAGGTTTTCATCTGCACCCATGGTCAGTGCCCAAACCTCCATGTTGTTCAAGGGTCAACTGCTCATTCAATCTGTAGCTGCATCTCTCTGGAACAGGATCTTGGCAGGTGGGTTGCAAGTAAAGGAATCCAGAAAATAACATCTCAAACTACGCTGCACTGGTATGATGATTATGTAAAACCAAAGACATTTAGAAAGCACCAAATGCACAAAAAGACTTTTCCTAAATGTCCCTTATCTGCATAATAGCAGATTCTCCAGAAGGAAACCAATTGTCAAAAAAATTCTTCCTGAGAATTTTTACATCAGGGAATATTAACACAAAAGAGGAATCTAAAATACAAGAGACTGAAGTTGATGCTTTATCCAGACAGGCTATGACCTGTTCTTTTGAGGATGCACTTCTGTTCTCATCTATTCTTTCCAGGTTGCCTACACTTCTCAATTCCCTCTTCCTTAGAAAAGAAATATAAACAACTGTATCCCATTGAGTTATCTGGGTAATCACCCTGCTATGATATTCTGCTGCACTTCAAATGAATTTTGTTTGTCTTTTCTCTTATTAATCTTTCTTTTGTCCATTCATTTTCAGCAAATATTTAGAGGACAAATGGAGCTTTCTTCCTTTCTCCCAATATAAGCAAGTTCCCTTAAAATTCAGGCAGCTTAAAAAACAGCAGGAAGGTTTGTGCACAGCCTGCAGCACTGTGATTTGGCTCCCCTAGTCAGGCATCAGTAAAATTTTGTGGAGTCCTAGGTGGCAGCCCACTGATGCTGATGTAGTTGGATCCACTTTCCCTGCTACTGAGTCAGGCTGGGACATTTTTGGGCACATTAGAGATATGAGATATAACGAGTGCAAATCCCTGTCCAGTTTCATCTGGATCCAAGTGATTTCTCCATGTACATAGGCAACTGCTTGATAAGAGATTCAGTGTCTCTTTCCTAAAGCAGTTAACAGGGAGGCTGTTGCCTGGGTCAGGATGATTTCCCCAATCACTGATAAAAAGTAAAAGAGGAAAGTGTCATTGATGGTGCATGGCAGGGACATGCTCCATGCAGTGGTCACCCTCAGTAAGAGAGATGAACTTTGGGAAATAATACTGAATGGCAGAAAAGAAGGTAGACTATGAAGGTGCCCAAAACAAGAATAAGGTGCAACCCATTTAGTGTCTGAGTACTATAGAGACCTGTCGCTCTTGATAATTGTGGATCTGTGACTGCTGCATGCATCGAGAAAACACGGTATCATCTTTGTGTATCTATAGTACATAGTTTGATCTCATACTGGTAAGAACAATGGCATAACACCATTACCTGATACTTACAAATGTATGTACCATCATGTCAATAAATTTTATTTTTAATTTTTTTACATAGGAACAATGTTAAACTCACAGAAATGTTGCATGTATACGACAAATACCCCCTTCCCTAGCCGGAATCATATAAGAGTCTTTTGAAGACTTGAGAATTGTACCGTCTAACATTTTACTATGTGTTTCCTACAAACAACAATATTCTCCTAAATAATCCCCATACACCAATGAAATACATTAGTCCATCAACTCCTGAGGAATATTTCAAATCGTCAAAAAGAAACCAAAAAATGTTACTCACAACAAAATAGTTCCCAGTAGAAACACATTCTCTGCAGACAAATTTGTGCTACCCTGGTCTTACCTGGGACACCTGGGGACACTGAGCTGGTGCTGAGTTACTGAGATGAGCCAGCCCTGCAGCTGCGCCCAGCCTGCCCCATCCCCTGCTCATTTGCATGTTCCCAGAGCACAGTCTCCTGACCTGAAGACTTATTAACAGGCTGATCACACCCTGTGCAGGAGTCAGACCCAGTCAGGACACAGCATGGACATGAGGGTCCCCGCTCAGCTCCTGGGGCTCCTGCTGCTCTGGTTCCCAGGTAAGAAAGGAGAACACTAGGATTATACTCGGTCAGTGTGCTGAGTACTGCTTTACTATTCAGGGAACTTCTCTTACAGCATGATTAATTGTGTGGACATTTGTTTTTATGTTTCCAATCTCAGGTTCCAGATGCGACATCCAGATGACCCAGTCTCCATCTTCCGTGTCTGCATCTGTAGGAGACAGAGTCACCATCACTTGTCGGGCGAGTCAGGGTATTAGCAGCTGGTTAGCCTGGTATCAGCAGAAACCAGGGAAAGCCCCTAAGCTCCTGATCTATGCTGCATCCAGTTTGCAAAGTGGGGTCCCATCAAGGTTCAGCGGCAGTGGATCTGGGACAGATTTCACTCTCACCATCAGCAGCCTGCAGCCTGAAGATTTTGCAACTTACTATTGTCAACAGGCTAACAGTTTCCCTCCCACAGTGTTACCAACCCGAACATAAACCCCCAGGGAAGCAGATGTGTGAAGCTGGGCTGCCCCAGCTGCTCCTCCTGATGCCTCCATTGGCTGAGAGTGTTGCTCAGATGCAGCCACACTCTGATGGTGTTGGTAGAGGGGTACGTGAAATCGCCTCTGCACCCTAATTCTTTTCTCTTTCTCAGCCCCAACTGCACAGACATAGCAATGCATCTCCTGATTTGATAAATACAGAGATCATGACACTTGAGGAGTCTAGTTTATGGCTTCAGCTTGAATTCATATAACACAGAAGAAGCCACTATAGATATTCTAAGCAGGAATTGTCTTAATACAGAGAATTAAAGTAAACTACTAAAGTCAAAATAAAATGTAGAGATGAATCTCTAAATTTAAGTTTTATTTGCAAAGAAATATTTGCCAGGTGGGGCATACAGGAAAACTCAGTGGTCTTCAAGATATTGGAAGAACGAAGAGAAAATTAGCATTTTATGAAAAAGGGAAAATGTTACCTGTGGCTCTTTGAGAAAGTTCATTGGCACTAGGAAGGGTTGGGAGCTGGCAAGCTCAGACTGGTAAGCAGTGGTGGACAAAATGAATCCTAGAATTATATCAAGTTATCTCAGAAGTTGTGGACAAATTTGATTTCAGGTTACAATAAGCCAAAGCAGTGAAGGTTGCAGAGAATTTTGTTACTGAAATGCCAGGGATTCAGTGAAGACTCTGCAGCTTACCCCACAGAAAGCCAATCACTAAGACAACAAGCATTGCCAAGGAACAGGCTTTAATCAGGTGCTGCAGCCTAGGAGATGTGATACCATTCTCAAATGTATCTCCCTGACCAACTGAAATTAGGAGTTTATATAGCAGGGAAGAAATGTGGGAAAACAGGAATTAGGGAGGGGTAAGGAAGATAATTTGGTCAACAGGAAGCAGGAGGTCAGTGAGGCAATCATAATGGGTGAAGGTTCTGATGTCTCACTGTCCCGATTCAGTGATATGTAAGTTTCAGCTCCTTGATAGTATCTGGGAGGCCTGTTCATTGGTTTACTGAAAAAACAAACAAACAAAAAAAAACTCAGATAAGACAGATGTAACTATCTTGAGTTTTAAGACTGGGGGAGTCAATTTCTATGTTTATACAAAAAAACATAAACATTAGTTCCATGGGATAATAGGGCCTATTTCAATTGCATTCTAGAAACAATATTTTGCACCCTGAGTGCCTTTCCCCACTGGTTTCTTTGCTCTGTTGGGTATGACAAGAATGACCAAATTCCTAAGATTAAGTTTCCCACTACAACCTTTCAAAGCCAAGGATATAGTAGTCATGAAAGCTGATATTAGAAGCAGGAATCTCTGATCCTCCCTCAGGCAACAGAATGCATCTTCCTCTGAAGTATGGGCTTTCTAACCATATGGTCCTCAGTCCTGTCTGGAAGCTTAGGGGTGGGGGTGCTGATGCTCTCAGCTTCCTACAGCATCTTTTCAGGTGTTTCTCTAGTCCTCATGTCTGTCCCTGTGTCTGTCTTAGGTACCAATGGAGAATATTGAGTCATCCTTTTCGGACTTCCAAATCTCATGGGAGGACTTCTTATTGGGCAACTCTATAAGAAACAAGAGAGACAAAATGAGAATTTATGTAAGTTAAAATGATTTTCCCCCATGAGGCCATTTAAATAAATTATATTTAAAGCCACATGTTGAAAACGCATCCAGCTTTATTTTCTTATTAATGCAAATTTACATTTGCAAATATTTTCAATATTGTAAAGGTTGAAAACATAATTATTTGTCCATGGAATGATCAAACACCTCTATAATTAAATGGAGTAAACATTTTCTTAAAAATTTGTACTCACTGAAATAAAGCAATATATTTGAAATGTGTGAAGCTATGTTAGAAATTATTGGACTTAAACTCAACTGTGCAGTTTGGTTTGGGATGCTGTTCACTCTTGTGACCTGCCAGAAGAATCTTGAGTCATGGGTAGTCACTGCTGTTCAGCCTTGTCCTCAGACAGTTGATATGTGTAGGCTGAAGACAAGCTCAGTGCCATGCAGAGAAACCACTCACCTGAACCCTTCCTTGATCAGCCAGATTACTGTGAACGTGAGCATCTATGAACATGAAAACAAATGTTTACTATTTTCTGTCACTGAGTTGTGTATTTAGCCAGTTACCAATCATTAATGCATAAAAGCTTCCTGATACAGTATTTACACCTCTACCTATATATACACACATGTATTTTTTCTTAAATTAGTGGCATAAATGTAAATATTTAGTAATCAAATTATAAACTTAGAAAATTAATGACAAAATTAAAACTAATATTTCAATAAAAAATTAAAATTTACCATATTTATGGGAAAATGTGCATACATGTATGTAAGATACATACAAGTCAATATATTATTTGATAAAATGTTGGCTATATATATAGTACTCATACTTAAGTGTGTTAATTCTATTATATATGCAATATATGCCTATTTGTAAAATTATTATCTAAATTGAATACATTTAAATAATTTTTGTTACATTCCATAAAAAATTGTATTCTGGACCACACATAGTTCATACTCTTGCTATGGAAAATTTATTTGTAGCCTTTATTTTTAAAACTCTACCAAATGATTGTCCTTGTCCGAAAATATTTTCCAACCCAGTAGAGCTCCAAGGGTAGGACTAGAAGAAATTTTGACTAATGTTGAATATTAATCATTGCATCCTATGAAAGTCTCCATTATGTTCATGCCCACAATGATGATATGCCAAATAGAGTTCTCACAACAATGGATGCTGGATGGAGTCACATCAGTGCCATTGTCAAGGAAGCCCTGGAAATGTAAAAATCAAAACAGTGGGTAAACTGCAAGGCCTATGTCTGATGATCACATTGCAAAGAGAATAACATTTTAATAATATTGGCTGTTGGTTTTGACAGATCATCAGGCCTTAAAAGAAATGCAACAGGATGATTACAGACAAAGTCATTGTGGAAGAGCTATGACTAGATGTTTTTAAAATGAGCCATAATCCAAAAAAAAAAATGCTTTCCAAGTGGATGCTAATCGAAATGCCATTAATGAGCAGGGGCTTTTAATAATGAGAATGATTCAACACATGGACTTCAGTCAGTCATCTTTCCCAGCTTTCCCTGGGAGTCTCATGAACCAATGTTATGGAGGTCTCTGTGGGGACTCAATAATTTGAGTTTCCCCCAACCGAGATTTAGAGTGCTACTGGCTCTTCTGAACACCTAATTTGCCAAGAAGAATGACCCCTCCTGAACCCTTCACATTGTATCACACATCAGGGCTCAGACTAACATCTGATGTCAGGTGATTCTACTGTCACTGGGTGCACCAGACTCAGATTTTGGACACAAAATTTCCTGAAGCAGCCAACAGTTGTGCCTCTTTTGAATGGCAGCTCCTTGCTTGCTGTAGGAAACTGATAGGGGCTGAGTATCTCAGAGCTAGAGCACCAGGCAGGATGCTGCGACCTTAACTAACCATTCTCACTTTGGTACCTACAAACACAATCAATAAAACTGGACAGGCCCAACAGATCCAAATCATTAAGTGGAAATGATACAGTCAGAATCAGCCCTAACCAGGATCCCACAGGACCCATGTGCCCCATGAATAAATGGCAAGCTTGCTAGAAGGGAACAAATGGCCCATAGGGGACAATTTAGCTTCTCCTTTGGCCACATAGAGCCAAAGATTCAGAGACATGCCTGTGTCAGTATGGCATGGGGCCCTGATGATTGTACAAAACACATGCCAGTGGATCCACTGGGTGCAGCCACCATCCAGCCAGGGGATGGCATCTTTTGACTGACACTGAACATGGTCATTCTGCCCAATGGGACAAACTACATGAAATGATAGTAGCCATGCAGGCTGCCCCCAACACTATATTTTGCTCCATTTCCACTAAATCATGGGCCATTGCCAACAGCCCAGCTGTCTGGTCAGGAAAATAGCAACTGAGTGACTGAACTATTAAAGGATCTCATGAGTGGAGAAAAGGACTATGGCAATAGCTTGCTTCCTGGACAGCTAAATATATGTCACTCTATTAGATGCTGGGGCTACCATGGCCACCCTTGAGAGGAATTTATGTCATGTTTTTGGATATTCCATGAGACTTCACTCTGACCAAGAAACAGCCTCACTGCCCAATCAACATAACAATGGGCACACTCTCATGGAAACAAATGGACTTTCCATGCAATTACCAACACCCAACACTGGCTGCTGTACCTGGATAAACACCTCAGATATCCTAGAAATACAAGTAGGGGTGATCATAAAGCAGGCTCACTGGCTGCAGACAATAGGACATCAAAAGATCCCCCTTTCACCTCTTAACATCTTAGTCACTGCTTGGGGAGTTTTATCCTCCTACCAGTGGTACTAGCTTTTCATGGCCCAGTGAAATGTACTCTCACTATGGCTTCATAATCTGCATTGAGATTGTGTAAGTCAAGGTGCTTCATCAATCTGAAAAGATAAACCTCTGCCTCCAGTTCAGGGGAAGTTGGTGGGCATATGAAGTATGCTAGCTTTGCTAAGGGGGATGAGATAACTGCAAGACCGTTCTGCAATGACCCTGGACTGACTTAGTTCTCTCCACTTTCTTGCTTATTTTAAGAGTTCTCAAGTACAATTGCAGAACGTGCTGGAATTGTAACATCCTGAGATAGACAGGAACTGAGCAGAACAACCTACCTGTCCTCTATACCAGTTTCCCATAGAATAGAATGTCCATTAGCACTTCAGCCCTGTGTGTCTTTTTACCCCAGGATACAAAACCCAGAGTGGCTGCTTTCCTGAGTTCCTGCACTGTGGTGTATGTGGGGTACACATAGTCAACTCCATCAGCTCCACATAGCTTTCCTGTGCCTTGGGGGACTGACCCATAATGAGTCCAAGAATTTTGTGTTCCCTTGCTGCTTATCTGTAATAATAAACCCACTTCATGTAACTTGCTGTGGGGGGTGTTCTCTTCCCCCACGCTCAAGTACGTTGGTAACCAGTGCACAGCGAAGTTGCTTCAAACATGTCATTGACATAAAGACAGAACTGCAATGGAGGTTGCTGGAGGTAGGGATAGAGAAAATGGGTGGAGTATTGTTTAAGGGGTATACATATTAATTTTTATAAGATGAAAAGATTTTTACTGATTATGTCAGTAATAATGGCAGAACATGTGAATATACTTAATGCCACTTCTCTGCACTCTCAAGTATGGTTAAGATAGACAATCTTATATTCTCTGTATTTACTATAGTTAAATAACTAACGTCTTTATTATAGTATTGTTAGCTCAGAAGACATTGTTTTATTTTCTACTTTTCTGAGCAAATGTTCATAAATAATCACTTTGTGATGACATTGTTCACAAATTGTGTGTGTGTGTGTGTGTGTGTGTGTGTTGTAGACATGGGGTCTCCCTATGTTGCCCAGGCTTGCATCAAATTCTTGGCCTTACATGATCCTGATCCTTTCTCCTTGGTCACTGAAAGTGCTGAGATTACAGGTGTGAGCCCGAGCACCTGGCCAGAAGAAACAGTTTATAAGACATTTCATAGGGAACTTCTTCAAAACGTATATTTCATTGCAGCCACCTCCAAAGCCAATCTCCTAAGCCATGTTTCTGTACACAAGTGCACTTCTCCCTCTGTGATGTCACATCCCCTCAGCATGAAGTCACACAGACACATAGGAGAACAAGGCAAGGAGTCAACCCAACTTTATGAGTGGAAATCACTGCAAAGATCTGGCATTAATAGGGTTTAGGTGTTGCAGCACTTCTCCACTAGCAAAACACTCTGATTTGTCTTCCTGGATTGTTTTCTCAAAGGTTTCCTAATATTTAATGCTAAAGCTGAGATTAGAAGCTTTTTATCCTGAGTCTAATTGAATGCTATTTCACTCAAAATGTATTGCCTTATGGAGTATGATAATAAATATTGAATAATGCCTGTTACTACTACCAGCAGTCCCTTTAGATCTCCTCTTATCATCCTAAATATCATGACTTAGGAAAAGTGTTTGAAAGGGGGTTTAGACAATATTGATCCTGTTTTCAATATCCTAATACAAGTCAAGCACCCATAAAAGTCAAGAGAATTGTAAGGAAAACATGACTTAATGATGATTAGCCATTCTGGTCACTGTTGAGTGAAGATTAAGAAAAATTCTTAAAAACAAGTAGCTGAAACATTGAGAACACTCATCAATTCTGGGCTGAGATGTAAAATGGTACAACTACTTTGGAAAACAGTTTGGTGGAGTATTAAACACTTGCTGTAAGACCCAGTAACTGCACTCCTGGGTATTTGCCTAAAAGAAATAAAGAAATATTCATGCAAAGCCATGTATAATACCATTCTTGGTAGCTTTATCCATAATAGCCCAAAGTGGAAACAACCCACATATCTATCAGCAGGTGGTGGGATACATTGTGAAATTACTACACAGTTAAATAGTACCCAAAAGTGAAGAGTAACACATCATGAGGACACAGGGCGACATGAATGAGCCTAGGAAACAATTATGCTGCATGAAAGTCACCAGCCACAAAAGAACACGTGCTATATTCCATTTATGTAAAATTCTTAAAAAGAAAGTGAAATCTATACTAACAATAAGCTGACCAAGGATGGTCTGTTCTGTGAGGTGGAAAGCAAGTTGATTCCTGAAGAGCAGGACAAAACTTTTTGGAGTTATAGAAATGTTGTGTGTATTGATTTTGGAGGCATTTACACGAGTGTACTTGTTCAACAGTACATTTAAAATCAGAGTATTTGATTGGAATCATTTTTTTTCAATAAAATTGGTTAATAGTGAATAGTGAGTAATTGCAAATCCAATTAAGTAATGTTGTCTTCACATCTTTTATTCTTGCAGTGTACTGAAAGCTACATGAGCCAAAAGTTATTTCTGGTAGATAATCTCAGCCTGACACTAAAGAACTGTGTATCTTCTAGCAAGAGCTCACTTTTCTAGGTATTTTTGGATTTTTCCAAGAATTTAAATGTGTTTCATAGGTTAAATCAAAATGGTAGGCTTTTAATACACATTTCTTATTTATATCAACTAAAAGTCTAAGTAATAAAAAGTTATTAAAAATTGGAAAATATTTAAATGCGAGGAAATATTTTTTAAGTTAGGGAAAGAGATCCAACATACCTTATAGTTCATATAAATTTTTCAGAAATTAAAATTACCTATCAAGAGTTCTTATCGTAAAAACTGTAACACTTTTTACAACGTGTGTTCACTAAATGTGTAGATACACAGATGGATTCCATTTTTATTTTTTCTTATGATTTTTGTGTCTATGTTCATAAGAGATACCAGCCTTTAATATCCTTTTTTTGTTATGTCCTCATTAATTTTTGGACTGGAGGACATTATGACCTCCTATAATAATTCTGAGTATTTTTTTTATTCCCTTGAAAGTTTGTGTAATTTTGATAAGTACCATGTCACTAACCACCAAATAAAATTTGGAGTTTTTTCTGGGTAACTTGTTATTACAGATTTCTTGTTACTTTTGAGGTAAGAGGTAGGCAGCACTTCACTCTGGACCAGATGTGAGGCTGGCCAAAACAGGAATAGGATTCTGAAAACACCTCTCCGTAAGACATACCCACCAGTACCATGACAGTTTACCATTGCCATAGCAACATCCAGAAGTCGCAGCGCCTTGCCATGGCAACACCTGGAAATTGCTGCCCTGCCATGGCAACACCGGGAAGTTGGGGCAACACGACCCATTTTCGAGCTATTTCTCGATAACCCACCCCTTAATTATCACATGATTAAAAGTGGGTATAAATGTGACTGTAAAACTGCACCTGGCTGCTACTCTTGGCCCTCTGCCTATGAATTATGCCTGCTCCACAGGCTTAGTCACAGAGCTGTAACACTGCTGCCCCATCAATAAAGCTGTTTTATTCAATCACCGGCTTACTCTAACGTTCTTTCCCGAGCAAATCCAAGAACTTGCCTTGCATCAGGATTAAGCCAGCCACTCAACTCTAGAGATGGTGAGAGGCAGCGTCTGATGTGGCAGTGAGACAGCAGAAACAGCAGAGAAAGCAAGACAACAAGAGACAGCAAGAGATGGGATTTTGTGAGAAGATGGACATAGCGGTCAGCAATGAGCAGGACAGCTATTGGAGAATTGGGAAGACAGAGATCAGTGAGAGAGGGTGAGACGGTGATCAGTGCTACAGCGATCAAAGCTACAGAGTTGCTAACATTGCAGAGCTGTTAACACTAGCCAAAGGCTGTTTTAAGAGCCATCATCTTTCCTGACAGGCGGTGGAGCCCTGGGGATGGGCAAGTGGCCACAGAGCCACTGCTTCATGCAGGCCAGCCGCTCCGTGCTCCAGTTCCCCGTAGGAGCCCAACCCACCCAAGCTGGGGAGCCTGGAGAGATTTTCACGCAGGCCCCACGTTAGAGACTGCTTGGCACCATTTTGGCTCCTGCACACCTGTAAGTGTCCCCTCTGCCCACCTGACCTATATTGGATGATCCAGGGAATAAGGCCTTTGACTCGATAGTCCATTTGAAGTCCTCCATAGCACACCTGACTACATCCTCCTTGGTCCTTCTCTTAGTCATTTCTCCTCTAATGCCATTTTATTTATCCATCAGCCATTTTATCTTATTTTCTGCCCTGATATATGTGTTTGCTTTGCAGTTTTGGCTTTGGCTCCCTGCTAATTGTGTTTGTGCAATTGTTTAAGGCAGGACACTTGGATGTAAGAATTCTCCTGTTCTGTTGGCCGTAAGAAGCCAGAGTCACATTGTTCTGTGGTCCCAATCAGGCCTTTGGGGCTCACTGTTGGCCACCCAACTGAGGCTCCAGGATTTTCTGCACTGGTCAGCCCCTGGATATTCCAGGGTTTCCTGGCATTTGGTGTGGGGACACTCATAGGCTGATACTCGGGTACTCTGGGTTTTCAGCATTTAGTATTTTTGGCCACTCCCTGGATGCTCCAGGGTTTTCAGCATTGACATTCCTCCTAGGATTGTGGATTGGAGGCTTACCTTATGAGAATCTTGGTTTGCCTTTTCTTGTTTTCTGCCCTAAAGTTACCATTTTTCATAATGGCATTTTGTTTTCTTGTTGTCACTTTATTTATGTTTTTTCTTCTACACTTTACTAAATGAAAATACTGCTTTAAGGCCGGGCACAGTGGCTCACACCTGTAATCCCAGCACTTTCGGAGGCTGAGGTGGGCAGATCGTTTGAGGTCAGGAGTTCAAGACCAGCCTGGCCAACATGGTGAAACCATGTCTCTACTAAAAATGCAAAAAAAAAAGGGCCATAAGTGGTGGTACACGCCTCTAATCCCAGCTACTTGGGAGGCTGAGTCACAAGAATTGCTTGAACCCAGGAGGTGAAGATTGCACCACTTTTGTCAAGTTAGTTGCCAAAAAGTTACTCATTTAGCCTCTCTTTATTTTTTTTACTCTAATAGGCTGTGTAATGACTTTCTCATTTCCATTTACAATATTATGTTTTGTGTCCTTTTTCTTTCCCTCTTCCTATACACCCTTCATCAAGTAGTCACGAGTTTCAATTCAATTCTTTCTTGGTGGTAGTATGGCTCATGAGAAATGCAGACTCTTCTGGGTTTAAGGCCATTCGTTATTTTTATATGTAATACCGTGGAACGTATTGTGACATAATCCTCTGCTTCACAAACTGATCACTGTCAAACATCATCTCCCAAACAATACAGAATTTTTCTGTTCCTCACTGGTATAATTCACATAGGAGTAGAAATCTCAAGTTTAAATTGTGGATTTGCACCTTACCACTTGCTGTATTCAAGAAGATGAATAATAGTAATACATCAGTAGGGCCGGGGCAGTGGCTCATGTTTGCAATCCCAGAACTTTGGGAGACCGAGGCGCGCAGATCACCAGAGGTCAGGAATTCGAGACCAGCCTGACCAACACGGCAAAACTCCGTCCCTACTAAAAATACAAAATTTAGCCAGGTGTGATGGCACACACCTGTAATCCCAGCTGCTTGGGAGGCTGAGGGAGGAGAATCGCTTGAACCTGGGAAACGGAGTGAGCCAAGATCATGCAACTGCACTCCAGCCTGGGTGACAGAGCAAGACTCCATCTCAACAACAACAACAACAAAATCAGTAGCTTTGAATGTTTTTATATTTATTTATTTATTTATTTATTTATTTATTTATTTTTGAGACAGAGTCTCGCTCTGTCGCCCAGGCTGGAGTGCAGTGGCGCGATCTCGCTCACTGCAAGCTCTGCCTCCCGGGTTCATGCCATTCTCCTGCCTCAGCCTCCCAAGTAGCTGGGACTACAGGTGCCCGCCAGCACGCCCAGCTAATTTTTTGTATTTTTAGTAGAGACGGTGTTTCACCTTGTTAGCCGGGATGGTCTCGATAGCTTTGAATTTTAAACATCTATTTGACAAGAAATTTACAGTTCCTTCTCTCTAAAATAATGTAATGATTCTCTCAGGAGTGAGCCTGGTTTGATGCCTCTCTCCCCAACACGATAGAAGTGTGGCACAAATCTTTGAAAAATTCAGTTTCCCCGTGGCAACAACAACTACCTGGGACTGAAAACTTCTTCCCTCGCTCTAGTCCTTTCTTCTACACCCACTTCCACCTCATCTGTGACTCATACAATACTTGTCAGGAAAGATTCTGGAAAAAGCAAAGAGACTTCCTTAGAGGTGTCAGAGATTCCTGTACCAGCATCTGTCCATCTCTAGAGGGGGTTGTGAGTATGAGGAAGAGCAGAGCTTGTCAATCTTCTACTTGCTTTCACTCCCACTGTATTTCCTAACAACAGCAACCAGAGCAACAGCCATATCATCACAGGACGAACCTCTCCTACTTCCAAGGCTTTTATTTCAGTAAATCTGCTCTACCTCTATCTCAGGCAGCTAGAAGTTTTGATACTCATACAAATACTACTGCAGCTTTCTGTTCATAATTGGAAAAGTAGACAAGACTCAGTGTAATGCAGGCATTCCTTATGCCAGTCAGCATTCAGTTTTTGGATCATCATTGCACACATATACCCACCATGTGTCTAATATATATGTAAAAATCCATGAAGCAAGAGTCATAATAGCTAGCATTTGATATTGTATTGTATTTTCCTCTTATATCATCTTCTCCTTTTCGTCCTTAAAAAAAATCTGTTCAAGTCAGTCTAAATTAATTATTGGATGATAAGTAGATAAAATCTTTTATTTGATAACACATTGACCCAATGAATATGTTTCTTTGCAAGACATAGTCCTCACTTCCAAGATAACAAGCCTGACAAAATTATACTGGAGCAAGTCCACAAGTAATGATGGTAGCTTTTCCTTATTGTCAGTCCTGGGGCAAAAATAAGACAAAAGATAACAAGGTAGACTAAAGATTATGTAAGAAAGAAGGAAAGCAGCAGGACATGGGAAACTTTCATAGGATAACATTTTGATAATGGATGATGAGAATTAATGCGTTAGACAGAGATGGGCGGGAATGATTGAAGGTCTGAGCATTTTAGCACAGATTAAGACCAAATCATTAGGATTTTAAGAGTTGTGTACAGTTAGTGAAGAAAAAGCCCTAGAATTTAATTTGACTGTTGATAAAACATTCTTGGATTAGATTGAAGACTCTTTTCTGTGCCAAGTAAGTATATTTATGATAATGATGATGACTGTAGTGCTAAATATTTAATCAATAAAAACAAAAATAATTGCCGCATACATAATGTCCTGAGTACTACTGTAAATGTTTTATCTTATTTTCTTTAAACTGTCTACAGCACTGTAAGGTAGGCACCAGTATTGTCACAGTTACACAGATATGGAAACTGAGACACAGGGAAGTTAAGTTAGTTGGTCAATTTCAAGCAATCGGCAAGCCATGGAGCATCTATGTCAGGGCTGCCAGGACATGTGACTGTAAACAGAAGTTTTAACTTTTTAACTCAAAGAGGGTATGTGTCTGGGTTAATGGAAAGTTTCAGGACCCTCAGAAAACATTACTAACAAGCAAATGAAAGGTGTATCTGGAAGATTAAGTTCTAACAGACTCCTCATTTCCATCGATCCAATAATGCACTTAGGGAGATGACTGGGCATATTGAGGATAGGAAGAGAGAAATGAAAACACAGCCTTTTATATTGTTCTTAACAGGCTTGTGCCAAACATCATCTGGGTGAATTTAGGTGATTGAGGAGAAGAAAGACATAGGAATGAAATTCTCTGAGCACAAGGGAGAAGTTCTACACTCAGACTGAGCCAACAGACTTTTCTGGCCTGACAACCAGGGTGGCGCAGGATGCTCAGTGCAGAGAGGAAGAAGCAGGTGGTCTCTGCAGCTGGAAGCTCAGCTCCCACCCAGCTGCTTTGCATGTCCCTCCCAGCTGCCCTACCTTCCAGAGCCCATATCAATGCCTGTGTCAGAGCCCTGGGGAGGAACTGCTCAGTTAGGACCCAGAGGGAACCATGGAAGCCCCAGCTCAGCTTCTCTTCCTCCTGCTACTCTGGCTCCCAGGTGAGGGGAACATGAGGTGGTTTTGCACATTAGTGAAAACTCTTGCCACCTCTGCTCAGCAAGAAATATAATTAAAATTCAAAGTATATCAACAATTTTGGCTCTACTCAAAGACAGTTGGTTTGATCTTGATTACATGAGTGCATTTCTGTTTTATTTCCAATTTCAGATACCACCGGAGAAATTGTGTTGACACAGTCTCCAGCCACCCTGTCTTTGTCTCCAGGGGAAAGAGCCACCCTCTCCTGCAGGGCCAGTCAGAGTGTTAGCAGCTACTTAGCCTGGTACCAACAGAAACCTGGCCAGGCTCCCAGGCTCCTCATCTATGATGCATCCAACAGGGCCACTGGCATCCCAGCCAGGTTCAGTGGCAGTGGGTCTGGGACAGACTTCACTCTCACCATCAGCAGCCTAGAGCCTGAAGATTTTGCAGTTTATTACTGTCAGCAGCGTAGCAACTGGCCTCCCACAGTGATTCCACATGAAACAAAAACCCCAACAAGACCATCAGTGTTTACTAGATTATTATACCAGCTGCTTCCTTTACAGACAGCTAGTGGGGTGGCCACTCAGTGTTAGCATCTCAGCTCTATTTGGCCATTTTGGAGTTCAAGTTGTCAAGTCCAAAATTACTTATGTTAGTCCATTGCATCGTACCATTTCACCGTGGCTATTATGTTCAACTAAATGCATTTTAGAAGGCATCTCTGTTTATGGCATCACAAAGAGTTTAATAAATCTTCGGTGCAAAAATAAACAACAAACACACATTTAAATATAAAGCTGAAGTATCAAAACTATTTCAGCACTCTGAAAATTGGTGAAGTATAAAATAATTAAGGATGCATATTCTTTATAGAAAAAAAAAGTACCAGTGCTTTGAGTAAGGACAGAAAATGTCTGTAGCCTTTTGCCTGTGACAGCAGCCTTCTACCCCCAGCTCAATCAGCATGAATTACAGAACTGAAGTTTTACCAATATGAGCGTAGCAAAAAAAACTAGCAGCTTGCTGCCAAAGTGGGTGGACTTGAGTAAAGCCAAGGAGTGGAAAAAAAATTATTCAGTGTTTCCAGCTAAACATGCAGAACTCCATAGGAAATGAACAGAAAAATCTCACAGCTTTACAAGTCCAAGATGATGACCTGTTTGAGGCAAGTAGTACATCTGCTGATAGTAAATAGCAGATTCCTGGATGAGATAGACCCATATTGCTGAAATAATCTCTGCACACATTCCTAGTGACCTAGAAGATATAGATATGAGTGATGAGAACAAGGAGTTTCCGGTGCAAAGTAAAACCAGAAGGATTCAAGAACTAGCTGCATTTTGCATGCAGTTTGCTTTTTAAACTACACACAGATGGGTTGACAGAAGATAGATTTATAACCTCTAGATATTTAAGCAAAACGTCTCAAATCATTGGTGACCACTTCACTATGCAGATACATGTGCAGTTCCTATAAATTCAAACTAAATATTAATATTAAGAATAAAAGGAAGCAGTGATATCAGTGGTCAAACACCACGTGAGATAGATTTTTCAATATCATGCAATGAACATGCATTTAATACATCTAATCCACTTAACATTATAGCTCAGCCTATCCTATCCTAAATGTGCTGAAAACACTTACATTAGCTTACACTTGGGCGACATTATCTTACACAAAGCTTATCTTCCAATAAAGTGTTGAATGCCTCATGTCATTTATTGAATACTATATTGAAAGAGAAAATAGAATAGTTGTATAAATACTAGAATTTCTATTTCTACTTGAATGCATATCACATTCATACCATCTGAAAGTCAAAAAGTTATAACTCCAAGCATCATAAGTCAGGTACTATCAGTAAGTTCACCCAAGTAACTAAGAAGAAAATTAAAAAATGATCAGAAAAACAAAACAAATTCCAGGCCTGACGTGGTGGCTCAAGCCTGTAATCCCAGTACTTTGGGAGGCTGAGGCAGAAGGATCACTGGATGCCAGGAGTTCGAGACCAGGCTGGGTGGGCAAAATATCTTACTATTTAAAAAAAAAAAAATAGCAGAGAGTAATGGCATGCCCCTATAGTCCCAGCTACTCAGGTGGATGAAGCTGGAGAACCACTGGACCCCAAGAGGTTGAGGCTGCAGCAAGCTATGATCACACCACCATACTCCAGCCTGGGTGAAAGAGTAAGACCCTATTTCTAAAAAATTAAAATTAAAATTAAAAAACCCATAATCTAAAGAGAGGTACTGTATTATCAAAAATGTAAAATTGTCAGTTTAACAGCTCCTGGGAAAAAAACTAGAAGAATGACCAATATTAAAGGAACAAAAATAAAGCAACTACAATA